>NT_187660.1:1504896-1817598 GCF_000001405.40 Homo sapiens
ACATGCTCAGTTTTGAACCTACCACCCCCTATACCTGACATTATCTTTGCTCTATCTTTCAATTCTTAATTGAGCTTATGGAAAGAGACATACCAATGTCTCTACCTTTTTTTCCCCAAACCTTTCTCCTCAAACCACTACTATCTGGTTTCTGCTTCCACTACATCATATCTGAAACTAAAATGTCAAAGCAATCACGTTGCCAAATGTGAAAAAGGATTTCCCAGACCTTTTGGGAGTTGGTATCATTGCTTCACATGGCATTACTAACCTGTCCCTCCTTGTACTTGTTTTCTCCTGGCTTTGGATATGGCATTCTTTCTGCCCTGCATACTTCTCTATCATTCCTGTTTGGTCTCATTAGCTAGATCCTTTTCTCTACTTGCTCCTGTAGTGCAGACTCTGCTCTTCTCATTTTATCCTCTTTTTCTAGACAATCTCATCCACTCCCATGGTTTCAGTTGCTATCTATAAACTATCTTTATCTCTATCTCAGACCACTTTGGTGACTTCCAGCATCATACAGCCATCCAACCATCTGTGACATTTCTCCATGTGGATATCCAAAGACACTTCAAACTTAACATTAAAAAAAAAAATCTCACATACCTTCTTCTCCCCTCAAATCAGCTGTTCCTCCTAAAATCTCTACCTTGGCTGATGGTTCATTATCACCCTGTCAAGACACCTGGATATCATACTCTCATTCATTTCTAACTTAGTCTCAAAGTCCCATGAATTCAACCTTTCAACTATTTTTAAAATCTGTCCATTCCCACTTCTCACCACTATTGCCTTAGGTTGGATCCTTCATAATCTCTTAGGTGGACTATAGCAATGGCCTCTTAGATGTTCTTGGCGTTTCCAATCTTATTTCTTCCAATCAATCATTTATAATGTTGCCAAAATGATCTTTCCAATACGTAAATCTGATCACATTTCTCCCAAGCTGAAGTAATCCCTACAGCTCTTAAATAATTAGTTGCTTAAAGAATTCATTTACTCACTCATTTAACAAATATTATTTACCACATAACGTATGATTTTAGGCAGAGAGGAAATTATAGTAAATGAAAATATTTAGAGAATATGCAGAAAGGTAGATATTAAACAATCCCCTAAATAAATGTATGATTACAAATTTGACAAATGCAATGAAGAAAAATAATAAGTCACAAAGGAAGAAAAAGAGGAGACCTACTAGAGATTGTGAAGTTATATTATTTTTGAGAGAATAATATCTCGGTAAGTTTAAAAAATGAGTAGAAGTCGCTCAACAAAGAAGTAGTTTTGGTAGAGGGAACAGCACGTACAAGGGATCTGAAAGGGAAAGGAGATTAGAGTGTTAAAAGAAATGAAGGTAAGCCTATTTGGCAAGAGCTTAGTGAAGGATGGGATAGTGGCCTGAGACAAGATTATTGACATAGAAACCAAGTCATGTAGGGTTTGTAAGCCAAGGTATGGATTTGGGTTCTTTTGAAAGGCTATGGGAAGCAATTAAAAAGTTTTAGGCAGATGAATCACATGGTTATATTTACATCTTAAAGTTTCACTCTGGCTGCTGGTAGAGAATAGATTATAGCCTGAGTGGATGTGAGAAGACTAGTAAAGGGATTATTCCATTAGTCTAGGAGAGAAAAATGGTGGTGGGCAGTCTCTATTAACTTTTAGAAGTTATCTTTAGGTAATGTGAGCCTGCAACGTGAAGTTCCTAGTACTTTAAAAGTTATAATGCTGATGAACAAAAAGGTATGTAAAAACTCAGGATTTAATCTAATTAGATACATTTTCCACCATTAGAACATTTCTGCTCAGAGATCTTATTACAAAGCTACATTTCTGATAGTCTACTACGATGCAGCTTCTGCCAAAGCCACTCAGTACTAACCTCTTACATAGCATCTCTACTTACATGATTAAAATGCATATCATACTTGACATAGTCAAAAGATAAAGAACCACTTGATTTCTACTTCCAAGCTACTCAACTCCCTAGTAAATGGCCTTACCATTTACCCTACCCAGGCACTGATGTAAAAAATCTGAGAGTTAATCATAATTTTTCTCTTCCTCTCATATCCCATATCATATGTAAATTAAGTATCAACTTAAATTGAATATAATATTCAATGTAATGCTATGAAAATTATTGTATGTGATTAATGAGAATATAAATCTGGCTATAAAATCTCTGATAGTGATATAGTATTTATATCCATATATCCTTAGGAAAAAATTCCCTTTAATTATAGAGTAGTTATAAACAGTAGTCTAATATAGTATGCTATAGTTGTGTTTTGCCTTAATTATTCTTCATTGTTAATACCTCTATAATAAACATATAAAATAAAACGCTTAATTTCTTAGTTTGCAAATTAATTTACCAATTCGTTCATTCTTTCTTTGTCAAGAACGGAAAACCTTATAGCAATACAGGTCATCTCAGGTCCATAAAGAGTAATTTAAGATCAGAAATTCATGTCAGGTCCATGAGGAATAAGTTTTCTTTTCTTTTTTTTTTTTTTTTTTTTTTTTTTTTTTGAGACGGAGTCTCACTGTGCTGCCCAGGCCGGAGTGAGTGGCGCAATCTTGGCTCACAGTAACCTCCGCCTCCCAGGTTCAAGCGATTCTCCCGCTTCAGCCTCCTGAGTAGCTGGGATTACAGGCGTGGGCCACCACGTCTGGCTAATTTTTGTGTTTACTAGTAGAGATGGGGTTTCGCCATGTTGGCCAGGCTGGTCTCGAACCCCTGACCTCAGGTGATCTGCCTGCCTCAGTCTCCAAAAGTGCTGGGATTACAGGTGTGAGCCACCGCTCCTGGCCCCATAAGGAATAATTTAAGATCAGAAGTACAAAGAAAGTTTTCTAATTGATTTTAAAATTAGTTTCTGCATATTTCTCTAAGACTATAGTTTAAATTCGATCTATTTCACACCAAATAAGTACTACAGCAATATTTAATTTCTGCGTTACTATTGACATATGAGTCATCTAACATGTAAACTTTCAGCCAACCAAATATTATGGCTTTAGTGCTAATTTAAAAAAAAGTTTTTGAAAGGAACATTTGTAAAATATATAAAGGCATTCATCTGCCTTCTTTTTTTTTTTAAAGAGATGGGGGGTCTCATTTTTTTTAAAGAGATGGGGGGTCTCACTCTGTCACCCACACTGGAGTGCAGTGGTACAATCATAGCTCACTGGAGCCTTGAACTCCTGGGCTCAAGCAATCCTCCTGCCTCAGCCTTCTTAGTAGCTGGGACTACAGGTATGCACCACCACACCCGGCTAATTAAATTGTTTGTTTGTTTGTTTGTTTGTTTGTTTAAGAGACAGGGTCTCGCTATATTGACCAGGCTGGTCTCAAACGTCTGGGCTCAAGCGATCCTCCTGCCCCAGCTTCCCAAGTAGCTGGGATTACAGGCGGTGTGCCACCACGTCCAGCTATCTGCTTTTTTAAATAGAGGAAGTGAATATCATGTTAAGTTATTCTTAAAGACTTAACTAAGATTACTTATCATACTTTGTCACAATATATTTAAAATACTTCATTAAATTCTGAGGTGAGATAGTAAACCATTTGTGCTAACCCTAAATAGCCTTTTTAGTTTTTGAATAGTCTTCCTATCTCCAACCTTTTCAGATGTCCCTTCATGTCAGAATGTCTTCCTCTGCTAATCCTTCTCTGTGCTGTATTTGATCTGCTAGTAATAAAGCTTGATAAACAAGTAATCTGTTTATTTCATCAGGCTCTATTCAAGGCTTGGAGATTGACTCTATAACTTTCCCACATTGAAAAGTGCAAGTGGAAGTGGGAGCTTCTGATTGATAGCTTTTGAGCTTACCTCCGGGTTTGTAACTGTATTCTTTAGTTAAAGCTATCAGGAATTTGGCTACCAGATAAGTGAGACATAAAACCAAGTATCATTACTAAAGCAATCTAGTGATACAGAATATTACTGTGTTTAAATAACTTATCCTACATAAACAACAAGGTAGTGTTAACCTCACACTCACAATTCTACATGATTTTATGACAGATATCTAGGATTTAAAAAATGGATATAGCTTATATCCATTATAATTTTGTTATACTGAGAGAGTTCAAAGTTGGCATCAAGGGTCAAAGGTAGAAATTAGCTTACATAGAAAATAATTTGTATAGGCCAAACAGACCTTTTGTATACAATACCACCTACTGTAATTTAGTCCACAAAATACTGACTATAAGACCATAATCAAAATGAAATGCTATGAAAGGTGTGCGAGAGCTTAGTTTATGCACTGCAATAAAGCTATGGATGGATGGGCATAGCGCATCTCCTGTTGCACGCACTCTGTTGCTCATCAAGTTACATGGATCTGAGCTGTTTGTTAACCACAGAAGAAGGTGAATCAGTCTGATGATGTGTGTGGTGTCCAGATGCCTCAACAGACTGCCTTTGTTCACTGTCTGGCGAAGATTAAAAAGGAGTAGAATGAGGGCTTTCTGTGGGAGATGATGTCAAATGAGCCTGAGCTGACATTGTAGAGGATGTAGATGGCTGAAGAAACTGTTCAGCTGGAGTATCTACTTCCATTGCAGTTTCACTCACTTCCAAATCAGGACTTGATGGGACCATAGGAAGAGTTGAAATATCTGATTGACTTGTTCCACCTCTGGGTCAAGATCTTCCTCATCCTCTATTGCTTTGTGCAACCTCACTTGCTTTTTCGAACCGTCTTGATAACATATCAGACATTCTCTGCATCAATGACACATTGGGACTCTGCTCTCCATGTCATTCTCGTTCACTCTCAGGCCTTGATCTGGGTCCAGTATCTGACCAATCACCACGAAGTCTCAAACGCTTAACTGGTGGTTGTCGTAACTCTTCTCTTCTCTCTTCCGCAGAAGGAGTTTTAAGTTCTCGTGCTGTATCATCTTTCGGGTCAAAAAGATATATGTAATCTGAAGAGTAACTAATGAGAATCTCTTGACCATCTTCACTGTAACACAGAAATGTCACTCTGCAGGACTTATTATTAAGATGGGAAGCAATAAAATGGGCAACCATTCCAGTAGTCCCTCGACCTGCATAATTCCCTGTAGCTCTTGTGCCCAGCATTCGCCTATCATATATTTGTACTGAGCTATAAGAACAACCAACGGCAAGGTAATATGGTATTGGTGGGCAAATAGCAACAGATGTGGCAGCACGTCGACAGCTAATTAAAATATCATCTTCACAATCTTCTTTTGTGCAGCTAGTTTTGATGCGTGTATCAAACCACCTACCAGTTCTATCTTCACCACAAGAGAGAAAAGTGTAAGGGTCATTGGGTACAGTCATAATCTCATAAGTAGTTCCATAGTGGCAAGTAAATTGGCATTGTCTGTTGGTTTCTGCATCTTGCTCAACATTGGTATAAAATATTACTCCATCTCCAGAGCAGGATACAATCTGTTTATCATTTGTGCAAGGTAAGAACTTTGCATTAGATATGTTTGCTTGGTGCCCCGAACGAATTGTTGTCAAAACCTTTCTGCTGTAGGGATTACTAATTACTAATTTGGTGTCATCTGAGCCAGATAAAATATATTCTCCAGTGTCATTCCAACAGATTGTATTAACACAGCCATCATGCACATTTAGGGTTGCTTCAAGTTTCAATCTTTAGATAAATTCTCTTCTTCCCAGGTAGTGGCCCCACAGCCAGGACAGGTCCTCCAGCCCGAGGGACCTTTTCCTCATGTCCCACAACAGATGTGGGCAGGAGCCACCCCGAGACATGGCTCTGCCTGAGCGAGGTGGGAGGGGAGACCCTACCTGAATCTTTTCAAAGTGTCATAAAACAGATAGTTCTATAGTCTTGATATCATTATAGAACATTTAAAAAAATAAGGAAAGCTTCTGTTTTCCAAAAGCACTTAATAATGATTGGTCCTGTTTACAGGTTGTGATATTTTGTATACTCCTTCTTTTACCTTTTTTTGCTGTAAGATATCTGCGTGGTTGCCTTCTATTGTCTTTTCATCTTGCTTGTCCTTAACATGAAAGTCCTGGCCACACCTTAGCTTTTCTTTGCTACCTTAAAGAGAGTCTCTAAACATGTGAAAATTAAACACCACAGTTCTAAATAATTCATGGATCAAAGAGAAAGCCTCAAAGAAAAAATCAAGAGAACTGAATGGACACAAAACATATCAAAATATGTGGAGTGCAGCTAAAGCAATACTGAGAGGGAAATTTATAGCACTAGATGCTTACATAAGAAACAAGGAAAGCTCTTAAAACAGTAAGCTAATTCCTACCTCAGGAAACTAGATAAAGAAGAGCGGCTGGGCGTGTTAGCTCACGCCTGTAAACCCAGCACTTTGGGAGGCCAAGGTGGGTGGATCACGAGGTCAGGAATTCAAGACCAGCATGGCCAAGATGGTGAAACCCTGTCTCTACCAAAAATACAAACATTAGCTGGGCATGGTGGCGGGTGCCTGTAATACCAGCTACTTGGGAGGCTGAGGCAAAAAACTGCTTGAACCCGTGAGGCAGAGGTTGCAGTGAGCCGAGATTGAGCCACTGCACTCCAGCCTGGGCGACAGAGTGAGACTCCATCTCAAAAAAACAAAACAAAACAAAACAAAAACCCGAAGGAAACAGAAGAAAAGAAATCATAAAGATAAAAGTACAAATCAATGAAATAAAAAACAGAAAAACAATTGATATGAAAACTTTTAACAGGAGTTGGTACTTTAATAAGATCAACAACACTGACAGAAGTTTAGCAAGAAAAATGCTAGAAAACAAAAATTATCAATATCTGGAATGAAACAAAAATATAACTACAGACCCTGCAGACATCCAAAGGATAATAAAGGAGTAATATGAACAACTCTTCACAAGTAAATTTCACAACTTAGATAAAATGCATCAATTCCTTGAAAAACACAAACTACCATAATTCACATAATATGAAACAGATAATTTGAATAGCCCTGTAACCATTAAGGAAATTGGGAAGCCAGGCACAATGGCTCATTCCTGTAATCCTAGCACTTTTGGAGGCTGAGATGGGAGGATCGCTGGATTCCAGGAGTTCAAGACCAGCCTGGGCAACATAGTGAGACTTCTCTCTATAAAACATAAAAAAAAAAAGTAGCCAGGCATTATGGCATGCACCTGTAGTCCTACCTACTCAGGAGGCTGAGGCAGGAGGATTGCTTGAGCTCAGGAGTTCAAGGTTGCATTGAGCTATGATTGTGCCACTGCACTCTACTCTGGGTGACAGAGCAAGATCCTGTCTCAAAAATTTAAAATCAAAAAAGAGAAATTGAATTCATAGCATTAAAATTCTCCAAAATAAAACCTCCAGGCCTAGAGAGTTTCACTGGAGAATTCTACCAAATGCCTAAAGAATAATTAACATCAATTCTACATAATCCCTTCCAGAAACTAGAAGTGAAGACTTCGCAACACATTTTCTGAAGCTAGTATTACTCTGATACTGAAACCAGACAAAGACAGTTGAAAGAAAAAAAAGAAGGAAGGAAGGAAGGAAAGAAGGGAGGAAAAAAGAAAAGAAAAACAACCATAAACCAATACCTCTCGTGAACTTAGAGCAAAAAATCCACAATAAAATATGTACAAACCAAATCCAACAATGTGTAAAGATTACTACATGCCATGGCCAAGTGATATTTGTTTTAGGTATATAAAACTGATTAACATTTGAAAATCAATGAAATCCACCAGATCAACAAGCCAAAGAAGAAAAATTACATGATTATATTAATTGACAAGGAAGAAGCTTTTGACAAAATGAAATGTGTTTTGCCCATTTTCTAATTGGCTTGTTTTTCACTGTTGAATTTTGAAAGTTCTTCATATATTTTAGATACTAGTCCTTTGGCATACATGTGGCTCACTAATATTTTCTCCCTGTCTGTAGCTTGTCTTTTCAACCTCTTCAGGTGGATTTTCGGAGACCTGGTTTTTAATTTTTCTTAACATTTTCCTTTTATAGGTGATGATTTTGGAGTCAAGTCTCAGAATTCTTTGCCTAGCACTAGATACCAACATTTTTTCTCCTATGTTTTTTCTAAAAGTTTTGTAGTTTTGCATTTTATATTTAATCCCATTAGGTTGGTTTTTATAAAAGGGATGAGGTTTAGGTTGAGGTTCACTGTTTTGCCTATGATTGATGAGCACATGAAAAGATGCTTGGAATCATTAGTAATCAGGGAAATGCAATTCAAAACCATCATGAGATACTACTTTGTACCCACTAGGATGGCTTAAAACAAAGTCAGAAAAGAAACGTTGGCAAGGATGTAGAGAAAATGGAACCCTCACGCGTTGCTGGTGGAAATGTACAATGGTGCAGCTGCTCCGTAAAATGGTCTGGCACTTTCTTCAATGATTCAACTAGAGTTACCAAGTAACCTGGCAATTCTATTCCGAGGTATTAGGTTGACGCAAAAGCAATTGTGGTTTTTGCCATTAAAAGTGATATACCCAAGAGAAATGAAAATATATGCACATAAAAACTTGTATATAAATGTTTATAGCAGCACTGTTCATAATAGCCAAAAGGTGGAAACAACCCAAATGTCCACTGATGGATGAGCGGATAAACAAAATGTGCTTAATCCACACTATGGAATATTATTCAGACATAAAAAAGAATGAAGTACTGATACATGCTGCAATATGTATGAACCTTGAAAACATTACGCTAAGAAAGAAGCCAGTCATAAAAGACTACATATTATGTGATTCCATTCATATGAAAGTCCAGAACAGGGAAATTTATAAAGACAGAAAGTAGACTAGTGGTAGCCCAGGGATGGGGGCAAGGAAGGAGAGTGAGAGCTAAAGGTACAGGGTTGCTTTTTAAGGTGAAATTGACTTCAATGATGTTTACATACATCTGTGAATATATTAGAAACCACTGAATATTATACCTTAAATGGGTGAATTATATGATACATGAGTGTATTAGTCTGGAGCTAGGCGCGGTAGCTCACGCCTGTAATCCCAGCACTTTGGGAGGCCGAGGTGGGCAGATCACAAGGTCAGAAGATTGAGACCATCCTGGCTAACACAGTGAAATCCCATCTCTACTAAAAAAAAATACAAAAAATTATTCAGCTTGGTGGGACGTGCCTGTAGTCCCAGCTACTCGGGAGGCTGAGGCAGGAGAATCGCTTGAACCTGGAAGGCGGAGGTTGCAATGAGCCAAGATCATGCCACTGCAGTCCAGCCTGGGTGACAGAGTGAGACTCCATCTCAGAAAAAAAAAAAGAGGTTTAATTGGCTCACAGTTCCACAGGCTATACAAGAAGCATGGCAGCATCTGCTGCCGGGGAGGCCTCAGGGAGCTTCCAATCATGGCAGAAGGTGAAGGGAAGCAGGCACGTCTTACGTGGCCAGAGCAGGAGCCAGACAGAGAGGAGCGAGGTGCTACACACTTTTAAACAACTAGATCTCATGAGAATTCACTATCATGATGACAGCTCCAAGAAGCATGGTGTTAAACCATGAGAAACCACCCCATGATCCAATCACCTCCCACCAGGCCCCATCTCCAACACTGGGGATTACAATTGAATATGAGATTCGGGTGGGGACATATATCCAAACCACATCAATGACTTACATGTCAATAAAGAGATATAAAATTGTTTTGTTTTTTGAAAAAAATCTAATATTTTAATAAGCCACTCTCTCAAGCCAATACAAGGCAGCTCCAGCACACCCCTGCTTCAGGAGATGTTTATGCCACGTGAAGGGAGGAAACCATAATCCTTTCCACATCCCTCAGGTAGACGTGGAAATAAGGATAAGGTGAAAATTACAAAAACCAAGCTCATCATGCCTCCTTCCCTTGCCACCAAATGCTTGTATTTCTTTTTAACACCTGTTCCCCGGGTTGTATAAAAAGTCCTTTGCTAATTACTTTTAGGAAAAGGGCGACATTCTGGCCTTCACCTCCCAGAAACCACGCATCATACTTGAGGCACACACCAGGGAAGAGGCTGAGGTCAAGTTCACCAATCAGAAACACAAACAGACAAGGAAAAAGAAGGCAGCAATCAGTTTCCATCAAAGCCCTCAGCCAGGTGTCAGATCTCCCAGGGACACCCCTCTTTAATTTGGGGGGGACATAGGTAAATATGTGTATCCAGAAAGCCTGGAGCAAGTCGAGAGAGGCATTTGATTAGTATGCAGATCACAGGCACAGCTGGGATCAGGGCTAACCAGACTTTCAAGGATAAACAGCTGACAAGGATATGTCATGTTGTCCCTGCAGTGTGTTGAATCTAATTAAAAAGGACTTAGGGTCAGAAAAACACTGGTGTAATAATGGGTAAGCACAACAGAAATCATTTTATTGTTTACTTACAGGAAACAATACTTTTCCCGTTTACATGCTTGACGTGGCCAGCAAGGAAGAGCTCACACTTCGTACAAAACTACACACTAGTTTTGCATCTCTTTGTTGTGACACACAACCTCTGGTTTAGATTCTTTAAAATTATCTGTATGGGACAGTTTCTCTCATTATTCAAAGAATGACTTTTCCCCAAAATAAATAAGATATATTCCTTCCCTCCGCTGTCGGGTGTTTCTCATGCTCTCCTCTTTTAATTGTCAGTATAATTCTAGAGTAAAAGTCCTATGTGCTATGGTTTGAATAAGCTCCCCAAAAAGCATGTGTTGAAAACTTAATGTTTGGCTGGACATGGTGGCTCACGCCTGTAATCCCAACACTTTGGGAGGCCGAGGCGGGCGGATCACCTGAGGTCGGGAGTTCGAGACCAGCCTGACCAACATGTAGAAACCCTGTCTCTACTAAAAATACAAAAAATTAGCTGGGCGTGGAGGCACATGCCTGTAATCCCAGCTACTCAGGAGGCCGAGGCAGGAGAACTGCTTGAACCCGGGAGGCGGAGGTTGCAGTGAGCAGAGATTGCACCATTCACTCCAGCCTGAGCGACAGAGCGAGACTCCGTCTCAGAAAAAAAAAAAAAAAGAAAGAAAGAAAAGGAAAACTTAATCCTCAATGCAACAGCGTTGGGAGGCGGGGGCCTATGGGAGGTGCTTTGGTCAGCAGGGCTCCACCATCAGGAATGGATTAATGCTGATTATAAAAGGGCTTGAGGCTGTGAGTTCAATATCTTGCTCTTTCTTTGGCCCTCTCTTGCCCTTTCACCTTCTGCCATGGGATATTGCAGCAAAAAGGCCCGGGCTAGATGCTGGCCCCTCAATCTTGGACTTCCCAGCCTCCCAAAATGTGAGAAATAAATTACCCAGTCTGTGGTATTCTGCTATAGCAGCACACAACAGACTAAGATGCACTGTCAAGCCAAAATATAATGATTTGTGAACGGCTAACAGCACAGGTTGGAATCTGATGCCAGCTAACTCCCAAGGTCTCAGATTCCCTACCTGTCTCCCATGCATAGTTGTCAGAAGTAAATGAATGAACGTACAGAATGTGCTCAAGCAGTGCCCTGCACACAGCAAGGGCTCAGGAAAGTTAGCGACCATCATATCATCATCATCATCATGATCATCATGCAGTCAGTATTAGGTTTGTATAAAAATATCAAAGAGCACATTTTAAGCTTATGTCCAAACATATACTAAAATGTGTTAAATACGTATCTTTTATGTAATTTTCCACCTAAATTTCTAGTTTCTGTGACAATGCTAAGTAGGAAAAATATTTTAATTCATTCAATGCTATCATAATGAAGATTTTGTTTGTTTTCTTTATAATGAAATTAGTGCCTGACTATATCTAAATTTACAGAAGAAAAAGAATGTATATTCACTGAGGTCAGGCCTGCGATAGCAAAACAGAGGGGATGGGCTAACCGCTTCTCAGCAGGGGTAAAGTACTCTCTGCTGCCTTTCAAAGATGAAGCAGCCCCCTAGATATACAGCAATGTATGAAATGGAACTTTGAGTAGGGAAAACATTGCAGACAAATGCATACAGTATAAGCATATTTGCTTAAAAATAAAACTATACAGTTGGATGACTGTGTACATATACATGTACATAAATATATATGTGCATACACAAAAAATGGATACATCATAAAGCAATTGCCTGTGTGGTAGGGAGTAGGAGGCAGAGAGAGGAGGGAGACTTTGTTTTGCTCCAGTTTGTGTACTTCTTGCATCTTTTACAATGAGAATCTATTACTATTTCATTTCATATTTAAAAAGAAAGGGAAAATAGTTCTATTCATTTAAAACCAAATATTCATCAAGCCATATAATGCATTATATTACATTAAATTGCATTTCAAAAGCATCCTCTGTTATGCTTTCATTTAAAAATACAGTAAGAAAAGTATGATGGGAAATCCCAAACTTCTGCAGAATGAATTGAAATAACTGAGTCATTAAAAATCAGTTTATTTCCCAGTGCTTTGGGAGGCTAAGGCCGGAGGATCAGTTGAGGCCAGGAGTTCAAGACTAGCCTATGCAATACAGTGAGACCCCCCCCACCACCACCCTTACAAAAAATTAAAAAATTAGCTGGGTGTGGTGGTGCATACCTGTAGTGCCAGCTGCCTGGAAGAGTGAGGTGGGAGGATCACTTGAGCCCAGGAGTATGAAGCTACAGTGAGCTATGATTGCACCACTGCACTCCAGCCTGGGCAATAGGTGAGACCCTGGACCCTGTCTCTAAAAAATTGTTTTATTTGTATTTTTATGATTTATTTATTTGAAGACATGTTCTCACTTTGACACCCAGGCTGGAGTGCAGTGGCACGATCTTGGCTCACTGCAACCTCCACTGCACCCCCTGCGTCCCCCTGCCCCCGGTTCAAGTAGCTGGGATTACAGGTGCATGCCACCATTCACACTTAATTTTTGTATTTTTTGGTAGAGATGGGATTTCACCAGGTTGTCCAGGCTGGTCTCGAACTCTTGACCTCAAGTAATCTGTCTGCCTTGGCCTCCCGAAGTGCTGGGATTACAGGCGTGAGCCACTGCACCTGGCCAAAAGAATTTTTTAAATTAAAAAACGTGTATATTTTTTAAAAATCCATTTTTTAAATAAAGTTTTGTTGCTGTCATATTTTAATGTGCATGGAGCCTCAAATTAAAATATAATGAGGCATTTTAAGGGGCATTTGAAAATCAATAATGCTCTTTTCTAATTAATTTAAGTGAAACAGCATGTTTGCTTGAAATCCCAAAATGCCTTTTTAATTTCCTAAGGGGCTCTTCAGACAGGAACAGTTGGGAGGCACTCAGTGGTTCACTCACATGCTCCCCTCCAGGAATGGTGCCAGGCCCTGGATGTGGGACAAGGCGCAGCACAGACATGGCCTTCTCCCTTGTGCTGCTTTGCCATGTAGCGAATGATGGGGAAATGTCAGGGCTTGGAGAAAAAGAGACAGAATGCTCAGAGAACCGCAGAGCTGGGGAGCCCCTTGGACGAGGGCTGAGGGAAGGCCCTTGCATCGATGTCCCACCGACTCTGGAATCTAGAGGTCCAGAAGGAGCCACCTAGAGACCAGCTGGGAGGAAGAACAGCTGTGGTGCAGCGTGCAGGGGCAGCCTGAAGTAGAAAGACCCTGAGATTCTAGCACAGCTGGCAAGGCAGGGACGTGGTGCCCAGGAGTACCACTGCAGGCTAGCGAAGCTGGAGGAGCCAGATGAAAGCAGGCACTCACACGCCACGGCGAGGATGCTGGACAGCGCTCCGAGTCCAGTGGGAAGCACGTGGCTGAGTTTATGTTGTAAGAAGCTCTCTCGCCATGAACACACACACACAGACACACAAATATGTGAATACATTTTGATCACAACAAGCTGGGAATCCATGTTTTGTTGTATTTAACAAAAACCCACAAAATACATCCAAAAACTATTCCTATACAAAGTTACAGAAAATTTTAGTGGATTGTAAAAAGTAGAAATTAGGGGCCACATGTTCTCATGCAATGACGTTAGAAATTAACAGTAAAAGGAAAGCAAAAAACCAAAAAGTCTAACTACCTAAAAAGTTAAGGACATCAATCTGAGCGATGATTAGGTTAAAGAGAAAAGCAAAAATGAAAATTACAAACCAAGTGGAACTAAGTCCACAAGAGCACTGTGTATCAACAATGCCAATCTATACAGTATTATTACTGTTACTCAACTATAAAAGGGGGAAAATTAACAATATGTGAATTAAGAAAGTAGAAGGGGTTAATAAAATAAAAACATACATAGTCAACCCTTCCCTCAAATTCCCCATTTCCTCCCGAGACCCCCGGCTCTAGGGAACTATTAATCTACTTTGAATCTCTAAAGATTTGCTAAAATGTTTATTTTTGAACTGTAAAAGAATATTATCTGTAGCTTTATAACAATAAATTGGAAAAAACAGATGAAATATACAATGTTCGAAAGACATTAACAAAAATGATCCCCAAAAAGAAAGAAAACACGAATAACATAATGAACATGGGAAAATACGTTAAAAGTAGTCAAATTACCTCCCCCAAATTAAAATAAACCTAGATAATTCCCAGGTTATATAAACTGTTTCAGAGCATAAGTCAAATCAAATTCTTCCACTTTCATTTTAAAGTATGCATAATTCTAAGACGAAACTGGACAAGGAGGGCACCTCAAGGTAAACTGTAGGTTATCTCATTTCTGAATGTTGATGCAAAACTCTTAAATAATATATTAACAAAGTGAATGCAGCCTAATGTATACCTTCTCAGCACCAGGACCATTGCCTATTTCTGCAATGCAAAAGTGATTCTGCATTAGGAAATCCATTAATGCAAATCACTACATTAATAAACTAAAGGAGGAAAGCCATATGATCATCTTCAGAGATGTTAAAAGGATGGTGATAAAATTTACATGCATCTTGATTTAAAAAAATCTTAGAAAGCCAGGATGGAAGCGAATACCTCCCATTAATAAAGGCATCTCTCAGAAGCTGATGGCAGACATTACTCTACATGGTAACCCATTAGGAGCAATCCTGTGAAAGCCAGGAATAAAACAAGGGTGTTAAAAAATTCCAGTGTTAGTCAACCTTTTTCCCTGTAAATCCTCACTGTGAGTGAAGGGTCACATCGGGTCTGGGCTGACGCATGTGCGCCAGGAAAAATGACCCAAAAGTTCTGTCCTCTCAGGTCACTGCTTCCTTTTCTCGGACACTGCAGCGTTGAGATGGATATGGAAGGCTGTGGTCATCTCATGTGCTGGGAAGGACGCCTGGATCAGGGAAGCAGCGTGGTGGCCTGCAGGCCTTGGGCCTCCGTGAAGACAAAAGTGTTATAAAAACAACTGATGGAAAAGTGAACTGTGGCTTCTCAGTGAGAGTCTCCCCCACGCAGGCAGTGAACACCGCATGTGGGTGTGAGGGAAATGGAGCTGCGGGACCTCCCAGTGATGTGAAGATGCTGTCCCTGCTGTGTCTCCTGTCCTGTGTCCTATGAAGCTCAGCAAATGGGGAGATTTGCTAATAGAAACCATCTCTCAGCAGCATGCTTGGTGGTGGGTCACTAAGAGCTTCTCATTAAATTCAGGAGCAAGAGGTGGATGATGAAATACCATCATCTAATGTTATTTTAACAAAACATCATTATCCAATGTTATTTTAACAGTTTTAGCCACAGCAACTACACAGAAAAGCAAAACAAGATGTACAGATACTGGAAAGCAGAAGAAAATGTAATCATTTCCTCTGACAAACTATGGGATCAAAGATTCAGGTGTACATTCAACTGCTTGTACAGTTCAATGCAAGTAATAAAAAACTGCAAAAAGTCTTACATGCGGCGAGTAGCCTCTTCAGTATAAAATAATAACTAAAACAGGCATCCACCAGAGCAAGAAAATATTTACAATACCTAGGACTAAATTTGAAACATGGAAAGTTCATATGTATATTTTAGAAAACTATAAAAGTGTAGTAACATTTATAACAAAATAAATCCTAGATCGATAAAACACATAAATATTTAAAAAATAAAACCCGAAAATACTGAGGGGATAGTAGAAAATTATTTATAATCTTGGAGTGGGAAAGGCTTTTCTAGGAAAAACACATAACCCAGCAATCAAAAGGGTTAAAATACGTAAATGAATAAAACCAATGTGAGTACAGAAAATACCCAAAGAATGCCATTCAAAAAGTCAAAAGATGCATAACAAACTATTAAAAATATATGTTTGCAACCAATATAACAATAGCCAGTTTCCTTAACATAAGGAAGTATATATATGTATATAATATATATAATATGTAAATTATAAAAACAACAATATAACAGTAAAATAGGTAACAAACGTGAAGTGGCAGTTAACAGATAAAGAAATATAAGCAACTTATAAACAAATATAAAGATGCTCAACTTCACTTTTAATTAAAGAAATGAAAATTACATAATAAAATTGTACAATTTTGTCAGATTGGTGAAGACAAAAACAATTCTGACAACACACAAGTTTGGATCTGGGTAACCAGGCACAGGCTCAGACTGCTGGCAAAGGTGTGAAGGGGTGCCTTGTGTTTGGAGAGCAATTTAGGAATAAGATTCTAAATTTAAAGTGCACTCATGCTCTGACTGCAGGGACGGTCTTAGTGATTTTTTTCTCTAGATCTGTTTGCATTCCTTCCTTGTTCACTGCTACACCCCCAGCACCTAGGCCAGTTCCCCAAGCAGCAGCAATAGCCACTCAGTATCTGTTGAGTAATGAATATGTACAAAGAATACTATTCAATCGGGCACAGTGGCTTACGCCTGTAAACCCAGCACTTTGGGAGGCCAAGGCAGGTAGATAGTTTGAGTTCAGGAGTTTGAGACCAGCCTGGCCAACACGGTGAAACTCTCTACAAAAAATACAAAAAAAGTTAGCTGGTTGTGGTGGCACATGCCTGTAGTCCCAGCTAATTGGGAGGCTGTGACGGGAGGATCACCTGAGCCCAGGGAGGTTGAGGCTGCAGTGAGCCGTGATGGCACCACTGCACTCCAGCCTAAGCAACAGAGTGAAACCCTGTTTCCAAAAAAAAAAAAAAAAAAAGGCTGGGCGCAGTGGCTCATGCCTGTAATACCAGCACTCTGGGAGGCTGAGGCAGGTGGATCGCCTGAGGTCAGGAGTTTGAGACCAGCCTGGCCAACATAGTGAAACTCCATCTCTACAAAAAAATACCAAAAAAATGTATCTGGGCATGGTGGCGGGCGCCTGTAATCCCAGCTACTCAGGAGGCTGAGGCAGGAGAATCGCTTGAACCCAGGAGGTGGAGGTTGCAGTGAGCTGAGATTGCGCCATTGCACTCCTCCAGCCTGGGCAACAAGAGCAAAACTCCATCTCAAAAAAAAAAAATTATTTGCATGTTCATTTTAGCAAAAGACTAGAAACATCTTTTAACTTATCCTTCATTAAGGGGTGGTTATATGAATTATCACACATCCATCCAGTGGAATTATCCGCTACTCCCTGTTTAACAGCAGAGAAGACCTCCAAGTGCTGATGTGAAAATGTCACCAGGCTACATGGTTGACTACAAAATCCATGTTGAGTAGCCCACGTGTGTAAAAAAAAATCCATAAACAAAAATATGTGCAGATGATGACTGGAAAGGCACACACACACACACACACACACACACACACACACACACACACGCAAAACCCTGTAGCAGGAAGGGGAGGTGCTAGGAGCCCAGAATAAAAGATTGACTTTAGTTTAGATATCCTTTTTATGCAGAGAACACTAGCTAGTCTTAAATTATGCAGAGAAAAAAACACAATCACCACACAAACATATGGAAATGTAGTAGGTATCCTAAAGAAAAACAAAAACTGGAGTGAAGAAGTTGAAAAGAATTTGGATAAATCAAAGCATACACTGTATGTTCTGGAATGGAAAGACATGGTATTGTTTAGATGTTTTAATTTTCCCTCAAAGTAATCTACAAATTTAATATGATGCCAATTCAAATCTCAAATCCATTCTTTCCAAGTCTTGGCAAAAGAAAATCAAAGTGCATCTAGAAGACTAAACATTTAAAACCAGGCAAGAACATTTTAAAGAAATAGATTAAAAGTCCGGGATGGGGTAAGGGGTAGAACTTGTCCTACCATGTATAAAAATAGATTATAAAGTCAAGGTAATTTAAGTGGTATTGCTCTGGAATATGAATAAACAGACATATGAATGTTGAATGAATATGAATAAAAAGTCCAGAAATAGACAAATGGGCACTACTATCTGTGTGCGCATGTGTGCATGCAATGATAACACTGGCAGAGTTGATATTGGTTGTTTCTTCACCACCCAGCATACATGTCCAGCTTCCCTCCCCCAACCCTGCTTAATAGCAGCCAACTTTGTTTCCGGTATGTCTGTAAAAAAAAAAGTAGCCCATGTGTGACTGAATTCAGTCTGGTAGGACAGGTAAGCAAATTATCATCCTCCTGTATCCAATTAAACACTCCCTCCCAGCTCTTTGACTCTAATGCAAACAGACCCAGAGGTAAAGAACCATAGGAATTGTCCACTCCTGCAGAACTGCACCCTGGCAAGTTCAGGGTTCCCACTGTAGGCCCCAGTCTCAGTCAGATTTCTGAGCCAACAGAAGAAGCTTCCTTAGAACCAGCCAGTTTTCAAGCCTGATCTCTAGCCTCCTTGATGATTCAATAGGCCCCACTATCCTCACAATAAATGGCCTGTGGCTTTCTTAGTAATTGTAACTTGCTGCAAATGATTTTTAATGATCTGGGTGACATTTCAAATCAGCAGGGAAATACTAGAGTATTCAGAAAATGGTTTCAGGTAAACTACTAAACTGTTTAGAGAGAAAAAGTTCAATTCATCGAGTAGATTGTAAAATACTAAAGAGTTAACTATATTAAAAAAAAGCACACCATAACCAGGAAGTTATTGGGGTAGCATAATCTTGGAAAGGAGACAATCTTTTTAAGCATGATTCTAAGGTAAGATTACAAAGAGAAACATTGGTAAATTTGAATATATAAAAATTAAAAAGTTTTCTACTTTTCTGACAAAAATTAAAAGGCAAATAACAATCCAGGGAATATATTTGCCCAATATAAGTCAAAGGATTCAAAACTATAATATATAAAGAGCTCTTATAAATCATTGATAAATATTTAAATCTATAACTGAGTACAGAACACATACAGACAAAACAGAGAAGAAAATAAAATATAAATGGTGCATAAACATGAATATATGACATAATTACACATATATGTATAAATACATATAAGCTTATGTATATGCAATTATAAATGACTAAAAAGTTTAATCTTACTAGTACTCAAAGAAATTCAAATTAAACAATGAAATCATCTTATATCTTTCAAATTAGCATGGATTAAAAAGAATAACAACTTTCAGTGCTGGCAAAGGTGTAGGGGAAGAGCATTATCATATATTGGGAATATAAATGGGTAAACTTCCCTAAAAGGCACTATGTCAATATGCACCAAATACTCTAAAGATACATTCATTTTTATCATGTATATCTAATTTTAGGAGCTGTAAAAAGGATTTAATTTGTATAAGAATAATGGCCATCTCTCTAATTGCAAAAAGCAGAGATATGGTTAAATAAACAATGTTACATTCATACATATAGAGTAGTCACTACCAATAAAGTTGTAGAATATTTTAAAACATGGAACAGGCCGGGCGTGGTGGCTCATGCCTGTAATCCCACCAAGGCAGGCGGATCACCTGAGGTCAGGAGTTCGAGACCAGTCTGGCCAACATAGTGAAACCTTGTCTCTACTACAGTATAAAAGTTAGCTGGGCGTGGTGGCCCATGCCTATAGTCCCAGCTACTTGGGAGGCTGAGGCAGAAGAATCGCTTGAACCCAGGAGGTAGAGGTTGCAGTGAGCTGAGATTGTGCCACTGCACACCAGCCTGGGTGACTGAGCAAGACTTCATCTCAAAAAATAAATAAATAAAACATGGAACAATGTGATCAGTTAAAAAAGAAATCACAAGGCAGCATGAAGTGGATAGCACATTTAAATACATTAAATATATATGTATACATACATGCATGCATACCCATACATCCATATACACACACATTATGCACAGAAAAGACTGGAAGGACATAATCAACTGGGTGGTAGGACTGTGAAGTGTTTTGTTTTTTGAATTTCTATAGTAAATGTATAATTTTTATATATGAAATTTTGTTTTTTGAATTTCTATAGTAAATGTATAATTTTTATATATGAAATTTTATATATGAAAGGAGCATACCTTTTATGTGTTGTATAGGTTTTGCAATATTCTATGAAGAACTCAGGGTAGGTCATGTCCACACTGAACAGGTGTATTAGTCCATTCTTGCATTGCTAGAATGAAATATCTGAGACTGGGTAATTTATAAAGAGGTTTAACTGGCTCATGCAGGCTGTACAGGAAGCATGATGCCAGCATCTGCTTGACTTCTGGGGAGGCTTCAGGAAACTTACAATCATGGTGGAAAGTGAAGGGGGAGCCAGAAAGTCACGTGGCCAGAGCAGGAGCCAGAGAGAAAGCAAGGAAGGGAGGTGCCACACACTTTAAACAACCAGTTCTCGTGAGAACTCACTCCCTCACTATCATGAGGGCAGCACCGAGGGAATGGTGCTAACCACTCATGAGAATCTGCCCCCATGATCCAATCACCTCCCAGCAGTCTCCACCTCCAACGCTCGGGATTGCAACTGAACATGAGATTTGGGCAGGGACACAAATCCAAACCATATCAATAGGAAAGGGAAGCAAGGCCGAGAAACAGTGAGTGACTTGTCCTAAGTCACATAACCAGGAGGTGGTGAAGCATGGCTTTGATCCTGGATTGCTGACTCCAAATCCAGTACTGTTTGTGCTGCACACATTGCCCCCAAGCAAATGAACACACTGGTTTGTAGCTCTGAGATTTCTGGCCTTGTATGAGCCAAGGCAGAGGGAGACCTAGGATCAAGTTCTAAAGTGAGGGAAATATTGATGATTCTGTGGTACCATCAACCAAACAGATGTATGTGAGAGTACATATCTGTGGTACATGATGTTCTTTTTATGTATCCGTGGAGGTATAGAAAGCGGTAAGAAATAGAGGAGACCAAATCTCCCTTTCCTATACTTCCATGCAGTCTGCGATGTGGGAAAACGGTCTGAGATTAAGACCAGGAGGGGTCAGCCCTTCAAGCTTGGGCAATGTGTGTGGGCTTTCTTTTTGGTGTGAACCTCCAGACACTGAGTTTCCCTTCACCCAATCACTCTGTCTCCCCCACACAGAGCCCTGCACTGGAAAATGAGAGTCTAAGAAAAAAATGGCCAGTTCCTTGTAGGTCACCAGATTTTGCTATACTCATAGCACCTAGTATTTAGGAACAAAAAGGCTGGCCAAGTTATGGATACAAGATGGCAAGTTATCCTTTCAGATGGAGATGGGGATCCAGGTTGTGTCAATTGTCAATCTTAAGGGGGTCTACACCATACCGAGAATACTTCTGTGCACATCATATAGGGATGAAATCTGATCAATGTTTTCTAGGCCACATTCAACAGACAATAACAAGATGAAGCCCCAACAATTCATTTTTGTAACTCAGTGGGCAGCTTCAGCATTGAAACTGTGCCAGCGACACTGGTCCTGCTGGCCTTCGTAGATAAGAATGCAGAGAGCAGCAGGCTTTCCAGTGGCTGCCCCTGTGAATCCAAACAACATGGTCCCAAGCCAAGCAGGCATGGTCCCACAGCAGAAAAGCTTCTGGTAATTCAGCAATCACTTCTCAGAATCATAGCCACAGGTAGAGCAGGCAGAGGGCAACTGTGGAGGGACATGGCTCTGAAAGGTAGCCTGCTGTTGCTTCCAAGACAAAGAAACGAAGGCCCATGTCCCCATACCCAGGGAACCACAGTCCTATCAGGAGTTTAAGTATATTCATACCAGAATGCAACCAAACACACTGCAATTTCTGTCACAGCCAGATGTACCTATTACAGTACCATGAGCTAAGTTATTTTGAAATGATCGTTCTATCCAACAAACAAGTTGTTGATCTTCTACAACAAGCTCGTCCAACCCACCACGCTGCATGCAGCCCAGGATGGCTTCGAATGAGGCCCAACACAAATTCGTAAACTTCCTTAAAACATTATGAGATATTTTTTGTGACTTATTTTTTTTTAGCTCATCAGCTGTCGCTAATATTAGTGTATTTTATATGTGGCCCAAGACAATTCTTCTAACGTGGCCCGAGGAAGCCAAAAGACTGAATACCTCTGTTCTACAATGTACACAGCACACTGTCTACAATTTTCTGAATGTGGCCCAACACAAATTCGTAAACTTTCTTAAAACATTATGAGTTTTTTTTGTGACTTTTTTTTTTTTTTTTTTTTTAGCTCATCAGCTATCGCTAGTTTTAGTGTATTTTATGTGTGGCCCAAGACAATGCTTCTTCTAACGTGGCCCAAGGAAGCCAAAAGATTGAATACCTCTGTTCTACAATGTACATAGCACACTGTCTACAATTTTCCTGGATCTGAAAGAAAATTCTTTTTAATTGAGAAATGCTAACTATATTGTTTTGATATATTCGTCATCCAGCATAATATGTACATCAGCACTTAAAACTGACTTGCAAACTGATTTTTAAAAATTCAATACAAATAAGAATCAATGCAACAAATGCTAAAATATAATAGTTACTAAGGATATTTATTCCAAAATAGCACTACGTTGTGATCCTTAAAAATATACTACTAGTAGCTGATTTACAAGAAGAAAAAGTTTTAATTGTTCTACTTATAAATCAGTAAGTGAATTGTTATCTAACTTATAGAAATAAATCAGCTTAACCTAAATACCCTAAACTAGAAAACATCAGAATGAATTGAAAGTGTACATGAGAACCTAAGAATACAGTAAAATTATTTTTAAAATTGCTCTTGTACACAATCAAATCCTATGACCTTTATGAAAGGGTTTGCATTTCATTACTTACCAACTGGCAGCCTTCTAGGGAGTTGACTAGCTGAGCATTCTGACAAGAGAGAATTGAACCAGCCAAATTCAGCATTACACACACCGCAGAAAGCAGCATGAAAAAGGTTATCTGGAAACAAACCAAACATAAAATTGATTATTCACTTGGAGAGGCTCAAAGGAAAAATGACATGGCTTTACAACAGCTTTCATTTATTATACAACAGTTGATCACATAATTACATGAATAACATGTATGTGTTTTAAAGGAAAGTGGTAGGTTATTTCTCAAACTTCCAAATTCATATGATCTGAAATAGAAAAAGTAAGATCTGTAGGAAGCCATAGCAAGCTACCATGATTTTGTTTAAAACCTATGATGATAAAATATTTAAGGAGTTAAACTTGAAAGACTGTGCATTATATACTCTTAACAGTGACAAGTTACACATTATTAAAGGAAATCAAGTGAAAGAAGTATATTTATTAGAAGGCCTTTAGGTTTAATTTTTATTACAGAAAATTTCATACACATGCAAAACCAAAGAAAACAGCATAATGAAGGCACATGTGTCTATCACCCAACATCAATAATTAATCCACTTACGGCCAACTGTGTTTCATTTACAGCCCCTACCATCTGAATTATTGTGCAACCAATACCAGGCATCATATAATTTTACCCTTAAATCTTTCTAAAGGAATTGAGAAGCTTTCTGAAAACATAGCCAAAATAGTCATCATATCTATAATAAATAAAAATTCATTAATATCATCAGATACTGAGTTCACATTTCCCTAATTGTCTAAATTTTTTCACACTTTGAATCAGGCCACACAGGATACAAAGCAGGTCCATGTGGTACAACTGGCTGTTAGGAATCTTAGACAGTCTATGGGTTTCCCATCCACTTTTTCCTCTGTGAAATTTACTGAAGAAACCAGTTCATTTGTCCTAAAGAGTTTCTTACAGTCTAAACTTTCTGATTGTAGTCCTCTATCATTAAACATTTCTCTAGCCTCTGTATTTCTTGTAATTTGGTGATTAAATACAGAGGTTTGGCCAAATTCAGATCAATAAAAGGCAAATATTGTCTCTCTCTCTTTTTTTTTTTTTTTGTGATGGAGTCTCACTCTGTCGCTGGAGTGCAGTGGCACAATCTCGGCTCATTGCAACCTCTGCCTCCCGGGTTCAAGCGATTATCTTGCCTCAGCCTCCTGAGTAGCTGGGACTACAGGTGCGCACAACCACACCCAGCTAATTTTTGTATTTTTAGTAGAGACAGGGTTTCACCATGTTGGCCAGGACGGTCTCGATCTCTTGACCTCATGATCTGCCCTCCTTGGCCTCCCAAAGTGCTGGGATTACAGGCATGAGCCACCACGCCCGGCCAATATTGTCTCTCTTTTTGTGATGTTAGCGGCCATTTTTAATGATGACAGACTCATTAATTTATTAGGGTTTCCAAAATAGTGCTAGTCTCACTCTGTCATTTTTTCTTTATGAATAAGAATACATATAGAGACACAGACTTTTCCTCATCAACTGTTTTGTTACCCTGAGGTATAGTTCATATATGAAAAGCAGGATATATACTTGACTCTTTCTGTTCATTTTCCAGGCTTTAAAATAATTTTAAATTTTGCAAAATGAACTCAAGGAAGTCTGTATGCTTAATTAGCACTCTTTCTGCACCTATGTAAATAATTAGGCCAAATCTAATGAAGAAAGACCCTTTTTGTGATGGAGAATAACCTTTAAGATTAATCTGATCAAGAGGCGGGGAGACTGGCATTAAAACTTGTTAAAGAGCAAAAAAAAAAAAAAAAATTCACTGGATATTCTGTCTAATGCACACTTCAGGGTTATTTCTGCCTTTCAATGTCTTTATGCTATTTCAAAACTCTGCATAAAACTGATAAAACTGATAGTTTATCAACTGATAGTTGTATAAAACTGATAGTAGTGCAAATGATTCTTGACGATACAAATGTAAAGGAATTTTGTCCAGTAGAACGTAACTGATTATTGCCCCACTGATATTGGCCACTTTTACATTTATTTGTAAATTTATTTCAGCATTCCTGATTGCTTATATGTGTGCAGTGTTTGAATTAACCTTTGAACTGCTTGTAACATCTTACTGATTTCCTCATTAAATAATGAGTTAGACATAGTCTTTGACACATGTCTATTTTTTTAAAAAGCTGATTCCCGGCCAGGCGCAGTGGCTCATGCCTGTAATCCCAGCACTTTGGGAGGCCAAGGTGGGTGGATCATGAGATCAGGAGTTCGAGACCAGCCTGACCAACATGGTGAAAGCCCATCTCTACTAAAAATATAAAAATTAGCCGGGCATGGTGCTGCGCGCCTGTAATCCCAGCTACTCAGGAGCCTGAGGCAGGAGAATTGCTTGAACCCAGGAGGTGGAGGCTGCAGTGAGCCGAGATCTCCAGCCTGGGTAACAAAGCGAGACTCCGTCAAAACAAACAAACAAACAAACCAACAAACAAAAACCTGGTTCCCTAGCATCCTCCAAAATTAACAATATCATGAAATAGTATTTTGTCTGTTTGGTGGAGAGGGGAGTGAGTTTGAGTCATTATGAGCCAAGAACTTAAACACATTTGATAGTTTTAATCATCTGCATCATTAGACAGAGTCCACTCAAGTTGACACCTGGGTCCTTTCAACACAACTCCAGTAGACCTTGACAGCTATCTGGCTTTCTGTATGAGAAGATAGCACAGGATCATCTTACAGTTTTCTACCCAAGAGACCTATAATCAGCCATTTCTCCAGTAAGTCCAGGTTCCATTCAATGAGAATGGTATTCAGATACCATAATTTTTGTGCTACAGGTGCTGTTTGCTACTTGGAGCTTCATTGTTTTCAGTTGTCAGACATATCATGAGTTCACAATTATGTTTCTGATTTAAATTCAACACTACTAAGTTTTCACAATGAGATACCATCTCACACCAGGCTATTACTAAAAAGTAAAAAATAACATGTTAGCAAGGATGTGGAGAAAAGGGAACACTTATACACTGTTGGTGGAAATGTAAATTAGTTCAGCCACTGTGGAAAGCAATGTGGAGATTTCTCAAATAACTAAAAGCAGAACGACCATTCGACCCAGCAATCCCATTACTAGGTATATACCCAAAGGAAAATACATTGTTTTGCCAAAAAATAAAAAACCCCACCTTCACCCATATGTTCACCACAGCATTATTCACAATAGCAAAGTCATAGAACCAACCCAGGTGCCCATCAATAGTGGCTTGGATAAGGAAAATTCCATGGTACATATACACCATGGAATACTACGCAACCATAAAAAAGAACACAATCATGGCCAGGCGCGGTGGCTCATGCCTGTAATCCCAGCACTTTGGGGGGTCGAGGCGGGCGGATCAAAAGGTCAGGAGATTGAGACCATCCTGGCTAACACAGTGAAACCCTGTCTCTACTAAAAATACAAAAAGTTAGCCAGGCATGGTGGTGGGCGCCTGTAGTACCAGCTACTCGGGATGCTGAGGCAGGAGAATAGCATGAACCCGGGAGGTGGAGCTTGCAGTGAGCCAAGATCACGCTACTGCACTCCAGCCTGAGCGACAGAGCGAGAGTCCGTCTCAAAAAAAAAAAAAAAAGGAACACAATCATGTTCTTTGTAGCAACATGGATGTAGCTGGAGTCCATATTATATGAATTAACACAAACAAAACCAAATACTATATATTCTCACTTATAGGGTAGGAGCTAAACTTTGGGTACACACAGACACAAAGATGGGGACAACAGGCACTGAGGACTCCAACCGGAGGTTGGGGGGAAGAGCTGAAAAACCACCTATTGGGGTACTGTGCTCACTAACTGGGTGATGGGATTATGAGAAGCCTAAACTTCAGCATCATGCAACACACCCAGGTAACAAACCTGCACATGTACCTCCTGAATCTAAAATTTAAAATAAATATAGTCATACATAACAAAAAAACCGCAAACAAAACTATAAGGTTTTTATGTAACCATATTAATTTTACATCTGTATCTCCTTTCAACCATGCCAAAAACTATTTCTCAACATAATTAATCTGTTGGATTTAATTTCACAATATCCACACAACAGTCTCAAAATAACACCAATACAACTGCCGAAAAAAATGACTGAAAATAGTTTAACATTTATATTTCTTTTTATTCTTACATTACATTCTACCAGAAATAGTCAAATTATGGTGTTTTAAACTCACATGGTTCCTTTATATGTGGTTACGCTACTGATCAGGAACCCAGGTTCATTCCTTTTATTTCATTTTTTCTTGTTTAAGAATTGTTTCTAAAACTGAGTTTCATTTCTAATTACATAAAATGATTCCAAAGTCAGGTCCATAAATGAAGTTTCACATAAGTCTGGCATTTATTCTGTTCCTCCACTCTATTTCCTCCCATTTATTAATAGGCAAGCATTTATTTTTTAATTTTATATTTTATCCTCCCATCATTTTTTAGTACAAGTATATAATAGTAGCATAATACACACATTTTCTTTACTTACTTTTTTTGCACTTAATATGGTGAAGATCACTCGAAATAAGAACACACAAATAACCCTATTCCCTTCTACAACTGCCTAATACTTCATGGCACAGATGAATCACAATTTATTTTTTTATTATTTATTTATTTATTTATTTATTTATTTATTTATTTATTTATCTTGAGATGGAGTTTCACTCTTGTTGTGCAGGCTGGAGTGCAATGCAGCGATCTCGACTCACCGCAGTCTCCACCTCCCAGGTTCAAGCGATTCTCCTGCCTCAGCCTCTCAAGTAGCTGGGATTACAGGCATGCGCCACCACACCGGGGTAATTTTGTATTTTTAGTAGAGACGGGGTTTCTCCATGTTGGTCAGGCTGGTCTGGAACACCTGACCTCAGGTGGTCCACCCGCCTCGGCCTCCCAAAGTGCTGGGATTACAGGCGTGAGCCACCGCGCCAGGCCAAATCACAATTTATTAAGCCAGATCCCTACTGATGAACATTTGGGTTATTTTTAGTCCTTTGCTATTTATTATAAGTAGTGTTGCAACGAACTGCCTTGTTCATATATCTTTTTATAGGTTTCCCAGCATGGCTTTGGGATATATTCTTAGAAGTGGCATTGCTGGATCAACGGATAAATGTTTGTTTAATGTGCTAGACATTACCACATTCCTCATCATACGACTGGTACTATTTTTCATTCCCACTAACAATGTATGAGAAGGATAAGATCTTACTTTTTCTGTTAATACCTTAAAAATGTAAGCTAAATTAAATTTAGGAAAATAACTGGTATTACCATTCTCTACCGTAACTATAATGTATACCCCTCAGCTGTAGTTAAATTTATTTTCCTTAAAAATGTACATGGGAGACAGAATTCATAAGAGGATATTTTGTTCATTTAGGAACTATTTCAAGTTCATAATGTTAGCAGTATCTCAGCAATGGTTTTAATAACTGCAGAGTCTGACAGCATCCCTTGGGAAAGTTAGGTCACATAGAAAGGGCCAACTTTGCTGGGCGCGGTGGCTCACACCTGTAATCCCAGCACTTTGGGAGGCTGAGGCGGGTGAATCATGAGGTCAGGAGATCGAGACCATCCTGGCTAACACGGTGAAACCCCTGTCTCTACTAAAAATACAAAAAAATTAGCCGGGCGTGCTGGCACGCGCCTGTAATCCCAGCTACTCAGGAGGCTGAGGCAGAAGAATCGCTTGAACTCGGGAGATGGAGGTTGCAGGGAGCCGAGATTGCACCACTGCACTCTAGCCTGGGTGACAGAGCAAGGCTCAGTCTCAAAAAAAAAAAAAAGAAAGAAAGAAAGAAAGAAAAAAGAAAGGGCCAACTTAAATTTTTCATATTAGAAGTTACGGCAGTCCCATATCATTCAAATGATGTGTAAATAAACTGGCCTGCACAGCTTTGAAATTGAGGTCAAAAAATAGTTGCTGAAAACATCACGAAAGCAAACCTACACAGAAGCCAACAAGAGACTACCCTGAGACTTAGTAAGTGCTGAACAACACAGATGCTACGAAAGTCAAGGAGGTAAGAGACAATAAGATCTTTTTGCCTGTTTATTGTTTTTTTTTTAATTGTGGTAAAATATCCATAATAAAAACGTACTTGCATTTTCTAATTTGTTTTTTAAACTGTGGTAAAATATTCATAACATGAAGTTTACCTTTATTCCCATTTTTACGTGTGCAGTTTAATGACATTAAGTATGTTCACACTGTTGTGGAATGATCATCACTATCCATTTCCAGAGAATGTTTTGTCTTCTCAAACTGAAACTCCATACCCATTAAACAATCATTCCTTATCCTCCCTCCTCCTAGCCCCTAGCAATCACCACCATTCTACTTTCTGTCCCTTGAAATTTGATTACTCTAGATATGTTACATACGGGAAATCATACAGTACTCTTCCTTTGGTGACTGGCTGATTTCACTTATAGCATAATGTCTTCAAGGTTCATCCATATTGTAGTATGTGTCAGAATTTCCTTCCTTTTCAAGGCTATTTGAATAATATTCCATTGTTCCAGAAATTGGTCCTGCCAATGAAACAACTTTTCTGAGTGGGCAAGAACTTTGAATCAACTATTTCATAACTCTGGAAGCTGGCTGAACACTTGTAGCATCCAGAGGGATAATCTGATAAAGAAAGAGGTTGGCATTCAAGGAAATCTCCATCAGGTCTTTGGCTGACCATGGATATAATGGAATAGAGACTTTAGTGATCACACACAATAAGGAATAAAATCTGCTCAAAATTAGTTTGGAAAAGTCACTAAAGAAATGGATGGCTACAGCTCTCAAAAAGCAGTTATCAGGCATCATTGAGGAGGGAAGATAATCTGATTTCAGAGTCACCACATTACAATATTCAAAATGTCCAATTCTCAAATATTTCCTTCTTGACCAATCTCTAGCACTTGAACAAAATATTAACATAGATTCTAACAGCTCAAGGCCACATCCCTAGGATGGCTCTAGCTCCCCCTAAAGTGCCTGCCTGAGAAAATTCAAGGCTGCCAAAAGAGTTTACTGTTAGTTCCAGCTGACACTTGAAGACACCCTGTGTCCCAGCATCTGTGGGAGGGTAGGAGCCTAACTTTGATAAGCACTAGCTAACAATCCCAGATGGGTTTCACACAGGCCAATCCCTACTTTCCACTTTTGGTAATTTTTCACTTCCTTGACTTTACTAACCACCCCCTACACCCTGCTCACCCTCCCTCCTGATTCTTCATTCTTCCTTTAAAACACCTAGTGAAGCCTGGCACAGTGGCTCACACCTACAATCCCAGCACTTCAGGAGGCCAAGGCAGGCAGATCACTTGAGCCCAGGAGTTAGATACCAGCCTGAGCAACATGGTGAAATCCCATTTACATATATATATATATGAAGAAAAAAATGCAATTATTAAAAAATCAAAACAAAACAAAAGCCCAGAAACCTCTGTACAAATTGAAGTTGAGTTCAGTTAACACCGGGCTCTTTTCCATAGTGTAATAGTTTATTACTCATTAAAATCTGCCCTTTCCGTTTTAACTGGTGTCCAGCTTTGTGTATCTCTGGCAGAAACACATGAATTAACAAAAGTGATTCAAGACAAAATAGAAATTCTCAATATCTGTATAACAAGGAAGGAGACTGAATCAGGAATCAAAAATCCTCCCAACAAAGAAACGTCTGGGCCTATTTGGGGTCTCTGGTGAATACTCTCAAACATCTAAGGAATTAACACCAGTCTTATGCAAACTCTCTCAAAAACTGAAGGAGAGGGAGCACTTCCTAACTCATTTCATGAGGCAGGATTACCCTGGTACCGAAGTCAGACAAAGACACTACAAGAAAAGTAAACCATAGACTAACATCACTTATGAATATACACAGAAAATCCTCAATACATTTCAGAAGATTAAATCACACAAAGTACCTACTCTGACCAAAATAAAGTGAAGTTAAAAATCAGTAACAGAAAGAAAACTGGAAGGAAACAAAAGGAAATTGGATTCTACTCCGTGACCAAGTGGGATTTACTTCAGGAATGCAAGAAAGTCGATCAATGTAATACACAACATCAATACATTGAAGAAGAAAAAAAAGCACATCATCATCTCAACACAGAAAAACCATTTGACCCAATTTGAGAATTCTTATCTTTCAGAGACACGTGCCAAAATATTTACAGGTAAAATCATATATGGCATTTGTTTCTAAGTAATCTGGACTAGGGAGGAATACAAAGTAGTTGAACTGGGTGGGGATACAGACGAAATAAGATTATCCACATATTGAATCTTGTACCTCATCTTTCTACTTTCACATGTTTGAAATTTTCTAAAATAAAAAATTTAAAAACAGATGAAAAGACATTTTAAGAGAATACTTTTAAAATAAGGCAGGAAGGAAACTGGAAATATGTTAATATAATACTAAAAAGCATTATTAGGAATAAAGAGAGTCTAAAAGCAACAATTCTCCAGGAGGAGATAATGATGCTAAACCTGTTTCGCCTTTACAAATACAGCCTGAAAATATATAAAATAAAAAACAAGACTTAACAAAATCATAATGAGAGATCTTTCCCATTGCTTAGAAATAGATTACGCAATAAAAATAGACTATATAATACTTGAACAACACAATTAACAAGCTTTAGGTAATAAACATACTGTGAACATATCAAAAACACGTACACAGCTGCTTGGGAGGCTAGCGGGGGAGGACTGCTTGTGGTAAGGAGCTCAAGACCAGCCTGAGATACATGGCAAGATCCCATCTCTAAAAAAATAGTTTTAAAAATTAGCTAGGCATGGTGGTGCTCGCCTGTAATCCCAGCTGATCAGGAGGCTGAGGAAGGAGGATCGCTTGAGCCCAAGAGTTGGAGGCTGCCGTGAGCTATGATTGTGCCACTGCATTCTAGCCTGGGCAACAAGCAAGATCCTATCTCTAAAAAGTTTTTTAAAAATTAGCCAGGCATGGTGGCGCTTGACTGTAGTCTGAGCTAATTAGGAGGCTGTAGCAGGAGGCTCACTTGAGCCTGCTTCTACTGCACTCTAGCCTGGGCAACAAGCAAACTTCTATCTCTAAAAAGGAAAAGACAAAAAGAAAACATACTGAATTCACTTCTTTTTTAAAGGACACTTGGAACATACCAAAAGCTAACCACATATTAGGCCAAAGACCATGTTAAAATATTTTAAAAACTGATTTTATACGCAACATTTTATCTCACTCAAAGCAATTTTTTAAAAAATCAAAGACCAACAACAAAAAGCATAGTTCAAATCCAAATATTTGAAAATTTAAAAAGATCACTCACTTGCAATTAGAATCAAAGACAAATCAAAACAGATATTAGGAAATATTTAGCATTGAATATAACAAAAATACATCTGAGAATTTATCAAATATGAGCAATATTGTAAAGATAAATATATTGCCTTAAATGAATTAGAAATGAAAATCAATTGACTAAGTATCTACTCCAGAAATAAAAAAAAAAAGAACCACTAAGTAAACCCAAGGAAAGTAAAAAGAAAGGAAACATAAAGTAATTAAATCAAAAAGGGAAACAATAAAAAAGATCAATACAACAAAAGTTTCTTGAAAATACTGATAAAATAAATAAACTCCCAGCACAAATGGCTCCAGAAAAAAAAAAAAAAAGGGGCGAAGGCAAAAAATAATTCTGGGAGTACAAAAAGAAAGAGAATCTATAAGTAAAGATGCATGGTGTTATGATATATACATATTGGTTTCCTTCCATGGTTCCTGTTTCCTAACTCCCATAATCTTCGTTATACTGTTGGGGTTCTTTAGGCCTCAGGCAACAGAATCTCTCTCTCTGACCTTCTCCTGTCTTTCTTTCATCTGCCCCAGTCAGGCCTCTGATTGTGGGTCAAAAGACCCTCATTTCAGAAAAGAGTCCTGCCCCAAACCCTAGAGGAAGGAATGCTACACAGAGAGGCCAAGAAAACTCTGAGCAGACAGGCCTTGCTGGCTTTAGCTCGTGTGCGTTTTTGTCCAATCACATTTCTGCACAGTTGTCAATCATGCCTATGTAATGAAGCTTCCATAAAAACCCAAAAGGACAGGGTTCAGAGAGCTTCCAGACTGCTGAACATGCGGTGGTTCCGGTAGGGTGGCGTGCCCAGGGAAGGCATGGAAGCTCCACACACCTTCCCCATACCTTGCCCTATGCATCTCTTCATCTGTGTCTTTTGCAATACCCTTTATAATAAACCAGTAAACGTAAGTGTTTCCCTGAGTTGTGTGGACTGCTCTTGCAAATTATTTGAACCCAAAGAGGACATCATCAGAACCCCAACTTGAAGACCATTGGTCAAAAGTTCCAGAGGCCTGGACTTGTGACTAGTGTCCTGAGGGTGGGCAGTCTTGGGGACTAAGCCCTCATCCTGTGGGATCTGACACTATCTCCAGGTAGATAGTGTTGGAACTGAATTGGAGGACACCCAGCTGGTATCTGCTGCTTCCTCCGTAGGGGAAACCCCCTACACATTTGATCACAGAAGTCTTCTTCTGTGTTGATGATTGTTGTGGTGTGAGAGCAGAGGAAAAACGAAGTTTGAGAGTTTTTTCTCTAAAAAAGATGTAAAAGAATTATTTTTAAATCAAAGGACAATACTAAGAAATGCTTTCTACTAATTATATCAGAAAATATATGAAAACATCTTCTAGAAAATACAAGTGACCAAAACCAATTTCAAAAGAAGAGAAAACCTGAACATAATCTTGAGAAAAATATCAGTAAAAATCTACCCACAAAAAACACCAGGCCCACAGCCTTTCACATGTAGATTTGTTCCAAACTTTCGAAAACATCTAATCTTCTGATAACAGGGCAAAAGGCAAGCTTCCCAGTGCATTTATAAGACCAAAAGGTTTTCTATTTCCTGAACAATTCAGTGCAATAGCTGTTAAGTGGGACAGAACAAGTTCCATGTCCTGGGAGAGGCCAAGGTCACCTGAGTGGGGTTAGAGCTCTAGCAATGGGTGGAGGGTGACTGCACAGAAAAGCCAGTTATGTGGGACATTGGAGCCCACGTGGGAAGCTAAGCGCACCCATGTGGATGGTGTGGCAGAGGGGATAGTGGATTGGTTATTTATAAGAGGAATTAATCAAATAAGTAAATATGGTAAAGATAATAGGTGCTAAGTTTCTCAAACCAGAATACACACAGCGGTGCTGTATTGCAAATGGCAGTATCAGTGTAATCTCATAGTCTTCAGTGCTGTGTAGATGACTGATAGATAAATATCCTATAACTTCATCACCTAGAGGGCTGGAAGCAATGATATTTCCCATAGGCATGAGCAAACCTAGCAACCTTGTTTCTGAATTCCATTCTCCACCAAAAGAAACCGGAGCTCTTTAGGAAAAGGATTAATTCCAGGCCTAGGGCAGGGAGAGTTAAAGTCTGAACTCCTGGGTGGGCGCGGTGGCTCACGCCTACAATCCCAGCACTTTGGGAGGCCAAAGTGGATCACGAGGTCAGGAGATTGAGACCATCCTGGCTAACACGGTGAAATCCCCGTCTCTACTAAAAACACAAAAAATTAGCTGGGCATGGTGGCGGGTGCCTGTAGTCCCAGCTACTCGGGAGGCTGAGGCAGGAGAATCGCTTGAACCCAGGAGGCGGAGATTGCAGTGAGCTGAGATTGCACCAATCCACTACAGCCTGGCAGCCTGGGCGACAGAGCGAGACTCCGTCTCAAAAAAAAAAAAAAAAAAAAAAAAAAAGAACTCCCTCTCTTTTTGTGCCAACAAGCAAGGAAATGCTCAATAAATGATGTTGGGGGCATGTTAAAGATGCAAAAGCCAGCTTTAAGGGGCTCCCACTGGCCAAATCAGGGACAATTTGAGTATTGAAATATGTAATGATAATAAAAGATTAGATAATAAGTTAATGATAATAAGAGACCCATGGGTCTATACAAAGTCTCAAAGTGTCTCCACACAAGTTATTTGTTTACCTTAAAGGAGAAAACTCTGCAGTGGAGGCACATGACAGAAATCCACCTTAACCAAAGTGATCAAGGTTTCAAAATAACAGGACAAATTGAAATTTTGTGCCACCTGATAGGATCCAAAAATAACACAGCATTGCTTCTGTGATATTCTTCCCAAAGATGCATAATTCAAATCCAATCATGAAGAAACAGCAGACAAACCCCAGCTGAAGGATGTTCTACAGAAAACAGGCCCGTATTCTTCAAGTGAAGGTCATAATAGTCAAGGAAAGACTTAGGAACTACTGGCAATAGGAAGGAGACTAAAGAAACATAACTAAATAGTTCAGGGAACAAATTATTTTGCACTGGGCTTGCAACTTTTCTGTAAATTTGAGGTTATCTCTAAGTAAATTAGCATAACCTCAAAAATAATGATAATATAGGAAAATTAAAGACTAACCCCCCCTTATGTCAAAAGATGCAAAATTATACATTTTGAGCTATATGTATTTAAAAATTTTATCAACAACTGTTTGTCTCCAAAATGCAAGAATGTTTAGATATCAGAAAACTGTATGTTATTACACCAAATTATATGCCCCAAAAAACAAATTTACAGAGTAAATAAGACATTTTAATCATATTAGCAGGTAAATAAAGAGCATATATACATCCAAAGTCATTCATAGTTTTTTTTCTGAACATCTCTAAGCAAGCTAGGACTGAAGGGGTAACTAAATAGCCCAATAAAAGGTATTTATAGGGGAAAAAAACTCTTAACAGCAAACATCACACTCTATGGCAAAACTTAAAATTATTTCCTTTAAAATCAAGAATAAGGAATCAGAAACATCCTTAGAGCCTGCTGTAACTGCTTCTTTTCAATAATATATTGCATTTTCAGCCAATGCAAAAAAGACTAAAATAAAAGGCTTTAAGAATTGAAAAAGAAGACAGGCATATGATGCTAAAGAATTATAGGCTGGGCGAGGTGGCTCATGCCTGTAATCCTAGCACTTTAGGAGGCCGAGGCGGGCAGATTACCTAAAGTCAGGAGTTTGAGACCACCCTGGCCAACATGGCAAAACCCCGTCTCTACTAAAAGTACAAAAATTAGCCGGACGTGGTGGCGGGCACCTGTAATCCCAGCTACTCAGGAGGCTGAGGCAGGAGAATCGCTTGAATCCAGGAGGCAGAGATTGCACTGAGCCAAGATTGTGCCAATGCACTCCAGCCTGGGCGACAAGAGCAAGACTCCGTCTCAAAAAGAAAAAAAGAATTACAGTATGGTATTTGCAAATGGATAGCAAATAAACCAATTCAGTCCTAGCCATAAATTTATCTATACATGGGACATTGCTACAAAATACTGAGTGTCATAAATCAGTGTGGAAAGTATAAATGATGAAAAACTGGTGCTAGGCTATCCATATAGGAAAAATACAAAAACTATTTCCATACCTCACATCATACACAAAAGCAGATTAAAAGCATAAAATGTGAAGATCAAAACTTTGAACACTTAGGGAAAAAAGGCAGAAAACATATTTACAATTTTAGGATTAGGGGAATTTTTTAAAGCACTATACACAAATGTAGCTCTTATAAACACTAATGATCGTAACACATTTAGGTCAAATGATCTGTATGACCAAAAGAAGTGAAAATGTGGGAGAAGGTATTTGCACTAGATAGATAGAGCAGACCATGGATTAACATGTAGAACATATAAAGATGTCTTACAAATCAATAGAAATAGGTCTAAGACATGAAATCTGACACTCAAAAAGGAGTGAGAGCAAAAGATAGGCAGATACTTAACATTACTAGTAAGCAACAGGTATAAGTTAATACCGTAATAAATTATCATTTCACACTGTACCAGAATGGCTGAAAAGATACTGAAAAGGCCAAGTGTTCACAGGGGGTGAAGGTGGAGGGATTGGTAAACAAAAACAAAACAAAACTGTATAAAATGTTGATGGGAGTGTAACTTGACACAAGCTCAAGAGCAGCTTGGCAATAGTCCTTGATTGCTCCATTTGTTTCTGGCTGGAGAAACTCACACATGTGCCTAAAGAAGTACTGTACAATGCCTGCAAATCTCAAAGAACTGGAAAGACCTTAAATGTCCAGACATTAAGGAATGGATAGTTATTTTTCCCCCATAAAAGAACAATTAAAATGAGTGAATCAGGTCTACATATATCCACATGGCTGAATCTCAAATACATAATGGTGAGTGAGTACAGCAAGTTGCATAAGGACACACGTAACACCGCTTATATAAATCATGAAAGCCCACAAAATAAAACTCTATATTGGTTATGTATATATACATGTATAGTAAAATTATAAAGTCATACAACAGCCCGATAGCCACAGACTTTTGTTACCTCTGGGGAGGGTGAGAAGGAAAAGATATAAGGCCTTGATGTGGCCTCTGATGTTTCATATTTTAAAATTTGAAACAAGATTATCGATGGTAAATTGCTAACACCTCTGAGAAAAGCGGGGGGAATTTTGCCTCAGATATAACTGGTGGTGACTGCTGGGTAATAATTTTTATTATACAGGTGAGAATGCGAGTATCAGAGGGCATGAGGAGGAGAAAGCTGAGTCAGGGAGGTAAGGGGACCAGGAGGCAGGAAGGAGTTTATACACTGAAATAAAATGCAGATCAAGAAGAAATGCCTGTAAGGGCCAAACATATTCCACTGATGAAACAAATGCAAATCCCAATTCAACAGAATGAAATAAAACCCAGTAACCTATCACATTCCTCCATACTCACTATAGACTCTTTTAAATGACATTCCGTCCAGTGTTGATGAAGTTCACTTTTTTCCCCGAGTGAAAAATATTTGCCTTATTTCAAGGTTAATTTGCAGCACCTCCCCCTAAAACAATTAACTTATTTGCCCACTGAATAAAACGTGTTGAATCTCTGCATTAAAAACAGCATCTGCTACACGTAATGGAGGAACACAATGGGACTATGAACTCTTCTAGTTCATTTGGTGCATAAAACTATTATATAGCTATTATTTTTCTCATTTTACAGATAAATTGAGATTCAGAGAGCTTAAAACCTACCCCCACAACCACCATGCTGACAAGTTAGCATGAGCCGTAATTCAAATTCAGTTTGCCAGACAGCCCCAAGACCCATACCCTTTTCCCTATACCTAACTCCCTAGGAGGTAGATCTTATGTCCTGCTCTTATGTTCTATGTGGGGCACACTCACCATACACGTTATATTTCCCCATACAATAGAGTGAGACTAGAGGACTATCTTTTGAACCAGGAATTGCTCTCCTAGGAATGATTTGGAAAAAAAGATAAAGAAAAGTTATATTTAAAAAGTGGCAGCTCCAGACCAAGGAGAATAAAAAATAAAAACATTAAAGAATAACAAATAAAATTCTCCACATCACGGACTAAAACCATTTTACAGGTCAAGAAACATCTGCATACAAACTAAGGAACCTATGTAAATTCATATACTAGTTATGGTGGGGCCAGGATCTCAACCCAGACAGTCCGATTCCCAAACAGGCATGGTTAATGGTTACGCTATTGTTTTATAAGCCTTTTTGAGATCCACAGTGAGAAATATATTTCACCTCATGATCCTGATTTTGTTTCACACAAAAGTGAAACAACTTCTACAAAACAGCATTGACCTTAATATGTAGCAAAAACTTTAAGATGTTGATTTCCAGTCATGAAATTCTCTCATGACCCACGATTTAAAAAACACACAATGCTTAAGTGCTTCAAAAATACAGTATTTATTGTAATAACTACAGTAGCAAGAAGAAAAAAACGAAGTGGAACTACGTGTTTAGCAGCAGAGCTGAATAATTATGAATATAAACAATTACTATTGGGAGAAAATACATTACACTCATTGCTTGGAACCATGAATAATACTTATATATGTACGAAATATAGAAAAATAAAATAGGTTAACATAATAAGGATATAGGCAATTATTTTTTTTAATTTTATAAAAACTTTTATTTTTCCTTACAAACTGGGGTAGTTAGGAGACCTGATAATAGCTTTTTTATTTTCTTGGCACCAAAGCAACTTACTTATGTGTTCCTTCTTGCATTATCTGTTCCAGATCATAGTCAAGTTTTCCAATTCGTTTTACTAAGCTAGCAAAATTTTTTATACCAAAAAGAGTAAAATCAAAACAAATGCTCCTTTGTTTATAGATGAAAATCTGGAGCAAAATAACACAACATTAAAAAAACAAAACTTTGCAAACACATCCTAAAGCTACACACATTGAAGCGTTTACAGCAATATGCTCCCTGGGTTCGTTCTCCCTTCCCCCAATCCTCTAAACTGTGCCTTTGGGTCTCAGACCCTTGTCCCGGGGGTCCCTCTGAATCCACCTTTCAAGAGGATGGAGCTGGGCCACTAGGCTGAGGTCTGGCCCTGTTCTCCTCATCTGCCAAAGCCTCACAGTACTGCGCTGGCCAGTCCTTGGGGTCTTGATTATGGACCTTGGCCACAAACTTAAGAACTTTCATCTTGCTGGTTTCCAGGTTGGTTCGCGGGCCCCACTGGAATTCGTAGTCGACGGGGTCGGTGTGGGGTATCCGCCGGTATTCCAGGTAACGCTGTCGCACAAAGTCCTCAGTAATGAGTTTCTTTGGATCTCCGAAAATTAAATGCTTCTTGGTGGGGTAGACCCCTAAGCGCCGCAGAAAGTCCCAGGCTTCAGTTTCCTTGATGGTGTTGCCCTTCATAAAGATGAGCCCTAAGACGATCATCAGGAGGCCCGTAGTGGGCGTGCCTTGGTCACCCCTCATCTCGGCATCCTCCTCCACAGGCTCCAGGGTGTTGATGAGGATGTAAGTGTTGCTCTTGGGTTCAAGTTCCACCAGCTTATACCCGAAGACGTACTGGAGGCGCTCGGCGGCCCGTTTGAAGAGGTCGGGGAAGATGTCCTTGTAGTCCCCGATGACGTGCTTCAGTATGTCGGCCCGCTTGATCGGAATCTTCTTCTGGTCTTTAATCAGCAAGAACTGCACCAGCTCGGACACTTTCAGCTCCAGCTGCTTCTGGCTCCTGGGCCCCACGGCGGGGGCGGCCTGGGCCCGGCGGGCGCCCTGAGGCGAGGGGCCCTGCGACCCCTGCGAGCCGCCCGGCCCGCGGGACGTGCTCGGGGCCTCCTCGGCAAAGCCGTCTCTGAGAACCCGGGCGTCTTCCCCGGCCCGCGAAGCCCCGGGGTTTCCGCTATGGCTCCAGTCTCTGTCCCTCTCGGCCTGGCCGCCAGAGCGGCCCCGGTTCCTCGGTTTTTGCAACATGTCTCCGGCGGCAGGTGCCGGCGCACACTCCGGTAGGCAAGCAGCCGCGGCGGGGATTGCGGGTCGGCGACCCGCTAACGCCGGTGCCTGGAGGCGCGCGCAGTGTCGGCTGAGACTGCGTGCTGCGTCATGAAGCCTGCGCCTTGCGTCAGGGCGGCTGGGCGGTGCGCCTGCGCGGCTGCGGCGGGTACCAAAAGGAACAGCGTTTTCCGTGCAGCCCTGCAGGTCCGGGCGATGATTTTTAGTATAGTGAAGTGTTGTTACCAAACCATGCAAACAGAGAGCGAGAACCGAAACTCCTAAACAAGTGTGTCGCTAAATTCAGACCACACAGGCTCAGGCAAGTTTTACAGACAGTATTATGAGTTTCTAAATCGGGAGCATTTGTAAACGGAAAGAATTCAGAGGATGAACGTGTGAGAAAAAAAAAAGGTGAAGAGGAAGGGCCGACCGTGGAAGTAAAGTAAAAACATTTATTTCTACACAAAATGTAGAAGGACATAAAAGACCCAGAGGGCTCTTAGTTTTCGTCCCTCCACCCAATTTCATACCCTCCATCCCACTGCCCCCAGTTACTTTCTCTAATGCCCCGTGGAGTCTGTTAAAAACCAAAGTCGGCTGCAGGCTTTCTGCGCAAGCAGGACTTCAGTTTCACTATTTCCGTATTTATATTCTCTGCATTAAACTCCTTTAGCTAGACAACTATGAGAAGACCACAAAAAACGTGTCAGTATTAGGTAAATGTTTTAGCTTGGTCACATGGGTTTATCTTTTGGAAAACAACTGCTTTCGTCACAACCACAATTTTAGCAGAAATGGGTAAGAGGAATGCTGCAAACAAACGTGCACTCTCAAGAGATTACTACTTAATTTGGGGCATCACTGATCAAGAATTGCAATAATGTGGAGCTCTTAAATTTCTTAATTCATAATATATTAGCTTTGAGGAAAAAAAAGAGAACACTGGGGGATTTATCTCTCATCTATGATGTGATATACAGTCTCTACTGTATATTTTAATTGTGCAACTCAAGTAGCCAAAATGAGTCATTTCATTAACTCAAACCATCAGCAGTCTGCTGCCATGACTTCTACAGATCTTAGCAAATTTGTTTCTTCTCTATTTACTTGCAAAGAAGAAACTGAATTTCCCTGTGTCTTTTTAAAGCTACCCAGAAAGTGGATAAACTCTTCAAAGAACCAAATTGAGTTCCTCTTTAATGCAAATATATTCAAAGGAAAGCAATTTAGAACACATTATCTGAGTAATAGCATCAAACACAACCTTATTAAAATTTTGTTAATTGTTAGTAGCATAACACTTTTGTTTGTAATTCAGTAGGAAAATGCAATCTGATAATGGCACTGGAACTGCAATAGTAAATGTAAAATCATATTCCATGAACTAATGCAAGTATGCTAAAATCTGGTATGCAATGAGTAATAACTTACTGTTCCACACAAGATGCAACTATATCCTCAGGCATCAATTTTAATGACAAAGGCCTACTATGAAAAACAAATATATTATCAAGGCATTCATTTTTTTACAATGAGAAAATTCATCTGCTTCAGTTTCCTTGCAAATTAAAATCTGGACTTAGGTTCATAGAAGCTTCCTGCCATCTAGAATTCTGCAAAAGGTCCCTACTGCAGGATGTGGATGTTGTATTGAGGGAATAGAGAGACCGTCTCATATTGTTTTATATTGTTTTATACTCAGTACCTGTTTTAAGAAAAAACAACAAGGAAGTAAAACCAAATACAGGCAGCCCAGCGCCAGGCCCAAAACCAGGCCTGGGCCTGCCTGGCCTAAACCCAGTAGTTAAAAATCAACTCATAACTTAGAAACCGATGTTATTCATAGATTCCAGACATTGTATAGAAGAACATTGTATAAAGAACAGAACTGCCCTGTTCTGTTTCTCTCTGACCACCGGTGCATGTAGCCCCTGTCACATACCGCCTGCTTGCTCTGATCAATCACGACCCTTTCATGTAAAATCTTTAGTGTTGTGAGCTCTTTAAAGGGACAGAAATTGTGCATTTGGGGAGCTCGGATTTTAAGGCAGTAGCTTGCCGATGCTCCCAGCTGAATAAAGCCCTTCCTTGTGCAACTCGGTGTCTGAGAGATTTTGTCTGCGGCTCGTCCTGCTACAGTGCCTTGAGTCAAAAAAGTTCAGTGACCGAGATATAAGGGGAAAGTGGAAAATTAGATAAAAGCTATTGTCAACAGTTGGGCTGGTTTTTCAGTGCTCTTTCTTGCTAAGGTATTCATGTACGTTACCAAGCAGCCCACCAGTCAGACTACCCCTGTCACTGTGAAAATCAGCAGTGTCCTCCAGCAGCACGCTTACCTAGATAGCAGACTGTCATTACTCAAGATAGAGGAGAAGAGATACCAGTTTTTAAGTCTCAAAACATCTCTCTACACTCTTTCCAGAAGAATGCAGGTGAGAAAATGCAGACATAAAATAAGAGTATTAGAATGAAGTTTTAGGCCCTGCATGGAGAAGTCATCCAGACCCACATTCCACCTTGGATTGATACTGGAAGCCATGGATGTCTGGGGAGAAACTGTGGTGATAACAATACTAACATTAGTAACAATAAATATAACCGACAACAGCCAATGATTATAGTAGTTGCTGCTCCATCTCCATGTCTGCAGTTTTACTTTCTGTGGTTTCAGTTACCTGCAGTCAACCACAGTCCGAAAATATTAGGATATTTTCAAAGAGAAACCACAATATAACTTATTACACTATATTTGTTCTACTTTATTGTTAGTGTCAACTGAAGGATGACGAGGTTCATAAATTTGGAAAGAGCTTTATTTCTCATAAAGGGTTGCAGTCTGCGGGGCGGCCATTCCAACAGGCTAGGAAGACAACCTCATGCTAGAAGCCAGAAACAGACACTTCAAGGGAGGGCAAAGGGAGCAGGAATCTATGCAGAATGGGGTGGCCAAATATACATATTTAATAAGCTATAGGAGGAGTCATGAACATTTATGCAAGGAGAAATGTGCATATGCGCAATTGCACTTCATGTCTCTCCCTGGGACCCATATTCCAAAATTGGCAGTGTTAGCATGATCCAGGGTAGGAGTTTTCAGCCCTCTGACATCAAAAGGTGAAGTAGAGGACATGAAAACCCTGACTGCATGTCTTCCATAGACTGGCCAGAACTACTCCATGGTTGGTGGTCTTTTACCAGGAAGAACTGCTGGTCAATTGTGCCAAAACTGCAAAAGGGAGGGGCAGCATCAGGTGGTTGGTTTATACCAGCAGTGGAGTCTTTTGAAAGGGCTGATTTCTGTTTAGCTCTTAGGGAAGAAAGCCTAATGGCATTTAGAGCGGGTGAGGGTTTCCAAGGTTATTCGGGGTCCCCTTGGCCAAGAGGGGGTCTGTTCAGTCAGCTGGAGGGCTTAAGATTTCATTTTTCTCATCAATTATTGTTAATCTCTATTATGACTAATTTATAAATTAAACTTTTTTTTTTTTTTTTTGAGATGGAGTTGCGCTCTGTCGCCCAGGCTGGAGTGCAGTGTCACGATCTTGGCTCACTGCAACCTCCGCCTCCTGGGTTCAAGAGATCCTCACATCTCAGCCTCCCGAGTAGCTAGGATTACAGGTGTGTACCACCACGTCTGGCTTTTTTTGTATTTTTAATAGAGATGGGGTTTCACCATGTTAGCCAGGCTGGTCTCGAACTCCTGACCTCAAGTGATCCATCCACCTCAGCCTCCCAAAGTGTTAGGATTACAGGTGTGAGCCACCGCTCCTGGCGTAAATTAAATTTTATCATAGGTTCGTGTGATGATTCATGTGGAGTGTCAACTTGATTGAAGGAAGCAAAGTATTGTTCCTGGGTGTGTCAGTGAGGGTGTTGCCAAAGGAGATTAACATTTCAGTAAGTGGACTAGGAGAGGCAGACCCACGTTCAATCTGGGTGGGCACCATCTAATCAGCTGCCAGTGCGGCTAGAATAAAAGCAGGCAGAAGAACGTGGAAGGACTTGACTTGCTGAGTCTTCTGGTCTTCATCTTTCTCTCATGCTGGATGCCTCCTTCCCTTGAAAGTCAGACTCCAAGTTCTTCAGCTTTTGGATTCTTGGACTTACACTAGTGGTTTGCCAGGGGTTCAAGGGTCTTCAGCCACAGACTGAAGGCTGCACTATTGGATTCCCTACTTTTGAGGTTTTGGAACTCAGACTGGCTTCCTTGCTCCTCAGCTTGCAGATGGCCTATTGTGGGGCTTCACCTTGTGATCATGTGAGTCAATACTCTAGTAAACTCCCTTTCATATATACATCTATTCTATTAATTCTGTCCCTCTAGAGAACCCTGACTAATACAGTATGTATCTATGCATAGGGAAAAACATTGTGGATTTAGGGTTTGGTGCTGTCCACGATTTCAGGTATCCACTGAGGGTCTTGGAACACATCCTCCACAGACAAGGGGGGACTACTATACAAAGTGAATGGTGGGTCAGACCTTATTCCAGGTGGTTTACAGGTATGACTTCATTTAATCCCCACAACAAACCTATCAGGCATGTGCATTTATTATGTTTCTCTTCTCACAAATAAACTGTCACAGGAGAAGATTATTAAGTTTTGAGGCTCTATAGCGAGTAAGTGGTAGGTGTGAGATCTGAACACAGCCAATCTGCCTCCAGAGAGTGGGCTTTTAACTGTATACTGATTCAGAGCAAACATAGACATGGTGTCCTTGAAAAGTAAGGGCTTTGGGATCAGATGAACTAACATTAGAAACCTGTACGATACTGACACTCCTCCCGGTTTAAGTCTCCAAGTCAACAAAATGAGGCCTAAACCTGGCATCAGGGGATTAAGTGAGATAGGTTTACCCAGTACCTAGCACAGTGCCTGGCAGGGTAGTTTGATAACAATTTGCTTCTTTCCAGGGATTTCTGTTAAGGAAAATATTTGAGGACTACACAAAGTTGTATATACTGCAGGGGAGGCAAAACCTTCCCTCCACCCTCGAAGGGCCCCAGCTGGACCTGAGACTTAAACTAATATAAAATAGATTAACAGGAGAAAAGCATTCAAACTTCATTTAAGTTTTACAGGACACAGGAGCGCTTGTTAGGGAAATGAAGACCGAAAGAGGTGGCAAAACCTAAATGCTTTTATATTTGGTTGAACAAAGAGAGGTAATTGTGGGAAAAGTAAATTATGTGGGGAGGATAAAGGGAGATAATTATTTTAACGAAGTTGTTTGTACAGAATTCACTTGGCTTTGAATCCCCATTGAGTAATGTTTCTTTCCTCTTGGTACAGTAAAGCTATTTTTCACATGGGAGTTTTTATCTCCTGTTTTCAGGAAGAAAAGAGGAAATTCAAATGCCCTTCTTGCATCTGCTATTTTTCAAGTGCCTTTAGCTCAAAGTAATCCTTATGCCAAAGTGGCATATTTTGGGCGGGCAGCATATTCTGCCATCCTTCAGTAGAACGATGAGAAAGATGTTCACTGCAGCAAAACACATGTACACAAGAATCAAAAGGGCTGGAAAGAAATATATATATCAAGGTACTATTAAAGTTAATTTGCTTTTAAAAATAAAAATCAACCCTGATTTTCTTGCTTGGGAGATGAATAAAAAATATATTTTCAATGAAGTTTAACTTCAAAGTGACACTATGCCATAGCAGCTATGCACATTCACATGTTCAATACATTCAGTGTGATTCGAATATGGCATTTGTGACTTTCTGTTCAGGCAGTGAAGTCACAAAGACAAGTGGTTAAAAAAGAAAAACATTTTCAAACACTTTATGTTAATGACCTTCATGCTTTAATTACTAGACCCAAAAGAAAAAATCAAAAGTCTTTGAGGCAAAAGCTAAGCTAGCTAAGATTTCAAGTGCAAAGAACAAGGAAATGCCTACTACAAATTGCTCTTTAGATGTTTATAGTAATTAAATGTTTTATTTTGTCTTTTCGATAGCAAATGCCTGCCAAGAAACTCTAATCATCTTTATTATCTACTAGATTCTCCTCTTCATTCATGGTATTTCTTGTGAATCAGAAAAAGGCTTTAATTTTTCTGACAGCAACACAGTGCTAAAAGCAGGTGAGGACTTCTTAGGAAGAAAGGCAATGATCAAAGCATGCAGCCACCACATATGAGCTGTTCTCTGCCTTTTCCAGTGGAAGAAAGTGGGCCAATGTGCAGCATGTGAGCAAGGGAGTTGGGAGGCAAATACTATTTTGGTGGGTAGACAGCAGGAAAAGCAATCCAGACATCTTAATGGTTGCAATAAAGTCCCTTGTGTCCACACATTTACAACAGTTATATATATTCATTCATAGCAAAGATCCCTCCTGCCTAGGTCACATGGTAGACTACCTAATAACACTTTGTCCCTCATAAATGAATATTTTGATGAAGCAGCAACAGAGTTTTCCTTGGCTGGTGGAAGCGGGTGGAGAGGTGAGCCTTGACAAGATAGTGCTTTCCAAGCATTGCAGCCATTTGGCCCAGAAGCCTGGTCTTAGACTCTCTTTTCAAGAAATGCATCTTCCAGTTATCCAGGGCCCTTTACTTATGAAAATCATTAGGGCCTATTAAGTTATAAAATTACAAACATCCAAGGTCTTGATAGTGGTCACTAAGATTCTCTTCGTTTGCTTGGTTTCTAATCCCTTTGTTCTGTATCCTTTCCCTTTAGAAACAGCCTCTTCCCACCTTTAAAAGACCTTAGTATAGGGCTGCCTTCCTTTCCTGAGTGCACAGGATTCAGGCCAGACACAGTGACTGGTTCAGAAGTTCAGTCAGCATCCTTCCAGGACATTCAGACAGATTCTCGCCCCTCTGAGCTCACAAGCTGAGGGGTGATGTAAGCCTAGCCACTTGTGCCCTTGCTTCTGAAAAACCTGCCTCAGGGCGAAGCCAACTCAAAAGAGATCTAAGAGATGGGAAACAATCTTAATGCTGCCATTTGAATCCCTGGATGCTGAGTTCAAGATCAGACTCCTGGAGATAATGAATTACTAAAGCATCTCCTTTTGCTTAATCTGCTTTGAGTTGGTTCCTGTCACTTGAAAGTGAACAAGGTCTGGCTAAATCAGTAGCCAATCCTATTATTCAGGGGAAAAAAGGGTAGTAAGAAATGAGACTTTGGAGCTAGGGAAGGTTAAAACCAATGAGGAGTTTTGAATATAATGAGAGGTGAATTGAAAACAATATGACATTTTTGTTATGTTTCTTCCCAGTGTTCTGTGGTTGGGGAATGTGCTCATCATTTTAGTTGGTGGCAACAGGGGTAAGGGAGAGACAAATTATGAAGAACTGTACTTTTCCATATGGAAAGTATATATGGGCCAGGCACAGTGGCTCAGGCCTGTAATCCTAGTACTTTGGGAGGCCGGGGCAGGCAGATCACTTGAGGTCAGGAGTTCCAGACCAGCCTGGCCAACATGGCGGAACCCCATCTCTACTAAAAATACAAAAATTAGCCAGGCCTGGTGGCGGGTGCCTGTAGTCCCAGCTACTCGGGAGGCTGAGGCAGGAATCGCTTGAACCCAAGAGGCAGAGCTTACAGTGAGCCAAGATTGTGTCACTGCACTTTAGCCTGGGCCACAGAGCAAGACTCCGTCTCAAAGAAAAAAAAAAAAAAGTACAAATGAGCTAATCAATCTGGTGATTTACCTTTGCAGAAAGGAGTTTTACACAATTTGGAATATAAATTAAAGCAGCGGTCCCCAACCTTTTTGGTACTAGGGACCAGTTTTGGGGAAGACAATGTTTCTATGGAAGGTGCGGGAGTGGGAGGGTGGTTTGAGGATCCCCGCCTGCAGTTCTCAGTAGGGCTCACATCCCTATGAGAATCTAATGCTGCCGCTTATCTGACAGGAGGTGGAGCTCGGGCAGTAATGCTCACTCGCCTGCCACTCACCTCCTGCTGTGCGGCCAGGTTCCTAACAGGCCACGAACTGGTACTGGTCCACAGCCTGGGGTTTGGGAACCCCTGCCTTAAAGCATCTCCTACTCTAAAGTGGCTGTGTTCTCCATATTTAACCCAGAGCACTTCCCCACTTGCTATACCACGCAAGATGACAGAAACCTCATTCTTCCAGACTACGCTTTAGCCTAAAGTAGAGATATATGCACAGGACAGAGGTATGTCCACAAAGAGAGCTGACAAAGCTAATATCCAGACAGGGACAATGCGAATAGGTTATGAGAAAACTGAACACGTTGAAATGGAAAAAAAATAAATTAGAGAAAAAATAAAAATATTCAAGGCAGACAAGAAAGACCCCATGTATACATAACTGGTGGTCTTGAGGGAGATAACAACCATAAAGAGAGAAACAGGTGACTGTAGGAGTCCTGGGGAGCTGGGTTTACACAGGCCCCGCCTCTCTGATCCCACCCCCACCCCACTGCAGCTCCCTCCCTTGGACTAATAACCACAGCAAGCATGCTTCCAGGACTGGAGGGTAATCAGAGGCCATGGGTTCCCCAAGATCTGCAGAAGAGATCCAGTACAGGGTTCCTCCCTCCCTGAGACACAAGTGAGAGCTTAGCAATGAAGTTGCATGCGGAGAAGAGGGCTTGCCCCTTCCCAAGGAAGTCCTGGGAAAAGCAAGGACTGTGTGGTACTTGTGGGGTCTGTGCTGGCAGAAGCCCGTGTCTCCCTTCTGAGAGAGTCCACAGCTGTCCCCTTTCTGAGAATAGTCCTCCAAGACCCTGTCCCAGGCTGTTGTTCTTTGGGAGAGGCAGGCTAACTGCTGCCAGGCTTCAAGGTTGGGAGAGCCAGCAGTTTGCCCCCTGTGAGGCCTGGGCTCCAAGAGGCCCTTCATAGTACTTCAAAAGGCATGTAGACAGTGTGCCCTCTGATGCATCGTGACCATAAAAGCAAAACCTGCTGGGCCTCTTGCTACTTGCCACCTCATACTTTTTCAGTGACTCCCAACAACATGACTCACAGAGGAAAGGGAGAAGCACAGACCCCATTCCAGTTATCCCACTGGATATCCTTGGCCTCTTTTCTGCAGATCTGTTGACCACAGATGTAAGAATTTATTTCTGGAGCCTCAATTCTAATCCATTGCTCTACATGTGCACTGGTTTCCTGGGGCTGCCACAGCAGAATACCACAGACTTGGGGGCTTAAACAACAAAGTGATTCCTCACAGTTCTGGAGGCTCCAAGTCTGAGATCAAGGAGTCGGCATGTTTGGTTCCTCCTGAGGCTTCTCTCCTTGGCCTGCAGATGACCACGTTCTCACTGTGTTCTCAGCTGGCCCTTCTCTGTGCATGTACATCCCTGGTGTCTCTTCCTCCTTTTGTTGACTATAAGGATACCAGTCCTGTTGGACCAGAGCCCCACTGTAAAGGCCTCATTTTAACTTAATCCACTTAAATAACTTATTTCCACACACAGTAAGTCTGAGGTTGAGTCTTTTGAATTCTGGGGGAGACACTGCAGCCCATCACGTATGTTGACGTGTGCCACCGCCACACTGCCTGGTTATTGCAGAGTGTTAGTAAGTTTTGAAATTAGAAAGTATAAGTGCTCCAGTTCTGTTATTTTTCAGGATTATTAGGGCTATTCTGGGTCCCTTCCATCTCCATATGAATTTGAGAATCAGCTTGTTTATTCCTGCTAAAATTTAGTTGGGATTTTTTTTTTTTTGAGATGGAGCCTGGCTGTGTCACCAGGCTGGTGTGCAGTGGTGCAATCTCGCCTCACTGCAACCTCCACCTCCCGGGTTCAAGTGATTCTCCTGCCTCAGCCTCCTGAGTAGCTGGGACTACATGCGCACGCCACCACACTCAGCTAATTTTTGTATTTTTAGTAGAGACGGGGTTTCACCATGTTGGCCAGGATGGTCTTGATCTCTTGATCTCGTGATCCGCCCACCTTGGCCTCCCAAAGTGCTGGGATTACAGGCATGAGCCACCGCGCCTGGCCTCAGTTGGGATTTTCACAGGGCTCGTTTTGAGTCTGCAGATCAATTTGGGTAGTACTGACATCTTAAAATTAAGTCTACCGATCCACATAAGTGGGATGCTAGTTAATATGGACAAGTGAATTTATTACTCCTCCAAAAAACTATTTTCACAAACTTTATATCAACATGAGAAATCATGTTGTATCTTTCTACCTGGAGGGAGCAAGAAAGTCAGGTGGTGTGCCTTTTGTACATGGGCAACCCAATTTCTTATCTAGACTTTCTTTTGCTCGCCTGGAAAAAAAAAAATGAGGTATTGCAAAAATGTGATAATTGCTTTCCTTAGTATGAAAAACTGTTAAAATGAGTAAAGCCTGTGCTCAACTAGAATTCTCACATTTCCGTTTTGATGTATCCGCATTTCACAGTAAAAAAAACCCTCAGTTATGTACATATGTGATCCTGAAGTACCCATGATTAAAAACAAATATTTCAATCTACAATGTTCAGTTCTATTAGATCATTAAAAGACGTATCTCTACTCGCATTCTCTGAAAACGTGTAAATCATGCTCAGCATAGTGACAACTCCACTAGGACAGGCCGACCAACTCATTTGTTACAAAGTCTCTGGCCCCCTGAGTGAGGAGCCCCCAGAAACCTAATGTGAAAGGAAACTTCGGTTTTCTCCCCAGCTGCTTTCCTTGAGTTTGCATGATATGCTTTGGCTGCTATGTGGAGCTGTCAAAAGCCTTGAACAGACAAAATAAAGAAGAATGGCATTCCAGGAAATAAACAAGCTTAATCTCAGTTGGACAGAAGGAGGTACAAAGAAGGCCTGGGGAAGGAAGAGGAAGAGGCAGGATACAGGGAAGACAGAATGGACTCTGTAACCTCAGGAAAAAATAGCAACCTTATAAATACAAAGATGTTCCCTGGCAGACACATGTCAGCACCTGGGTTATGAAAGACCAGCCAATGCCCCCCCACACAGGTTAGAATCACATTCATCAGGAAGAAAGAGAGCAGAAGGACCCTGCTGCCTGGTGATGTCTCAGCTGGCGTGGCTGCAGCTTTGCTTCCAGCAGCCGGGGAACCGCCATGGGAAGGCGTTTCCTCAAAATGCATGAAAGGCGGAGGAGCTTGGTTTTCTGATGGTTTGCTGCCCCTTGAAGTTGGCAACACCATCCCTTCATCTGCATGGATAAACCGGGGCATCCTTTTTGAGAAGCAGTACTTTTTTTTTTAAGACTTTATTAATCCCACACGTTTGAGAGAGGTGGTTGGGAAAGCAAGTATTAATGAATTAACTGCTTCCTAGGATTCAATCAGTCATTAAAAATGTACCCGTGAAATTTTCTTGAGCTGTTCAATTGTTTATCATTATCCAAGTGGTTCATACTCTCATGCATTTATTTTCCTTCCACATTTACCTCTAAGCAAATTACCTAATTCAACATGGTTATTATTCTGGATATTTAAAAGCTGTGTATTGGGAAATTTCACATAGTAATATGAATACACCTGTTACGCTTAATCCTTTGTGCCTAGGTGTGATTATTAGATATAATTTATAGAAATTCTGCCGAACTCATTGTAATTTATTATCCATTTATGGTTTTACTTGATTAGTCTTACTTAAGGATGATATTTTCTAAATGTATAAATAAATGATACAGCCTATTAAAGTGGAGGTTATATAATAAGTGACGGGTTTAGGAGTGGACATGTGACCGAGCTCTGGCCAATGAGTTGCAAGGGGTATTTTTGGGGGCATCTGAGAAATGTTTACTTGCTCTTAAAAAAGAAGATTGTAGGAAAAAAAGAAGGAAAACTTTCCTGTTCTACTGGACTCCCATACCAGACATCTGCATGTACTGCCTCAAGCAGGGGCAACTGTCTCATGACTGAGTAGAGCTAAGCCACCACATCAATACATCGAAACTGGCAGAGGGGAAAGCTGGAAAGATTCTAGGTCCTTGAATTTGTGAGGCTGCTGAACCAGCTAACCCTGCGGCAACCCCGCTCTGGACTTGCCATTTGACGTAATAACTTCCTTCGTTATTGAAACTTGTGTGAATTGGTTTGTATCACTTGCAGCCAAAAGCCACCCCAAAGCTTCCCAGCTGACAGCTGTAGACTAGGGAGTCCCAACAAGAGGAACAGACTTCACCTGGTGAAGCCATGCCAACCCACTCCACCTGTCTCTGAGATCTATAGACATTTGAATGTGAGCGTGAAATGCTGCTCAAGTTCAGGTAGACTACAGCTCAAGAATGTGAGACTACAGGTTGGTAGTCTGCCTCCCTCTCTAAGGCAAAGAGATATTTCAATGTTACCTGGGACCTGAGAAAGGGGGAGGGTCTATGGTTTGCCCAGATAACTAAAGTCTGTAGGTTAGAAAGACAGGATTTGTTTGGAAGCTATAAAGATGTATCCTCATATGTCATGGACATCATGTGATATGGTTTGGCTGTGTTCCCACCCAAATCTCATCTTAGCTCCCATAATTCCCACATGTTGTGGGAGGGACCCCACGGGAGATAACTGAATCATGGGGAAGGTTTCCCCCATACTGTTCTCATGCTGATGAATAAGTCTCACGAGATCTGATGGTTTCATAAGGGGAAACTCCTTTCAGCTGGTTCTCATTCTCTCTTGTCTGCTGCCATGTAAGACGTGCCCTTTGCCTTCTGCCATGACTGTGAGGCCTCCCCAGCCACGTGAAACTGTGAGTCCATTAAACCTCTTTTTCTTTATAAATTACCCAGTCTTGGGTATGTCTTTATCAGCAGCACAAAAACAGACTAATACATCATCCTAACTTGAATGATGCCTGTCCTCAGTGAGTGGTCCATTGTGAGTATCCATCAAGGAGTTTTCTCCCACTGCACACTGGACCTCAGGAGTTACCACAAGCTCCCTAGCACTCTTCAAATTGTTCCTCGTTTCCAGCAAGTCATCTCTTCTCCACCCACCTCATGAATTCAATATTTTAGATGCCTGTCACATTGCCTGTCGCTGATCCCTGACTCTTGAGACCCCACTATGTGCTACAGTCTTGGTCCCCTGTTTGCTTGGAAGAAGACAGGAAGTTTTAACCCGAGGCTGTAGATGGCTTCAGGCATACCGGTCTGTTCTTGTTGCCTGGACTCCTCCAGCACATCCAAGTCTGCCCTTTAACCGTTTCTTGGCTACAACTGGTCTCAATATGGTGATGGCCAGGGGACAGATGAGCTTTGAAAGCCTCGGGCCAACCAGCCAGATGTTCTCTTGCCTCCAGTGGTCACTGGTGATGCCTGGTATGGGGGTGTGTCCAGAGGTTGACCCACTGTTGCTCCCCATGGCCTATGATAGAGGGCCATGCTCACACAGGGAGCTGGGACCAAAGACCAGAGTCCAGCAAGAATCTCTGGACCAAAGGTCAGGCAGTCTGGAGACAGTCTGCATCTCTGGCAGACCCCAGGGTGAGAAGCAGCTATCCCAGGCCAGAGTGGGGTCAGCTGGCCAATCTGGGGGCTCTGGAGCAGATGAGAGGGAGCCTGTCCTGCACACTTGAAAGAGAAGTTGCAAGGTAGTACCAAGGACAATTCAGCTCTACTTGATTCTGAAAAGACTATCCCCACCCTCACCATAAGGAGAAGAGACAGTGTAGTTTGCCAGTGCAACTGCGGAGGGAAAACAATCCCACCCTATCTGCCTCTATCTCTTCTTCTTTTTTTTTGGAGACAGAGTCTTGCTCTGTCACCCAGGCTAGAGTGCAATGGTGTGAGCATAGCTCACTGTAACCTTGAACTTCTGGGCTCAAGTGATTCTCCTGTCTCAGCCTTTCCAGTAGCTGGGATTACAGGCATAAGCCATCATGCCTGGCCCCATCTCTATCAATCCACCATGGCCTGGGGGGGATTTTAGCTATCATAGCCTGCAGCTGGGCCCAAACCAGCGCTGGGGAAACTCCACACCCACCAAAACAATGCAGCACAGCAAACTGATGTGCCCCCTAAGAGGGACAGTGGTTTGAAGGAAGGAGACAGCCAAATTCTAGAACAGATGGCTACTACAGAGCAGAACTAATGACAGATACAGAAATAGACTATATAATATAAACAATGAGAATTCATAAGGAGATATTATTAGAGCACAAAAAATGCTGCCAGAACAGAAAAATGCTTGATTTTTTTTATTGTTTTGTTGTTCCTGGATCCTAAGAGAAACTCCAAATGCTCGACTTTTTCCATTTAAAAATTTAGTAGAGGTACTGTATAAAAGAACGGTCCCCACTAAAAACCAAATTACTATTTTAGGAAGATAAAATGAAAGACGTATCCCACAGCACAAGATAAAAAGTTAATGAACTAAGAATCACGAGTTAAGGATCAAGATATGGAGGGTGGATGCAGGAGGATGCATCCTATGTAAATAATAGGAGTTGAGGGAGAAAACAAAAGTATGAGAGAATAAAAAAAGAAATGCCAAAGAAACAAAACCAATCGAGTCTTAAGATTGAAAGGGTTCTGAAAATGCTGAATTTAGACACATCCTTACAAAGCTGCTGAATTTCCAGAATAGGGAGGAAAATCATATAAGCTTCCAGACAGGAAGAACACGTTGCTTTTAGAAATAACCAGTCTAGGGGCCGGGCGCGGTGGCTCATGCCTGTAATCCCAGCACTTTGGGAGGCTGAGGTGGGCAGATCACTTGAGGTCAGGAGTTCCAGACCAGCCTGGCCAACATGGTGAAACCCATCTCTACTAAAAATACAAAAATTAGTGAGGTGTGGTGGTGCAGGCCTGTAATCCCAGCTACTCAGGAGGATGAGGCAGGAGAATCGCTTGAACCCAGGAGGCAGAGGTTGCAATGAGTAAAGATTGCACCACTGCACTCCAGCCTGGGTGACAGAGAGAGACTCCATCTCAAAAAAAAAAAAACCAAAAATAAATAACCAGTCTAATATCACATTTCTCACCTGCAATCATGGAAAGTAATAGATCATGGGCTAACATTTAGTGGCTAGGGAGAAGAAAGAACTGATGAGGAATCCTCCACCAGGCAACTACAGAGAAATCAATGATTGGACCTGCAGTCAGGAAACACAGCTTCTCTGCATACTCTCTGTGAATACTCCAGGATACGCTACCAAAGAGCCAGATCAGAACAAGGGTCCAAGGGAGAAGACAGAGTGCAGTGATCAACAGTGAGAGTGAATCTCGTAATATTTATTTTTAAATCTTCATGCACAATGGTAACGTCAATGCAAGTTATAACACAATTTTTCTTGAGGATTCTTGAAATGAAATAATGAAAATTTTAGTTAGATCCTAGCCCCAATCTCAGCATACTCCAGGAATAAGGAGAAGACAAGGGCGAAGGAGTGAAAAGAAACATGATTCCCAGGGTTTCTCCTCCAGGTGGGATGAGATGAAGAGGACACTGAAAATATTCAGGCAGAAGGGTGTGCTGGTAATTAAGCTACGTTTTCTCAATTTCAAATCCACTGCTCCCTGACGCTGGAGTGGGGGCTCTTTAAGCTGTGGTTTTCTTTTGTTAGATGGTGTTCTATTGGGTTCTTCCAGTAAGAGGCAATGGAGGGAGCCTGGAAAGTGGGGAGAGGAGATGAACTTGCTTCTTCCTTTTCTCTTGCTCTCCATGTCAGTACCAGCCTGGCAGTACCCCTGCCCTGGGCTTCAACCTCTCTCAGGACTTCCAAACCAGCTTTCTTGTGCTCTCTCAGAAGTATGAACAATAGCAAAGCACTTCCCTGCAGATATGAAAAAGACTGAAAGAGAATACTATATACAGCCTTTCCCAAAACATTTGAAAAACAGAGAAAGTGGGCAAATTCCTAGAAAAACACAACCAAGAAAAACTGATGCAAGAAGAATCACAAAGTTTGAATAATTCTAGGAGCTTCTGAATCTGGAATTCCAAACTTCCCTTCCCAGAAAACTTCAGGCCAAGATGACTTCACTAGTAAATTCCACTGAACATTTGAAGAAGAAATAACACCAGCCTTAAATAAATGTTTCCAGAAAAGCAAAAGAGGGACTAATCCCCATTGTGTCTTATGAAGGAAGTTTAACCTCCATATAAAATCTGTCAAGGACATTTTGAAAAATGAAGATGAAAGACCAATCTCTCTCATGAATATACGATAAAAAAATCCCAAACAAAACATTAACAAACAGAATCAAGAGATTCAGCTTGAGCAAGCTGAGTTCAGTCAAGGAAATAAGGTTGGTTCAACATTCAAAAACCAATCAAGATAATTCACCATATTAACAGAATAAGGGAGTTCTCTCATATGGTCTTCCCCCAAAAAAGAAAAGTCATATGATAAAATTCAGCATTTATTCATGATTTTTTTTAAACTAACAAAACAAAATTTAGCAGGCTAGAAATAGAAAGGAACTTAAACAATCACTACAACAACTTCCATTAAACATCATATGTAAAATAATGAGAATGTTGCCTCAAAGATAAGAAATAACAAAGAAAGCTGCCATCATCACTTCATCATTTTACTGGAAGTCTCAGTCAGTGCAATCAGAAAAAAGAAATAAAAGTTACAAGATTGGGGAAAAACCCCAAGTTATCTTATTTTCAAATGATGTGATTCTACATGCAGAAAATTCAAAAGAATGTAAAGATAAGTTAATAGACTCACTGAATTTATCAAAGTAGCTCGATATAAGGTTAATAGACATACATCAGCTTTATTTCTATTTTCCAATAACAAAATAGAATGAAAATAACAGCATATGTGGTACATTTTCCCAAAGATGGATGCAACGCAATCTCCCCCCTACATGCCCTTTTGTACCAAAATGTGGGTGGCTGAACCTTCCATCAAGGGACAGGGACTATCTGTCCACCCTCTCAAATGTGAACTCCTTTTGTGGCCTGCTTTGAACAATGGAATGCGGCGGTAGTGACACTGTCTGAGTCCTGGAGCCCCGGCCTCGGAGGCTGACACCTCTACTTCTGTCCTCTGGCCACGGTCCCCACTGTAGTGCTCTCCTTGCACGGACAGAGCTCAGCCCATGCCACTGACTAGGGATGACAGGAAAGGCTCAGCAGCCAGCATCAAAGTTCCAAATAGAAGAGTGAGGCCGTTTAGACCATTATGTAATTGAGTGTCCTGTTTTTAAAAAGTATTTCTTCTTTCTCCTTCCTGCCTGTTCCTTGTCTTGCCCTTAGCATGAGATAATAGTCTTTGCTCTCCCTCCTTCTACCAGGAACTCCCTGGCACAATGTTTCCCTCATCTAATTATGTTTTTGTTTAGAAGTTCCAGAGACTAAATCTTGAAACAATTCGGGCCACTATGGGATTCTCCCTGACCTGCAGATTACTTCCAAGCTGCAGTTAATTTGCAACTGGGCTGTACCCAAGATGGCACCAGCCCATTCACCAGATGGGGCAATAACGCAAGATAGTCATAGGAACAAGTCATGTAGACTGGCACCTCCTCATCACTCCTGCATGCCCCTCATACCAAACACCCTTTTTAAGCCCTTAACCTTGACCCAAAAAGCTGAAATGGTTTCTTTCAGGCACTATCCGTGGCCATTTCCCCATGGAATGGGGAAGAAAGCTTTTGGGATAAAGTCACTTTCCTTTCACTGTATTGCATCCTTGTTCTCGGCTTTGCAAGCAGCAAATAGCCGTGCCTGCATTCGGTTACAATTGGATTGCTCCAGCTACACTGCAATCACAGAAGAAAGTTTAGGCAAGACCAGCAAAAAAAAAAAAAAAAGAAAAAAAAAAAGAAAACCCATGGAATCCTGAGGAATGATAAAACTATTGTTGTTTTAAGCCATTACCTTTTGAGGTGGCTTGTGGCACAGCAATAGATAACCAAAACACCATACTCAATCACAATACCACACACACATTTATTTTGTTTAAAGTAGAAATATATCTAATGAGAGATATGCAGTGCCTCTACTCAGAACATTATAAAACAATATTGAGATAAATTACGTGAGACCCAAATACATGTTCATAGCAGACATGCTACGGTAAAGATATCAATATTCCCCATATTCATCAAAAGCTTCAATATAATCCCATTAAAAATTCCAGCAGGGTTTCTTTATACAATTTGACCAATTTACTAAAAAGCTCATGTGAAAATGCAAATGGCCCTGAATAGCAAAACAAGTCTGAACAACAAAATGCTGATGTTATAGATACCAAGTCTTATTTATAAATCTATAGTTATTAAGACAATCTGGTATTAATGCAAGTATAGACAAAAAGACCAACAAGATCGAACAGAGAATCCAGAAAGTGACCCATGGTTAGGAGGACACTCATTCGTCACAGAGATGGCACTGCACAGCTGTGGGGAAGGGACTGTCTTTTGAATAAATAGCCCAGGATCAATTGGATATTCATACAGAAAAATGAAATTACATTTTTTAAACAAAAATTTACTTTCGGTAAACTGTAGTTCTAAATATAGGTGGGAAAATAAAGCTATTTGATGATAACAGGAGAAAAACTCTGTGACCCTGAGGTAGGAAAAATATTTTTTAAATCAAGACACCAAAAAGACCACTGAAAAGGCAAGCCTCTGAAAGCAAGAAACACATACTGTTCTGTATGCATATTTGTATACGTGCGTGTGTGCATATACAGTCATGTGCCACACAATGCTGTTTTAGGCAAGTCTGGGCCACGTATGTGACAGTGGTCTCGTTTGACTGTAACGCCCAGCACAGTGCTCCTGCTCCTGTTTCCCCATCATCACCAACACCTGGTGTTGTCAGGGCCTCTACACTGGCTGTTCTCTCTGCCTGGAAAGTTCTTCCCACATGGCTCACTCCCTTGCCTCCTTCAGGTCCCCAGCAATGGTGAGATCTTCCCTCATAACTCTATATTAAGTGTAGTAATTAACGGTACAATATTTCTACTGTACCTTTTCTGTGTTTAGGTATGTTTAGAAGCACATATGCTCACCACTGTGTTACAGTCACCTATAGTATTCAGCACAGTAACGTGCTGTACAGGTTTATGGTCCAGGAGCAATGGGCTGTACCCTATAGCCTATAGGTGTGTAGTAAGCTGTACCCTCATCTAGGCTTGAGTAAGTACTCTCTATGATGTCTACACAACATGCATTTCCCAGAACACCTTTGTCATTAAGCACATAACACATAACTATATATGTACATGTGTATGTATGTACATACATATATGTATATATCCGCCCAACAAATCACAAATAACTCAATGACGGGATCATTTCCAGAACATACAAAATAAATAAGAAAAATGGGCGGGGTGCAGAGGCTCACGCCTGTAATTCCAGAACTTTGGAAGGCTGTGGGCAGATTGCTTAAGCTCAGGAGTTCGAGACCAGCCTGGGCAACGTGGCAAAACCCTGTCTCTACAAAAAATTAGAAGAAATTAGCTGGGTGTGGTGGTGTATGCCTGCAGTCCCAGCTACTCTGAAGGCTGAGGTGGGAGGATTGCTTGAGCCTAGGAGGCAGAGGTTGCAGCGAGCCAAGATCACGCCACTGCACTCCAGCCTGGGTGACAGAGGGAGACCCTGTCTCAAAAAAAAAAAAAAGAAAAAGAAAAGAAAAATGCACATAACACAATGGAACATAAGGGCTTCAAGAAAAAGAGCATCTAAATGTCAAGTAAGCATGAAAAGGCACTCTACCTTATTAGCAATCAAGGAGATGCAGAACAAAACTGTAATGAGACACCATGACTCACCACCCTATGGCTAAGATGAAAATGACTGACAACATCAAGTGCGGGTGATAATGGGGAAAAACAGGAACATTGGTGGGGTAATGTAAGCTGGACCAACCACTGTGGAAAATGATCTGGCATTATCTACTAAAGTTGAACCTATGCACCCCGAAATTTCACTCCTAGAGAGTGCACAAAAAGATTTGATATGAGGCACGGTGTGGTGGCTCACGTCTGTAATCCCAGCACTTTGGGAGGCCGAGGTGGGTGGATCACCTGGGGTCAGGAGTTTGAGACCAGCCTGATCAACATGGCAAAACCCCATCTCTACTAAAAATACAAAAATTAGCCAGGCATGGTGGTGCGCACCTGTAAACCCAGCTACTCAGGAGGCTGAGGCAGGAGAATCACTGGAATCCGGGAGGTGGAGGTTTCAGTGAGCCAAGATCGCACCACTGCACTCCAGCCTGGGTGACAGAGTGAGACTCCATCTCAAAAAATATATATATACATATATAAGTGAAAGTTCACAGCAGCATTATTTGTAATAGTCACCAAATTGAAATAATCTAAATGTCCATCAACAACAAAATGCATAAATAAAATGCAGGATGTATACGACGAAACACTGTACAGCAATAAGAAGGAGGAACTACGGCTAAATGCGGCAACATGAATGGATCTCATTCCTTCACTGCTTTTGTGGATCTGGCCCTGGCCTCCCAGGGCACAGGTACCAGAGGGACCCTCCTGCAAGTCCCTCCTCACCTCACCACCACAATGGTCCTCAAAAAAGTCAAACTCTTTAAAATCCCCCACCAGTCTGCACACCGGGCAGCCCCTGTTGTCTAGCCTCACCTCCTACTTTCCCTGAGGGCACTCTCCCGAGCCATAACTTCTCCTCGCAGTCTGTTCCTTGAGTGTGCCAGGCGTGCTTCCACCTCAGGGCTCTGCACGGGTTGTCCTCTCTGCCTGGAAAGTTCTTCCCCTGCAGAATCACGCGGCTCACTCCCTTGCCTCCTGCAGGTCTTGGGGACCATGAGCCCTTTCCCATGACTCTATATTCAGGTATCACCCCATGTCCATACTCCTGAGGTTTTGAACGAGTTTTACTTTTTCACCATAACACTCACCTGCATCTGGTATATGATTTATCTGCCCATTCTGTATGATCAATCTCCCTGCACAAGAATGCAGCTTTGGGAGAATGAGAATTTTGCCTCTTTTGTTCACTGTTATATCCGTAGGAGCCAGAGCTCTTCTAACACACAGAAGGCACTCAGTACAATTCTGTTAAAAGAATGGCCACATAAGAAGACAGAAACACAAATGCTGACTGATGCTGTCTGTGCTTAGACAGAGCTTGTCTATCCGTGGGCCTCACCAGTAGGTTCCTCTGCCTGTGATTTTCTTTCTCTAGGCCGTGAACTTCTATAGAAAGGACTCTTGCAGCTCCTGCCAGGGCATTGTTGAGACTAGCAGCCAGCACTGTGGGAGCCAAAGGGAGCGAAGCTGAGGAGGCCGATGGAGATGCGGCCTCATCTCTTCAAAGGCTCTCACTTAATCCCAAGTGACTTAATCCCAGTGTTCACAGAACATCCATGTGCCCCCCTGCAGTTCCTGCCTCCCTTGCAGCTGGGATGGGCCATGTGCCTGAGTCTGGTGAATGGACATGTGAGTAGAAGGGGTGTGTCCCCTCTGGCCTGAGGTGCTCACCATCAGGTGCCTCCCCCATCCCTTTCTTCCCCCTAGACAGCAATTCTGGGGGCCATGGAAGGGGTCTCATTACCTCCCTTCCCACACAGAGGAAAGCTGCCCTGAAGAGCTATCCAGTCCATACTATGCATTTGTGACTAAGAAACAAACCTTTGCTACGTTAAGCCATTGAAATTTCAAGGGTTTTTTTGTTACTGCAGCATAGACTATCTCATCCTGACGATCTTCTGTCAGGCACCCCCACTCCTGCCTTAGCTGTACTAGACATCCTTGTACTCTGATGTCTCTCTGGTTCAACCTCTGTCTGCTACTGGGGTCAGATGGACAGTTACAAAGCTGCACAGGCTCCATTTGGGGCTCTGAGGGGGTTGCCTGCATATCACAGACTGTAAACCAGTGCTCCTTTTGCCCCATCCACATTCCTGCCTTCAGAGACATCTGGTGACTCTAATTCCTGAGCCCTTGCAGGGCCCTGAGGCACAAATCAGCTTGTTTCTTCCTGCCCCACCCTGGACCCCCAGCTCTCAGCATGGTGGATAAGCAGAAAGAAATCGAAGCCAACCACACAATGATACACTTCTCGTGCTTCCAAAATGCTGCTGACATTTCCCATCTGTTCATCTCCTCTTTGTGAGTTTGAATCTTTTTTCTTTTATTCTTTTATTGTCATTTTAATGGTGCTTCAGGAGAAATAGTGATAAACAATAACTATTTCGTGAATACCTATTTATTTTGAATATTCATTGTAACCACTGCTAAGAACAGCAAAACTTTTAGGTTTGCATAGGTTTTTTTTTTCTTCCAAGAAGTTCAGAGTACATTTAAAATATCAGTTCAAAGAACAAAAGGAAAATATTATTATTACCATTTTAAATCAGATAAAGCCCTGTGAGGTCTGAAAAACTGCCCCACCACCCAATGTCTGCCAATGCTGGGACACAATCCAGGCTCCCATCTCATGATCTGATTTTCTACTAGTGGACACTATCCTGAGTGCTATCATTTATATCCATCTTCCCACCTTTCATAGGAATTCTATCTGCATAACCCAAAGAATACCTGCTGGAGACTGACACTTCCTGCAACTTTGCCAGCACTTTCATGTTCTTAACAAGGCATTTCACCAGTTTAACTACTGATCATCACTGACAGGCTTCAGTACATAATTTCATATATGAATCTTCATCCATCTTTTTCTTTTCTTTTCTTTCTCTCTTCCTTTCTTTCCTTCTTTTTCTCTTTCTTCAGTACATAATTTCATATATGAATCTCCTTCCTTCTTTCCTTCCTTCCTTCCTTCTTTCTTTCTTTCCTTCTTTCTTTCTTGTTTTTCATGGAGTTTTGCTCTTGTTGCCCAGGATGGAGTACAATGGCACGGTCTTAGCTCACTGCAACCTCTGCCTCCTGGGTTCAGGCAATTCTCCTGCCTCAGCCTCCCGAGTAGCTAGGATTACAGGCACGTGCCACTATGCATGGCTAATTTTTGTATTTTTAGTAGAGATGGGGTTTCACCATGTTGTCCAGGCTGGTCTTGAACTCCTGACCTCAGGTGATCTGCCCTGCTCGGCCTCCCAAAGTGCTGGGATTACAAGCATGAGCCACTGCGCCCAGCAATGCGTTTTCATATATTCCATAAAACACAGAAGTGTGTACTAAGATCATGTATATGTATATGGCTTGGAAAATTTATAAGGTCTCCATCTAGAAGCTGTACATCTTTGGTTTTAAAAGGAGAGGGCTAGAGAGAGGATAAATCCAATCAGTTGCTTCTTTCATTCCTCACTTCTTTTCTACTGTTAACATACGTGGTCATAAAGAATACCAGATGCAGGCCAAATACATTTGCCATGAGAAAAAGATAAAAATCAAAACTTATGGCTTCTCAATACTGCTTAGTATTAAAGCACAATGCTGCATTCTCTACTACAGCTGTGTAGTTACAAGAATCTATTTGAGTGGCCATGTGTCAAAGATAACGGCACAAAAAGGCTGGGTCTATATGGCTCATGGCCCAACATCCACTGCTTAACATGATGCTTTTTCTGGATTAAGATCTTCAAGTCAGGCAAAGGCTCCGGAGGAGGACAGAAAACCAAAGTGAAGAGATGCACTAGGTAGGGAGGTTTTTGGGTTGTAAGTGATAGAAACTCAACTCCCGTTACCTCAAACAAAAAGGGGAATTTATTGACTCTTTTTTTTTTTGAGACGGAGTCTCGCTCTGTCCCCAGGCTGGAGTGCAGTGGCACAATCTCGGCTCACTGCAAGCTCCACCTCCTGGGTTCACGCCATTCTCCCTCAGCCTCCTGAGTAGCTGGGACTACAGGCGCCCGCCACCATGCCTGGCTAATTTTTTGTATTTTTTTTTTTTTTTAGTAGAGACAGGGTTTCACCGTTTTAGCCAGGATGGTCTCGATCTCCTGACCTTGTGATCCGCCCGCCTTGGCCTCCCAAAGTGCTGGGATTACAGGCATGAGCCACCACACCCGGCCAAATTTATTGACTCTTAGAACCAGGAAGGGTTCCCCCAGGTCCCAGGCAGAGAGTGGGGATGCAAGCAGGCCCAGAAGCAGGTGTGAGCTGCTGTGGGCATCGCTCTGTCCAGGCCGTCCCCTCTGTCCTTGGCTTGGCTCTAATCCTGCAGCATGGCTTACTTCACACTCGGGGAAGCGTGGAAGTTGGCCATGCTGAGCAACTCTCTTAATGGAGAGATGGAGTGTGGGGTCCACACCCTCCACCCCCGCTCCACTGCCTGCACACCATGCCAAGTCCAGGTATTCTAGGGAATGGAATTCTTTGGGGTTCGCTGCCATGCCCAAGACAGTGCCTTCATGCTGTCCTCACAGCGCATCCTGCAGTAACTGTGGGGAAACTGAGGGTGGGGGGAGATTGTCTGGGAAGAGGAGCTGGGCCTACAATTCTGATGCTCCCTGCAGCCTAATCTCCACCCCCCATGTCACTGCCAAGGAATCTTGCAGCCCAGGGCAGACAGCAAGAGCCTCTGCCCACTAGGTCTGGTGCTCAGAAGCAAAGAGGGCCCTCTGGGGGGACAGTCAACACAAGGAGACTTAGGGTGGGTATGGGCAGCCAGAGCCCCAGCCCCAGGAGCTGGGATTAGGGCCCAGGAATGAGGAAACAGGGAGGGGAAAGCACATTGACCAATCCTGGAAGCAGCGTTATTGAAAGGTTCTGGAAATTCAAAGAAGCAGGCAATGTGTGGGCAGACTCCCGTTAGTGGCCAGAGCCCAGAAGGAACCAACTTTGCCTTCAACCTCAGCCCACTCCCTGCTAACAGAGGAAGATGGTGACGAGTCTGAGGGGCAGAAGGAGGTCCAGGCATAGAATTGCACTTGTCCTGGGTCTCTGCAGGTCAGCAGTGGGATGAGTAGGGAGACAGCCCGCCCTGGGCCTCCACAGTGGGGAAATGAGGCAAACGTGTCTCTTTTGCTACAGGACCAAGTCCACTGTCCTAGAAAGGTTTAGTTGACAAAAAAGGAGACATTCACACATTTCCTCCAGCAGACCCACTCACTGTTATTTGTTACCTGGGAAACCAAACAGCCATATATAAACAAGGGTAAATCTTAGAATCTTGGAAATGAAAGTGCCATAATTTCCAGGATGATATTAAAACGCCGTGACTTTCTGAAAAGGGTTCCAGCAACGTGGTTGACAGAAAATATTGTGCTTTCTTTTCCACAAGGAGATTGAATGTGTCTTATTTACAGTTACCCAGAAAACAATGATGAAAGTAGCTAAGTCTGCATTCTAGAGGCACAGGTCAAGGTGTCTGAGGAACAATTTGGCATCTTGGAAAGTGAAGTCCCGAGGCTGGGACCCTGTGGGGAGCCTTCTTCATTGCAGGCTCCAAGCCGCCAGTCTCCTGCTGTAGGGAGAAGGCTGTCGGTGCTGCAAGGATGGAGGGGGATGTGCAGAGCCCAGGCACTGAGAGAAGCTTCTTAGAGCCAGACCATCGGGAGGGAGAAAACAGGGTGACAGGGGTCAGTTCATGAAGACCCTTGGATTGGATTTCATTCCAAGAACAGTGAAAAACCCATGTAAATCAGGACTTCGTGAATGTGCTTATTCTAACTTCCAGAGGAAATAATGAATGAACTGTCTACTGAAAACCCCTGCCTGTGCTCCATCTGAAATGCTGCCTCCCTCAAAGCATGAAGCTGGAGTCAGCACTGATGACGATGGGCAGCTGGAGTGGGAGAAGAGGAGTGGCATGGCCTCAGGGAGGGCCAGGTCCCCCTGCACCTCTTTCCCACTTGGTGTCCCCCACCTGGTCACTCCCAGGAAGCCACTGCTGAATTGACAGCCAGGCCTCTACTGAGTCAAGGGCGACATCTGGAGATGTAGAATCAGACATAAAACTCAGCACAGTACTCATCCCTTATCCTTAGGGGGATACATCCTAAGACCCCCAGTGGATACGTGAAACTGCAGATGGTACCAAACCCTACGCAGCAGTTTTTCCTATACTTACATACATATGATACAGTTTATAAATTAAGCAAATAAGAGAATAACAATAGCTATTGATAAAATAGAACAATTATAACAATATGCCAGTAAAACTACTCTTGTGTTTTGCCACCATTAAGTAATATGAGGGTTCCTTGAACGGAAGCACTGCGATGTATGTCTGATAACCATCCTGGCTACTAAGTGACGGCCACGTGGGGAGTGTGGACAGCCTGGAGACGCTGGACAAAGGGATGAAGAAAGACAGCAGGAGATTTTTATCCTGCGACTCAGAACAGTGGATTTAAAACTTGTGAGTTGTCTGTTTCTGGAATATTCCATTTAGTATTTGCAGCCCATGGTTGATCAAAGGTAACAGAAACTGTGGAAAGTGAAACCTTGGGGAAGAGGGGACTGCTGTATAAAAAACTTTGAAACCTTTTCCATATGTGTGTGGGCTCCATCCAATCACGTGAAGGCCTCAAGGGAACAAGACTGACCTCCCCTGAGCAAGGAGGAATTCTGCCAGCAGAAGGGCTTTGGATCGAACTGTAACTCTTCCCTGGGTCTCCAGTCTGCTGGCCTACCCTGCAGGTTTCCACAACACCATGAGCCAATTCCTGAAAACAATCTCTCTCTATGTATATATACACATCCTGCTGATTCTATTTCTCTAGAGAATCCCAATTAATAGAAACAGTAATGTAGAAAAGAGATGATGGTGGCTTGGATGAGGGGGTAGCAGTGGAGGTGATGAGAAATAGTTACATTCAGGGTGATTTGTAGGATTTCCTGAAAGTTTGGATTATAGGATTGAGAGAAACAGAAGGGCTAAGAATGAATCTACAGAAGGGCAAATGTAAGATGTTATAGAAGGCAGAATTAGACCTATTTTAAAAAACACATGAAATCCTCAGAACAAATATTGGAAAAAGAGATCCTTTAAAAAATTGTTACAAAACTACAAAATAACTAGGCCCAAAATCGACAGAAAATATTATGAACCTAAAGCAAAGTAAAAACTCTGAAACTCTACAGAAAATCATAAAACTTGATGTTTTTTAAATTAAACATTACATATATTGAATACTATAAAGATGTCAGTTCTACTAAAATAACATATAAATCCAGTAATCCTAGTTACAGTAACAACTGGATTGGGATATGTATTAGTTTTCTAGGGCTGCTGTAATCAAGTACCACAAATTGGGTGGTTTAAAACAACAGAGCATCCATCAGGGAGAGAATTGGTCAAATCAGAGCTTTCTAGAAAGGCCATCCCTTAAGAGCAGGTCTATCTCAGCTCTAGAGTAAGGGTTACTCTAGGCCATTGGTTGGCAAACTGTAGCGCATGGGTCAAATGTGGCCTATTGCCCTGTTATCATATAGCCTGTGAACTAAGAATGACTTTTACATTTTAATGAAGAAATATACGTCACAGACCATCTGTGACCCATAAACCCTGGTCCTTTACAGTAAGTTTACCAACCCCTGCTGGAAACCTACCATAAAAAAATCTTAAAAACAAACTCAAAAGCACCAAGTTAATCCACAAATAAATGAACTAACTACCTGCCAGAACAAAATTCAACACTCTCTGAAGGGAACAAAATCTAAAATCCAGATACTCAGCCGTATCACATTTACAATGTCCAGCATACGCTCAAAACTTAATAGATTAATTCACTAGAGAATAAGTTTCAGACAACCAAAATGACCAAAGAGACACTGACAAGAGACATATGGAAAGCTCGCACTGGCCAAACTTAGAACAGTGTACGCATCATAGGGAATAATAATTGCAGGGAGTAAAACATGTCTATGAAGTTCATAATGATCTTTACAAAAACACCATTTGGCCACTTCTAGAGGATGCTCAAAAACCAATGTATTCTCCTGATGACAGATAAAGGGAAATAACAAAGCACAGTAGATAACTAGTACCATCTCTATATCAAATAATCAAACTAATAAATGATGAGGAAATTGTAGAATTAGAATATCATCAGTTTGCAACCTTCAGTGTATTAATGAATCCAGGCATCACACATTAAAAGTTGCTAACATCACAGAGAACACCAGACTTTGGCATGCCTCTTTATGAATGAACAGAATCCCACCTATCATCTTACCAAAGAGAAAGAACTGGAGTCTGATCAGGCCTCTAAATCCTGTTGCTTATTAACAGGAAATATACAGAACACAGGAACATTTTGAACTGCAGCAAAAGTAGGTAATCAGTGAATCCATGCGGGGTCTACAGGTGAAATGCTTCGGCTCTTGAACAGCTAGACTATAAGGAAAAATGACCCATTAAGATAAAAGGAGACAAAAAGACTTTAAAAAAATCCAACAAAACAAAACTAAACTGCAGTGTCTGAAGGATGCACATTTAGTGTTGAAACAATAAAAGAATCTAGCAGCTGAATGCACATGGTTTTTAAACTTGTGGAACATGGACAAAAATTGACCACACATGGGGCAGAAAAGCAAGCTTCAACAAATGTCAAAGGTTTGAAACAGAAAATGTATGGTTTCTGACAACAGTATAATTAAGCTAGGACTATATAACAAAAAGATACTAGAAAACCTATGTTCACAAATTAATATCCTTCTAAGTAACCTATGAATCAAAGAAGAAATAATCAATATCAGAAAATAATTTGAACAGAATGATATTAAAACTAACAGGATACAAGTCAAGCTGTGTTTAGAGGGAATTTATAGCCCTGAGAGCATTTATTAGAGAAGTAAAGTTGAAAATTAATGACCTAAGCATTCATCTCAAGAATTTAGAAAAAGAACTGCAAATTAAATCTTCAGAAAACAGAAAAAAAAGGAATAATAAAGACAGAAAGCAATGAAATAAAATTTCAAAATACAATAAAAAGGGAAAAACAATTCATTGATAATTAATAAAATTGGCAAATCTGAGGTAAGATTGATGAAGAAAGCAAACTGCAGGCATAGATAACTACTATCAGAAATGGAAAGGAGGTATCACTTCTCCTACAGGCATTAGAAAGCTAATAAGAGGATATTATCAACAAATTTATAGGAATACATTTGAAAATTTAGATAAAATGGAGGATTGCTTAGAAAAATACAACCCACCAAAACTGACACAAGAAGAAGAAATACTAAATTTGAATATATTGTAACTATTAAAGAAACTGAATCATAATTCAGCACCTTCCATGAAATAAAATCCCACAGCCAGATGACTTCAACAGTGAATGAATTCTAATGACCATTTAAGGAAGAGATACTACCAGTCTTACATGAACTCTTCCAGAAAATAGAAAAAGAACTATTCACTGTGTTTTCTAAAGGCAGCATAATCTTAGTACCAACCTCTGATAGACCTTTCATGAAGGAAAATGATATGAACCATCTGTCTCATGAACATAAATGCAAAGATCCTAAACAAAACTTTAACAAACGTGACTTGAAAGTGAAAAAAAGAAAAAAGAAGAGTAATGTCCATGGAAATAAACTAGAAGTACATAAAAATGATAACACACCATGACCACATAAGGTTGGATCCAGGAAGCTTGGTCTATCCATAACAGGTTGAAGAAATATTTTATGATTATGTGACAGATGAAGAAAATTACAGAACTGTGTTCAACAAGTATTCATGTTAAAAAACTCTTAGCATACTTGGTTTAGGAGTTTTGGCTACAGCTTACTGGTGTTTAACAAACTCCTTCGGCCTCAGCAGCTGAAAACCACTTTCCTATGGTCATGAGGTCTGTGGGTCAGGAATTCTCCAGGCACAGTGGAGATGGCTTGTGTCTGCTCCATGATGTCTGGGCCTCTGCTGGAAAGACGCAGTGGTGGAGATGACCTGCTGGCTCTTCAGCGTCACCTTTTACCTACCACTCAGCCCCAGGTCACGTGGCTGCAGCACACTGGCTTCTTGACTGTTCCTTCAACTCACCAGCCAGGCTCCAGCATCACAGACCTTACTTGCTCTTCCTTCTGTCTGGGGCCTTCTTAACTAGACATCCACCTGGCTGGACACTCTTCTTTCTCAAGTCACTTCTCAGTGGGATTTCTCTGGCCTCCCTATGAAAAATCAAAATCCCCATCCTGTGCCCACTGACCCTCTCTGGCCCCCTTTCTGCCTGTAATTATCACTTTATAATATATAATATAGTTAACTTATTTAACTATACTTTTATTCTATGTCTTCCCTCATGAGGATGTAAGCTTCATGAGGCAGGTATATTTTGTCTAATTTTATTCATTGCTGTATCCCCAGAGCCTAGTATATAATAAAGCACACAAACATTAGCTGTTGATTAAATGGATGGGTAGGTAGGTGGATGAGTAGGTGGGGGATGGATGGATGGATGAACGGATGGGTGGATGGGTAGGTGAATGGATGAGGTGGGTGGGTGGGTAGATGGATGGGTGGGTGGATGAATGGATGGATGGATGGCTAGGTGGGTGGGTGGATGGATGCGTGGATGGATGTATGGGTGAATGGGTAGATAGATGGATAGATGAATGGGTAGGTGGGTGGACAGATGGATGGATAAATGAATGGATGAGTGGGTGAGTGGATAAATGGATGAATGGGTAGGTGAGTAAATGGATGGATAATGGATGGATGGATGGATGGATGGGTAGGTAGGTGGGTGGGTGGGTGTACAGATGGATAAGTGGATGGAGAAATGGATGGATGGATGGACGGACGGATGAATGGGTAGACAGATGAATCGGTAGGTGGGTAGATGGATGGATGGATGGATGCATGATGGATGGATGGGTGGGAGGGTGGGTAAATGCATGGATGGATGGATGGATAGATAGATGGATAAATGGATGGATGGATGGATGGATGGATGGATGGATGAGTGGATGGGATGGATGGATGTGAGGCATGGCATCACCAATGGTAGATAATCACTGGGTTAAAATGGAATATATGTTGCTATTAGGAAGAATGAATTAAAACTCTATGTGTTGTTATGAACAATTACCAAGATTTATTATGAGAAGGAAGCGAGGTACAGAACATAGTCTTTTTTTTCTTTTGAGATGGAGTCTCGCTCTGTCAGCCAGGCCGGAGTGCAGTGGTGCGATCTCGGCTTACTGCAACCTCCACCTCCCGGGTTCACACCATTCTCCTGCCTCAGCCTCCCGAGTAGCTGGGACTACAGGCACCTGCCACCATGCCCGGCTAATTTTTTGTACTTTTAGTAGAGACGGGGTTTCACCATGTTAGCCAGACAGTCTCGATCTCTTGACCTCGTGATCCGCCTGCCTGGGCCTCCCAAAGTGCTGGGATTACAGGCATGAGCCACTGTGCCCGAACAGAACATAGTCTTAATATGCTCCTTTTATTTCCATTTAAAAAATAATTTCTATACAGGTAAATATGTGTGGATATGCATCATCAGTGTTTTCTGAAAGAAGTAAAAAATACTATTCATAATGGAAGTTCTAGGGAGAAGGACTGAAATACAGGTGGGAAGGATGCCTTACTTTTCCATTTAGCACTTTTCTGCAAAGTTTGAATTTTCTAACCATGCTACTCATATTTTTATTTTAAAATATCAACAGGAGTTTTTTGACAGTATGATCATGGACTATTTAAAACAGTTTTTCTTTACAATTCTTGCTACCTAAAATAATACTTGTTATAAAATAAAAAATAAGGGTAATTTTATTTAACAGAATCGAGAAAAGCAATGCTAGTTTTTAAGGACTTCCTTGAATCACTGAGAGGTCTTCTTTTGTCACATAAGGATTAGATAATGTTCAATATTTTCTATCTGCTAAGGCAGAAGTACTTTTACTTATGCATGTCCTTAGAGTTTTCAGTAACAAAAATTTCAGATAATCAGAGCACTTTGTTCTCTACACCGTCTGCTTTTCTGTGATTTTACGGTAATAGGCAGTATAACAGAGTTGACAGAAAAACACTTAGTAAATAAATATGGTTTAAAACTTTTTATACTAAGTTTTATGTCTGATTCTGTGTCTCCAGATACTACCTTTGACTAAGTAGAGGCATGGTTGTACGTTCAATGATGGCTCCCTGGGAATGACCCAATGGAAGTAGCATTTTGGAAACCCTGGTTCTGTAATCTGAACGTTGTGGCCCATGAGATTAACATATAGAAACCTAATTCCCAGTGTGATAGTATTAAGAGGTGAGGTCTTTGGAAAGTGATTAAATCATGAGGGCGTAACCTTAATGAATGGAATTAGTGTCCTTATAAAAGAGGCTCCAGAGAACTTCCCAGCCCCTTCCACCATGTGAGGACACAGCGAGGAGGTACCATCTATGAAGCAGAAGGTGAGCCCTTGCCAGACACCAAATCTGCTTGTGCCTTCATGTTGGACTTCTAACCCTCCTGAACTGTGAGCAATAAATGTCTATGGTTTGTAAGATACCCAGCCTATGGTATTTTGTTATAGCAGCCTGAACAAACTAAGACACCCGGGGTCTTTGTTTGTTAACTATGCATATTGAAGCTCTAAACCCATGCCCATTTCCCTGTTTTTTTCATTTTTGATGTTTGCTCAGTTTGTGGCCCATTTTCACTCTTCATCTTCATATTGCAAATATCTGATATGACAGTCGAGTGGAAGCTTCTCTTCCAATAAGACCATGTAACAAAAATGGAAAACCAAAACTATTCTGAAAAAAGCCATTTAAAAAATGCATACCAAGATTTTAAAAAAATTCCTGTTAAATTTATCATGAGTCCAAGCTGTTCATTCAACTTATCGTCTTGGTATTTGATACAAAAAATCCCCATTCACTGACTTTTTAAAAAGTAGAATGATGCTGGTGAGTTAAGGAGGTATAGAGTCCCATGTTTTAAAGGAAGATGCAGCTCACTCACACTGCAGCAATATCCTTTGCCGGCTGAAGCAAAATAAAAATCAGTTCTACTGAAAGTTGATAAAGTTTAAGTCCATTAACAGCGAGAGTACTTTATATTAGATTTGCAAATGAATGAGAAATTAATGGAGAAAAGAGCTCTCACAATAGCTTCAAAATGGGCATATTTATAACCCTATTCTGCTTGCCAAAAATAATTACATCCCATTTTTTTCTGCCAACCATTTAAACTCATTTCATAGAAAACGGAAAAAGAGGGTTGGTGCAAATGGGATGTTTCCCGCAAGAAAGAAGAACGGTTTTGGAACCCTTGAGCAATTTGCAAGGCGTGTCAATTTTGGAACGCTCTGTCTTGAAATATTCGCTTTTTTTATGTTTATTTGTTTACCTATTGTTTATTCTCCAAATCAATTACACAACATTTATTTCCAAATGCCACAATAATGGAAGACTGGCATCACATTTGGAATTGATTCTAATGCTGCACAGCCGCCTGCTGAGGATCCTGATCCGGTTCATGAGCTGAGGCTGATCCCAGCGACCCCAGACCTGACCAACTCTGCATTACCCAGGGAGGAGCAGGCCAGTCTGAGCAGACTCCAAGGGGCCGCTTCTACTCGGAGCCACTTTGCATCCACTCCACCCTAAGCTTCTAAGATACTTCGGAGCCCACATGACACTCCTTCACAGGGGCTGGGTGGCCTGGCCTGCCACTTGAAATATGGGGCTGCTGGCACCTGCTGTATCCTTCTCAGCCCCAGGCATAGCTGCTGAAAAGGTGACAGGAAGAGTCTATTTTCATGTCATCACTTAGTTCATATTTGTTTGCAGCTATTTCAGCCTTTTACATTTGTATTATGCATTCTGAACAAGTTGCTATTTGTTTTCTTAGTTGATGTAGTCAGCTGCACAGAAATGCTTAATGCTTTTCTCAGATGATTCCAACCAAACTGACTTTGATTTCAGACAGATAGCCCATGGCCATGCTGACACATAAAACCAACCATGACACTGGTTTTTTTTTCAGACTTTTATTTTTTTTTTAGGTTTAGGGACACATGTTATAGGGGTACTTTTTTTAGGTTTAGGGGTACACTGTCATAGAGCTAAATGGCATGTTGTTGGGGGTTGTTGTGCAGGTTATTTTGTCAGCCAGGTGATTAAGCACAGTACCCGACAGGTAGTGTTTTGATCCTAACCCCCCTCCCCCACCCTCCACCCTGAAGTAGGCCCCAGTGTCTATTACTCCCTTCTTTGTGTCCATGTGTACCCAATGTTTAGCTCCCATTTATAAGTGAGAACATGTGGTATTTGGTTTTCTGTTCTTGCATTAATTTGCTTAGGATAATGGCCTCCAGTTCCATCTATGTTGCTGCAAAGGACATGATCTCATTCTTTCTTACGGCTGCATAGTATTCCATGGTTTATATGTACCACATTTTCTTTCTTTTTTCTTTATTTTTGAGATGGAGTCTCACTCTGTCACCCAGGCCGGAATGCAGTGGCGTGATCTTGGCTCACTGCAACCTCCACCTCCCAGGTTCAGGCGATTCTCTTGCCTCAGCCTCCCAAGTAGCTGGGACTACAGACAGCTGCCACCATGCCCTGCTAATTTTTGTGTATTTTTAGTAGAGATGGGGTTTCACCATGTTGGCTAGGCTCATCTTGAACCTCTGACCTCGGGTGATCTGCCTGCTTTGGCCTCCCAAAGTGCTGGGATTACAGGTGTGAGCCACCGCACCCGGCTGTATGACATTTTCTTTATCAACACTCCACTGAAAATATTGAACAGATCATCGAGGCAGAAAACTAACAAAGATATTTGGGACCTGAACTTGACACTTGACCAAATGGACCTAACAGACATCTACAGAACTCTCCACCCAAAATTAAGAGAATGTACATTCTTTTCATCTGCACATGGCACATACTCTAAAACTGACCACACAATCAGCCATGAAACAATTCTCAACAAATGCAAAAAAACTGAAATCATAGCCACCACACTATCAGACCACAGTGCAATAAAAATAGAAATTAACACTAAGAAAATCACTCAAAACCATACGACTACGTGGCAAACAACCATGACACTGTTACAGCCATCTTACCTGTTCCCTCCTTCAAGACCTCCCTTGCAGCCTGCTCTCAACTCACCAACCAGAGTGGGCCTTTAAAAAATTAAGCCAGGCAATGACACTCTCTGCTTAACACCTCCCAGTGGCTCCCTACAGCACACAGAGTAAAAGGCAGAGGACTTAGATTGACTTACAAGGCCCTGCAGTTTCCTTCCCTCTCCCTTCCTCTATGATCCCCTCTCTTTCCTCCCCACTGCTCACTTCCCTCTAGCCACAGGGCCTCCTGGTTGCTCTTAGAACTGTTAGTCCCACTCAGGGCCTCCGTACTGACTATTCCCTCTGCCTCAGACATTGCAAGGCAAACTCCTTCACCTCCTCACTCCCTCACTTGGCTCAAGAGTCACATGCTCAATCAGCTCTGCTGTCCCCATCTTATTTACAATGATAGTTTCTGCCCCCATCACTCCCTCAGCCAACTGTACCACATTCTACTTTCTAACAGACGTTACCATTTTTAGTCTATTACTATATGCCTTCATTAGGATGTGAGCTCCATGAGGGCTGAGATCTTGGTCTGATTTGTTCCCTGATCTATCTCAAATCCTCAAAACAGTGTTAATAGTTGAAAAGCACTCAATAAATATTGGTTGAATGAACAAATAAAGGGCTTATCAAATGCAAAGATAAATTTTTCATTTAAATTCTCTGCCAGAGTTTCTGGTTCCAGAAGATGGGCAGAGGACAAGTCATACTGGAGCTTGCACGGCACAATGAGTTCAGAAGACTATTCTGAGTGAGACTGGAAGACAAATGAGAATTTTGAACTGGGGAGTGACATGAGGTGACTTACAGGTTTTTAAAAGTTCATCATGGCTTCTGTGTGGTGCACAGGATTCAAAGGCAGGAGTAGTGCCAGGGAGAGTATTTCAGCTGCCTTGGTCCAGCAAGAGATTAAAGTGGTTCAGACCAGAGAAGCTGTGCTGGAGGTGATGAGAAGTGGCTGGACCCTGGATATACTACGAAGGCAGAGCTAACAGGTCTTGTTGATGCACTTTGCTGAGAGGGAGAGGAAGAGAGGGAGTGGCGAGAGTCAAGGGTAACTGTTAAAGTTTTGGCCTCAGAAACTGAGTAAATGGCAGTATCCATTACTGGGACAGAACAGAGGGGAGAAGAACAGACTTGGGAGTGGAATCAAGAATTCTGCTTTGGATGTGTTAAAATGGAAATGCCTACCAGACATCCATATGGAGGTGCTGACTGGCCAGTTGGATACATGAGTCTGGAGCCCAAAAAAGAAGCTGAACTAAAGATAGTTTTTAAAGCCATGGGTCTGGTTGAAATCCCATTAGAGAGAGAAGCTGGATAGAGAGGAAGACTCACGGCTTGGTGCTGAAGCACTTCCCCTTTAGGAAGAAAAGCCAGCAAGAGGGGCTAAAGAAGCAGCCAGTGAGGTAGGGAAGGGCTGAGCAGCTCTACCGAACTGGAAGCCACATGGAGCATGTGTTTCAAATGTTGCTGTGGGGTCAGGTGAGAAGAGTCTAATCACTGACTGCGGGATTTGGCCATATGAGGGCCTTGGGGCCCCAGGCAGCGCTGCGATACCCCAGTGGGTTGTTGGTGATCCTTCAGGATGGGAAGCAGTGCCCACTGGGGCAAGTAGGGTGGTACAGGCTGACTGTGGGAGGCGCAGGGCTCAGGGAAACCTGAGCATTCAGCATAGACAGGAACCTGGAGTCAGGATGACAAGGAAAATCTCCTGAATCGGGCACAAGGATCCTTGGGGGGGATGAGGAAGAGGAATTGAGCATGCTGCATTTCCTAAATGTGGGGCATTAGGGTGCAAGGCGGTGCACCTGAATATGAAAGGAAATAGCCATCCTATAATTCCAGAAGCTTGAAGACACCAAGAGAGTTACACTCACAGAGAAGAAAAAGGTTTGCTTTTCTCATGGAAAAGGTTATATGTAACAAGTTTAGGATACCACATGACAATGTCTTAGTTTTAATTAACTTTTATAATTCAGCACATTTTTAAAAGCACATACTTGTATTTCTGATAATGCTATGCCAGGTTTTTACACTTGTTTCATATTTTTTCTCAAGAGGAAGTTATAGTAGTGTATCTAAGATATACTGAAAAATAATTGGTAATTTTTTTTTTTTTTTTTGGAGATAGAGTCTTGCTCTGCCACCCAGGCTGCAGTGCAGTGGTGTGATCACCCAGGCTGGAGTGCAGTGGCGTGATTACCCAGGCTGGAGTGCAGTGGCGCGATCTCAGCTCACTGCAACTTCCGCCTACCTGGTTCAAGTGGTTCTCCAGCCTCAGCCTCCTGAGTAGCTGGGACTACAGGCGCATGCCACCATGCCTGACTAATTTTTTGTACATTTTAGTAGAGACAGGGTTTCGCCATGTTGCCCAGGCTGGTCTCAATCTCCTGAGATCAGGCAATCCACCCTCCTCGGCCTCCCAAAATGCTGGGATTACAGGAGTGAGCCACTGCACCCAGCTGGCAAATATTCTTTTTTATTTTCAAGTTCATTTGCCAAGAACTCAATTATTTATAGCGGTATTTCTCTCTAGCTTTCTGTAACTAAATGAGAACATTAATTTCAAATGTATCTCTCTACTAAAATCATACAGGGTGTTCTATCCTTCCTTTTATACAAAAAAAATTGACAATTATCTGACGAAATAGGAAAATTTGAACAGCCATGTTTTAAAAGCTGATCATGTCATGCTTCAGCTAACATAAAAAAAAAAACCTGAAGTCAAAATAAACGTTTAAATAACCTGAACATGCTGATAATTGACATTGCTTTCTATCATAATCATCACTTTAACACTGAAAGATGAAGAACTTGCTAGTGGTTTAAGGTAGATCAGGCATTGGATACAGATCCTTCCCATTGGTGTTTACTATCCAACTGCAAGAGATATTGGATGAAATATGAACATAGAAAAACATTTAAAAAGGAGAAATTAGATTTAGAGAAAAAACTAACTTACCTATTGCTATGGACTAAAGTGTGCCCTCTCCATTCATATGTTGAAGCCTTAACCACCAATGTGACTATATTTAGAGATAGGGTCTTTAGTAGGTACTCCAGGCTAACTAAGATCACAAGGGTAGGGTCCTGACCCACAAGGATTGGTGGCCTTAGAAAAGAAGAAAGAGACAGAGACCTCTCTCTCTCTACCTGCACACACATGGAGAAAAGGCTATGTAAAGACACAGTGGGAAGGCGGCCGTCTGCAAGATAGGAAGCAAGTCCTCACGAGAACCAGACCATGCTGCCACTTTAATCTTGGACTTTCCAGCCTCCAGAACTGAGAAAAACTAAATTTTTGTGTTTAATCCACCCAGTTTACATTATTTTGTTATGACACCCCAAGATGACTAAAATACCTATTAATGAGTTTTTAAAAAATTATTTTAGAAGAGAAACAATATGTTGGGTTGTAATGTCAACAAATAAGTAATAATGTGCTTATATATTTCTATGATTTTTCTGAGAGAGAAAAATTTTAAATTGAGTAAATTTCTCCCCCTAGGATGCCTGTCTACAGATTACTTCTTCCATAAACTCTGACCTCAACAATTACTCCTAACAGGAATTCGAACTGTCTTGATGCTTGACCAGCCTGGCCAACACAGTGAAACCCCGTCTCTACTAAAAATACAAAAATTAGCCGGGTGTGGTGGCTCACGCCTGTAATCTCAGCTACTCAGCAGGCTGAGGCAGGAGAATTGCTTAAGCCAGGGAGGCGGAGGTTGCAGCAAGTGGAGATCATGCCACTGCACTCCAGCCTGGCTGACAGAGACTCTGTCTGAAAAAAAGAAAAAAGGAAAGCGTGGTGACTTGTTTTAGACACTTTCACTACTGATAATGACAGTTCACAGGACCAGGCAAAGCAGAGACTCGGCACAGTGCCACAGGGAGACCCTGTCCTGGGCGCCGAGTGGACCTGCCCCTGAGTCAGCTGCCTCCCCTTACCAGCGGCGCGGCCCTAGCGCTCACTGCATTTCCTCCCACCCCTAGTTTCTTCCTCAGCAACACAGGGATAGGAGCTCCCTTGCAGGTGACTGGAGGCAGTGAATGGTCCACATATATAAAGCAGCTGCAGTGGTACCTTGCACATAACAGGAATTATTTTTAGAATGATGTTGAAGATGTTCAGAATACCCAACCCCAACATATGGAGCTCTGGCATACTGTTTTCAGTTAAAGACCCTTGAAAAACAGCAGAGGCAAGAAGAACATTCTAATCACCCCTTTTCTTCCTGAAAATAGGAGATAAACATTGCCATGTGAAAGATGTCCTCCCTCACCAGGAGAATGAAACATTCTTCGATGGGGAGGAAGAGCCAAGAGACCCTGTGAAATGATTCTTACTCCTTCAGCCTCCCCACACAGTGTACCTGTCCCCAGCTGCCTCTCTTTGTCCATCTTGGTATAAAAGCATTTGTGTTTTGCTACTTCTCTGGGTCTTCATTTCCTTATGAGGGCTCCTGAGTCACATAAAACATATATAAATTGGTGTGCTTTTTCCTATTAATCTGTCTTGTGTCAATTTAATTCACAGGCCCAGCTGAAAACCCTAGGAGATTAGAGGTGAAATTCTGTCTCCCCTATAATTGAATGTATTATAACACAAAAATATACTCAGAAAGAAGTCATTAATTTGAGTATAGTGATAATGATAGCTATCAGAGTAATCCCTTTTAAAATAGTTTCAGTTCCTGTAATACCAAGGCCCACTCACATGTTGTAGTATTGTTACCACTGTCGCAGTAATTAGTTTCCATGACACAAAATCACCTCACTTGCTTTCCCACAGAGGCAGCAATATGCTAAAAGAGCAGACTCTAGACCAGGTCTCCCGGGGTCCAAGTCAAGTGTGTGTTGATGACCTTCCCTGAACCCTGGCTTTCTTCTCTATAGAAAGTGCTCAGTGAGCCAAGCACGGTGGCTCACGCATGTAATTCCAGCACTTTGGGAGGACAAGGCAGGTGGATCACTTGAGGTCAGGAGTTTGAGACCAGCATGGCCAGCACGGCCGACATGGCAAAACCCCGTCTCTACTAAAAATACAAAAAATTAGTCGTGTGTGGTGCTGGGCATCTGTAATCTCAGCTACTTGGGAGGCTGATGCAGGAGAATTACTCGAACCCGGGAGGCAGAGGTTGCAGTGAGCTGAGATCATGCCACTGCACTCCAGCCTGGGAGACAGAGTAAGACTCTGTCTCAAAAAAAAAAAAAAAGTGCTCAGTGGTAATGCCTATCCCATAGGACGACTGTGAGATTTTGAACAATAACATATGTCACGCCTGTGCTTGAAGTCTGGCATGCATGGCCCTCAGGAAATGTGTACACTGACCTGGGCATAGGACTGAGACTGTCAGAGGGAAACACGGGGCCTGGGAGTAGACCCTGCATGCTCCGAGGGTCTGCTTCCATGTGACGTGGACTGAAGGTCCCTCTCCTGATTCTTCATGAGATGAGCCAGACAAACATCTTATGAGTGTCACCAGCAGCAATCAAGACAGGAAGAAAGGGGCATCATGTCCTGTCATGAACTAGAAAGGGGGGGCAGGACAGAAATAAGTGGAGAAAAGGAGATCCTGAAGGTTCCATGTCCTCCCCAGCCCTCACCTATGTGAGCACAGGTGAGCAGACAGAAGCTGAGAATTCGCACTAATACCTTCAAGTCTGGGATGATGGGGTCTGAGTTGGGTGCAGGTAGTTCTAGGACAATTTTTTAAAATCTCTTTAAAACAGAAGCTCCTACGCAGCAACTCAGGAGCTCAACCAAGAAAGAAAGGGCCAGGGCTGAGGGACGGATGACGCTCACTGGAGCAGAACTGCCCTGGCTCGGTCAAGGGGACATCTCTAGGGAGGTCCTCAGAGGGAAGAGCAAGAACCCAAGACCTAGCAAGGATGTGCTCAGCCCCTGGGGGATCTCCCCACCCTGTCCTAAGTTAGACAGTCAAGGCCAAAGGCAACATCCATGTCTGAAATGGAGCCTCTGACAGGAGAAGAGAAACTGGCCCTGGTGGGTCTGAAGGCTGTCGGGGCAGGGAAGAATTGTCCGGGCCAAGCCCAGGAGCACAAGGAGAGTGGGTACATCAAGGTGCATGGAAGCACACCACAGCTTATTTGGCAAACAGAAGGTCAGCAGAAAACAGAGCTTGAAAATGGGGAAAGACACATCAACCCAGACGCCAAAGCTCCCCACAAGAACTTCATGGAACCTAATACACACATAAACTTAACAAAGGAAGGACTCAAAGTGAGAAAAACAAGACTATGATGAAAAGAAAGCTAGAGACAGAACTAAGGAAACCAATTACAGCGTGAGAATTAAAACCCCATCACTGCAAATCTAGTAAATAATTTAGAAACAGCAAGGAACAGAGTAGACATGAGTGAAAATTCAAGATAATGGCATGGGGGAAGGTGTGAGATCTCCACAGTAATTTTGTAGAAGAAGGAAGAGACAAATTACAATGAAGAGGACCCGTAAGGAGATTGGGAATTTTTTTTTTTAACTCTAGAAACAAATGTGCTTTGTAATGAGAGACCTGTAATCTAAAATTTAGTATTCTCTCTTCAGTTTCATTTCAATTCTCCTGTTAATTTCAAACAAAGACAATTTTTTAAAACATACACATTATTCTTCCATAGCTTGTGTCTTGTATCATTATATGATCGATAGATTTCTGAATTTATGACCACATAACAGTCTGATCGTTTCTGGATGGTATACTTCTGGGTAATTCATTGCCTTTGCTGTTGTACTTTTCTGTATTTGCTTAAATAATTTATGAGAGACATGCATTGTTTTTTATTTTTAAAAGTATAATCTTGGCCAGATATGGTGGCTCACACGGGTAATCCCAACATTTTGGGAGGGCGAGGTGGGCGGATCACTTGAGATCAGGAGTTCCAGCCCAGCCTGGCCAACATGGCGAAACCCTGTCTCTACTAAAAATACAAAAATTAGCAGGGTGTGGTGGTGCACATCTGTAATCCCAGCTACTCAGGAGGCTGAGGCAGGAGAGTCGCTACAACCTGGGTGGTAGAGGTTGCAGTGAGCTGAGATCGTGCCACTGCACTCCAGCCTGGGTGACCGAGTGAGACTCCATCCCCCCCAAAAAAAAAAGTATGATCTTTAAAGGGAAGAAAATCCACTCAACATTCTTTCAATAAGTAGATATTACACACTATATTGTAGGCACTGGGATTATGAGCTAGGCCAAGACCTTGCCCAGCTTCCAGATAAAGTCATGGAGGTTATAGATTCAGGAAGACAAACATTACTCCAAATACAGTTCATTCCAGAAATGCAAGAGTGATTCAGCATTAGCATATAGTCCATCCTGTTAACAGAGCTAAAGAGAAAAATTATATGATCATCTCTACAGATGCACCAAAGGTATGTGAAAAAATCAGCATTCATTCCTATGAGAAACAACAAAACAGAAACTGAGGGATAGGATAAAGTCATGCCTAACAAGATAGAAAATACATATTTATGCAACACATACCTAACCTCAAAAGCCAGCATCTTAATTAACAAAGAAAAACTAACTTTTCCTGCTACAGTCTGGAACAAGACAAGCACTCACTCTTTAACACTGGGTCTGAAGTATTAGCCCATGTACTTAGACAAGAGAAATCAACTGTAGAAATAACATTCATGAAAGAAGAAGTTAAAATTATCTTTATTTGCAGAGCATATGTTTATGTACTCACATGTGGAAAAACAAAAGAATCCCCACAAAACAAGCACCAAAAAAAAAAAGAAAGAAAATCTAATAAGAAAGCTGGTTGTACAATAAATATAGGCATACCTTGTTTTATTGTTCTTCACTTTATCATGCTTCACAGATGTTGAGATTTTTTACGGATTGAAGGTTTGTGGCAGCCCTATATTGAGTAAGTCTATGAGCAACATTTTTCCAACATCATGTGCTTACTTTGTCTCTGAGTCATATTTTGGTAATTCTCAGTACATTTCAAACTTTTTCATTATTACTATATCTGATATAGTGGCCTGTGATCAGTGACCCTTGAAGATACTATTATAATTGTTTTGGGGCTCCATGAACTGTGCCCATATAAGGCAGTGAACTTAACTGAGAAATGCATGTGTTCTGATTGCTTCATAGGCTGGCCGTTCCCCTGCCTATCTGTTCCCTGAGACACAACAATATTGAAATTAAGCCAATTAATAACTCTACAATGGTCTCTAAGTGTTCAAGTGAAAGGAAGGGTCACACGTTTCTCATTTTAAATCCAAAGCTAGAAGTGATTAAGCTTAGTGAGGAAGGCATGTTAAAAGACAAGACCAGCCAAAAGCTAGGCCTCTTGCACCAGTTAGCAAGTTGTGAATGCAAAGGAAAAGTTCTCGAAGGAAATTAAAAGTGCTACTCCAGTGAACACACGAATGATCAAGAAAACAGCCTTATCGCTGATTTGGAGAAACTATGAGTGGTCTAATAGAAGATCAAACCAGACACAACATTCCCTTAAGCCAAAATCTGATCCACAGCAAGGCCCGAACTCTCTTCAGTTCAATTCAATGAGGATGAGAGAGGTGAGGAAGCTGCAGATGAGAATTTGAAGCTAACAGAGGTTGGTTCCTGAAGTTTAAGAAGCTGAGGCAGCAAATGCTGATAACCTGCAAGTCCAGAATATCCAGCTAAGATAACTGATGAAGGTGGATACATGAAACAACAGATTTTCAGTGTAGACAAAACAGCCTTATACTGGAAGAAGATGCCATCTAGGACTTTCATAGCTAAAGAGGGAAAGATGACGCCTGGCTTCAAAGCTTCAAAGGACAGACTGACTCTCTTGCTAGGAGCTAATGCAGCTGGTCACTTAAAGTTGAAGCCAATACTCAACCATTCTGAAAGTCCCATGGCCCTTAAGAATTATGCTAAATCTATTTCACCTGTGCACTAGAAATAGCCCAACAAAGCCTGGATGACAACATATCTGTTTAAAGCATGGTTTACTTAATATTTCAAGCCCACTATTGAGACCTAACGCTCAGAAAAAAAATATGCCTTTCAAAGTATTACTGTTTATTGACAATACACCTAAGAGCCCTGATGGAGATGTACAAGAAGGTTAATGTCATTTTTCTGCCAGCCAATACATCTACTCTGCAGCCCACGGGTCAGGGAGTAACTCACTTTCAAGTCTTATTATTTAAGAAATGCATTTCACAAAGCTAGAGATGCCATACATAGTGATCCTGTAATAAATCTGGGTGGAGTAAATTGACAACCTTCTGGAAAGGATTCACCATTCTAGGTGCCATTAAGAACATTTGTGATTCATGGGAGGAGGTCAAAATAGCTACATTAACAGGAGTTTGGAAGAAGTTGATTCCAATCCTCACAGGTGACCTTGAGGTTTTCAAAATTTCCGTGGAGGAAGTAATCACAGATGTGGTAGGAACAGCAGGAGAATTAGAATTAGAAGTGGAGCCTAAAGATGTGGCTAAATTGTTGCAATCTCATGAGAAAACTTTAATGGACAAGCAGCTGCTTCTTATGGATGAGCAAAGAAAGTTGTTTCTTGAGATGGAATCTACTCTTGGTGAAGATACTGCAGACATTATTGAAATGACAACAAAGGGTTTAGAATATGATATAAACTTAGTTGATAAAGCAGCAGCAGGGTTAGAGGACTGACTCAAATTTTGAAAAAAGCTCTACTGTGGGTAAAATGCTATCAAACAGCATTGCATGCTACGGACAAATCTTTTGTAAAAGGAAGAGCCAATCAATGCAGCAAACTTCATCACTGTCTTACTTTCAGAAACTGCCACAGCCACCCCAACCTTCAGCAACCACCACCAATTAGTCAGCAGCCATCAGCATCTAGGCAAGACCCTCCACCAGCAAACAGATGACAACTTGCTGAAGGCTCAGATGACTGTTAGCATTTTTGAGCAATAAAGTATTTTTAATCAAGGTATATGTATAATTTTTTTAGACATATGCTGTGGCACACTTAATAGGCAACAGTATAATGTAATCATAGTTTTATATGTACTGGGAAACTAAAAAATTGGTGACTTGCTTTATTGTGATATTCGCTTTATTGCACTGGTCTGGAACTAAACCTGCAATATCTCTGAGTTATGTCTGTATACAAAAATCAATAATGTTTATCCATAACATAGATAAACAGTTAGAAAATGTAATAGAAGGCCAGGTGCAGTGGCTAATGTCTGTAATCCCAGCACTTTGGGAGGCCGAGGCGGGTGGATCGCTTGAGCTCAGGAGTTTGAGACGATCCTGGGCAACATGGTGAAACCCCGCCTCTACCAAAAATACAAAAATTAGCCAGGTGTGGTGGTGCACACCTGTAGTCCCAGCTACTTGGGAGGCTGAGGCAGGAGAATTGTTTGAGCCTGGCAGGCGGAGGTTGCAGTGAGCCGAGATCGTGCCACTGCACTCCAGCCTGGTGACAGAGCGAGACTTTGTCTCAAAAAAGAAAGAAAATGGTGACATGCTTGTGAAAGTAAAGAGTATTTTGAATAAATGGAAAGAAATATATTCTTGGATAAGAAGATACAACAGCAAAGAGATGTTAATTCTCCTAAAGTTAATCTATAAATTTAATGCCATATTGATTAAAAAAAATCATCATTGTCTCCTAGAAGCTAGGCAAACTGATTATATAGTTCTTGGAAGAACAACTAAGCAAGAATCACAAAGGAAACTCCATAAAAGATCAATAAGGAAGGCTAGCCCTTCCAGATATTAAAATGTATTTAAAGCCCCCTTCTTGGCCGATGAATTGACAGACCAATAAAATAAAACGGAAATATCCAGAAACAAACACATTTGTCTATGGTAATTTAGTATATGACAAAGGGGTCATTTAAAATAATTGAGGGAAACATACACTTTTCATAAGTAGTACTGATAAATCCAGATGGGATGGCCATATGGAAAAAGAAAAATACACATCTGTTTCTCACCAGTTATATCAGAACTGATTCCAAATAGATTAGAAACTTAAATGGAGACAGAGAGACCCCACTTTAAGTATTAGAAAAAAACATGGAATTCCTCTCTAACCGGAAAGTTGAGAAATATTTCCTATAACTCACAGTCCAAAGTAATAAGGGAAAAACTGATGAACTTAACTACATAAAATACAAATCTTTACATATGAATACTACCAGAAGCAAATAAAAAAGACAAATGAAAGACAAATGATAAACCGCATTATGCAGTAAACAGGAATAAGAAATGTCTTTATACACTGCTACAGACTGACCCCACGCGATATCACTAAGTTATAAAACCAAAGGCTGGAACAATGTGCAAGGTAGGCACACGTACATGCAGTATGTGTACAGCACATGTGCTTGCTTATAATTTAGAAATGAAAGGACAAAGCGAAAATCTACGAGTAGTTACTATAGGGCCGGGGGGTGGGGAGACAAGGAATACAAACAGGACAGAAATGATAACTAGAATTTTCAGGGGAAAACACTTTACTGCATAGATTTGACTTTGTAACAGTAAATGTCTTATATAATTATGAAACAAAATTAAATCAAAAATTAATTAAAATCCCTAAAATCAAAAGCAAAATGAAATAAGTGAACCAGTAAAACGAGCAGGTGCCTTAACCACAGAGAGCGGTTTAAACTGACTGTAACATATCACCATTTAATTGTATATCTCAAGTGGTTTATTTCCTGAAGGATAATCAAGAGACATGGGAGCTCTGGTGGCCTCTGCTCACTGGGGCCAGCAAGGGAAAATAAAGAAGAGAGACAGAGAGACTTAAGAGACCTAACAACCCAATGCAAAAAGAGAGAAACAGGCACACAGAAATTTGAACATGAGGTATTTGATGATAAACCAAATTATTGGTATCTATTAGTTGTGATCATGGCATTGTGACTATATCATTTTAAAAATAAAAAATAAGGGCCACCTTCTCTTTTAGAGGTAGGCATGTATGTATTTTGACACAAAATAATGTGATGTCTCAGGCTTGCTTTCTTCATCCAAGGGAGAAGTGGTGGGGTACTGATGACGCAAGACTGTCCAGGAGTGGCTGGCAGCTATAGCTGAGTAATGGATGCATAGGGTTCAATATGTCATTCTCTTTACTTGTGTATATAGTTGAGATATCCACAATGTAAATGTCGAAAAATATGAAAATATGGGTTCAGATAATAACTCTGCTACTTAGTCACACAGCCAGTTTGTAAAAATTTCCTATGTTTTGGGAACCTGAATTCCTTCCTTTTAAAAAGAAGACACATAAACCTAAGTTACAAGACAAATTAGTATATGATAAAGAGGTCACTTAAAATCACTGGGGGAAACAAATATTACAAATTTGTTTTATTACATATTACAAAGCCTGTCATATAGCAGAACTAAACAAAGGCCAGTTATTTTTTATTTTGGTATGAATTTAACTATGCCAAATTACTAAAAATATTTTCCTAAACATCACATCAAAGTAAGATTTCACATGGAGTTTTAAAGAGGAAATAAAGAATGAAGCCTTTTGGTTTTATAATTACACAAAATAGCAATACTAGAATAGAACTAAATTTATGCCCAAATGTATTCCTCAATTAGTGCCCAATTCAAATACCAGATATAATGATGTTATTCTGAGTAACACCCATAAAACTACATATAACTATTACCATAAATAACATTTAATTTGTGGGACCGCAGTTGCTAAGCCTGCTGTACCTAAAACTTTGCTGACATATTCTGCCTACTGTTTCATAAAAAACACACAGTAATCAGATTAGGTCAATTAGAAAGCTACAGGCAAAACATTGTTCCCTTTCAAATGTCCTGGTAAATAGAATAATTTTAAAATGAAGAAATATTTGAATCAAAATAGTCAGGAACAGACCTCAAAGCATTAAAGAACTAGATCTTTATACTCTCGAGAGTTGCATTCAAAGACTCAATCAAATTCAAGTTCATCACATATGCAAAACGGAACACGAATCTCCCATTAAAATTATCATAACTGCTGGCTTATTAAAATGCTTGAGTGCATTAGACATAGCATAGAAAAATTCAATATAATATCACTCCAATAATGTTTCTATATTAATCTAGAAAACATGGGGAATGGCCCTAAAGCAAAAAGTGCTGCTACAGGCTCATGCAGAATTGAACTTATGGCTGTTGAGGCCAACCCACCTCAAAGAGGCAAAAACTGTCACAGCAGCAAGATCCAGAGGCCTTCATCCGACCCGGGTGGGATGAAGAGAAGAATTCTCAGCACTGACCCACAGAAGGAGGCGGGAGGCTGTGGTGAGATGAACAGACTAGCGCCCACTCTGGCTAGCTCTCAAGGTGAGATGAGGGTGTGGCTTTTGCACGGTGGCAATGTCGATGATTTTGAAACCTCATGACAGTGTTTCTGAATGTCCACCGAAACATGGCTCTCACAGGCAACAAAACACTCCTGATTAGAGGTGTAAATTTTCCGCGTTTCCAGAGAGCTCTTCATATGTTGATGGAAAATTCCCAGCAACAAACTTGAAGGAGTAATTGCAGGCAGGCCGTGTTTTATTGCACTTCGTTGCATTGCACTGCACAGATACTGCGTTGTTGATAAATTGAAGGTTTGTGGCAACCCTGCAAGGAGCAAGTCTATCAGCATCATTTTTCTCACAGCGTGTGCTCACTTCATGTCTCTCTGTCGGTATATTTTAGCAATGAAGTATTTTTAAATTAAGGTATGTACACTTTTTTTTTGTTTTTTGTTTTTTGAGACGGAGTTTTGCTCAGTCACCCAGGCTGGAGTGCAGTGGCACGATCTCAGCTCACTGCAAGCTCCGCCTCCTGGGTTCACGCCATTCTCCTGCCTCAGCCTCCCGAGTAGCTGGGACTACAGGCGCCTGCCAGCACACCTGGCTAATTTTTTGTATTTTTAGTAGAGACGGGGTTTCACCGTGTTAGCCAGGATGGTCTCGATCTCCTGACCTCGTGATCCGCCCACCTCGGCCTCCCAAAGTGCTGAGATTAAGGGTGTGAGCCACCACGCCCGGCCAAATTAAGGTATGTACACTTTTTAAAGATACAATGCTACTGCACACCTACTAGACTACAGCTTAGTGTAATCGTAACTTTGATATGCTCTGGGAAACCAAAGGATGTGTGTGACTTGCTTTATTGTGATAACCGTCTTATTGCAATAGTCTGCAACAGAACCCACAAGCTCTCCAAGGTAGGCTTATACATTTTCCTATTGGTTGGCTTAGTGCAAAAGATGAACCCAAACTGGCAAAGATTAGGTAGAAACCAGTTTCTGCAAACTGAATGCTCCCTTTCTCCAGGAACATCTACCATCACATAGCCATTTCCTCTACAAAACTGTTACCAAAGAGAAGCCAATTTGTTTACAGTCATATGTAAAATTAAAAGCAACGATTAACTGTATACCACCTAAAGTACCTACTCTATTCAAAACAAAGCTATGAAAAGTAAGAACATCTCATTTTGCCATCTGCACTGCATACTCAAACCAAGGCAGAGCCCTGAGAGGAAGTGCCAGGGAGACCCTCACAACCGCCATGGGTACTGAAGACACGAGAAATAGTTAATGGCAGGCCACTTCTTACTTCACTTCAGATGAACGGAAATCTGAAGGCTTCCATGTTCTATAAACTCTTGGGTTTTCACATTAGAGACCAGTGGAGAGAAAGAGAAAGTGCAAGCCAGACCCCTGCTTTAAAGCACTGACCATTCTTTTGGAACAAGAAGCTCAGACAGCCCCAGTTTCCTCTGAAGTAGCACAAGTCAATGCAGGCTGAGTGAACAGAGGTCCTGGGTTGTTCAAGTGCCATCTAATTCCCTATTGAAATTCACTGCTGCCATCAGTCCAATGGCAGAGCATCTGTGCCCCTGGACTAGGGAAGCGGAGATGCCCAGATTTCTGACACATAAACCACTGGGTGAGAAATTCATCTGGAATAACAAATTTATCTTTAAAAAGCCAAACAAGGACATCCAGTTTCAGTTCCAACACGTAAAAAGCTTGGAGTTGTCACTCCCATCCTTATGATAAGAAAAAAGCTGAACAAACAGAAACTCAGCAACCTTTCTTGGACCCCTCAGAGAGCTGAGGTTGCAGAACAAACTGCCACTGGGAAATCTGAAGAGATGGGAATGCACAGGGTCCCGGCTGAGATCTGCTCACCTAGAGATGCTGCTGGGCCAGCCCCCAGTTGGAGCCTCCAAACGTTAATTCTGACAAATTGCTGGAGGCTGAGGGTGGACCAGCCTCCAAGTGAGACTGCTGGGGCTGCAGTTTTAGGGGGACACCATACACTTTTGTGTGTTTTGCCTCTGAGAACATCACCAGATTCTCAGGGTTAAGAGCCCTGATGGCTGTAGCAGGGGAGGGAAAGGCTAGTCCTAGTGACAAATGAACAGAACCTTCTCCATAACAAAGGCCTGCTCTCCAACACAGTATTCCATCTGGGGGAAGGCGTTTTCCTGACCCCATGCCCGTGCAGCCTTCCTGTCTCACCTAAGGCAGGAATAAAAGGCTAGAAACGCTTGTTAAGGTGATAGCCCAGAGATACAGGCCCACTAAAAGACTGAAATTTCATCATCAGAGTAAAACACACCACACACACACCTTCCCACCACAGCAACAGGGCTGCAGTATAACTACCACAAATTACAGTTGAAGGAGCTGCTAGACACAAGAAAGCATTCTTAGGGAAATCCAAAGACAAGAAAAGGACAAAAACAAGAGAAATAGGTGAATTTGAACCCTCTGGCACCTACAGCTACAGCAAATATTAAGAGCCTAATAACAGCCATATTAATATAAAACCTCACAGGTAAGGCCTGTTTCCTTTAATTCTTATTATCTGATACACTATATTTGGTTTTCAGCAAAAAATTAGAAGGCATGGTAAAAGGCAAGGAAAAAAGTCTGAGGAGACAGAGCAAGCAACAGAACCAGACTGAGACACAGCAGAGAATTTGGAAGGACTAAATGGGGTATTTAAAACCACTGTGGTGAATATGCTAAGGGCTGCAATGGGAAAAATGGACAAATATGCAAGAACAGATGGGTGGTATAAGCAGAGATGGAACGTCTGAGAAAAAATCAAAGAAAATGCTAGAAATCAAAAACACTGTAACAGAAATGAAAATTGCCTTTGATGGGCTCTTAAGTAGACCAGACACAGCTGAGGAAAGAAACAGTGAGCTTGAAGATAGGTCAACACAAATGTCCCAAACTAAAGTGCAAGAAAGAATGAGAAAAAATAAAAATAAAATAACCACCATAAAACACTCAAGAACAGTTGTATAATTTCAGAAAGTGTAATATATGTATAACAGGAATATTAAAAGGCAAAAAGAGAATGGAATAGATGACACATCTAAAGTAATATAAACTGATAAACTTTCCAAATGTAATTTAATAATGATAAATTAAATTACATTTATTTTATTTAATAAAATAAGCTGATAGCTTTCCAAACAGACCCCAAACCAGAGATCAAAGAAGCTTGGAGAACCCAAACAGGATAACTACCAAAAACTCTACGCTGAGGCATCTCATTCAAAGTGCAGAAAGCCAAAGTCCAAGAGAAGATCTAGAAAGAAACCAGAGAAAAAAATAACACCTTACCATAGATGAACAAATATAAGAATTACAGTCGATTTATCATCAAAAGGCAAGCATGAAGAGCGTGGAGTATTTAAAGTGATGAAAGAAGAAATCCCACCAACCTAGACATGTATATCCAGCAAAATTATCCCATAAAAGTGAAAAAGAGGCTGGGCGCGGTGGCTCATGCCTGTAATCCCAGCACTTTGGGAGGCCAAGGCGGGTGGATCACAAGGTCAGGAGTTCGAGACCAGCCTGGCCAAGATGGTGGAATCCCATCTCAACAAACAAACAAAAAAATTAGCTGGGCATGGTGGCGGGCACCTATAATCCCAGGTACTCGGGAGGCTGAGGCAGGAGAATTGCTTGAACCCAGGAGGTGGAGGTTGCAGTGAGCTGAGATGATGCCACTGTACTCCAGCCTGGGTGACAAGAGTGAGACTCTGTCTCAAAAAAAAAAAAAGAAAAAAAAAAGTGAAAAAGAAATAAAGACTTTTTCGGAGAAAGGAAAATGCAGGAAATGTGTCACCAGCAAAGTGACCTGCAAAAAATGTTAAAAGTAGTTCTTTGCAATGAGAACATATGGACACAGGGAGGGGAACAACACACACTGGGGCCTGTTTGGGGGAGTGGGCGGGGAGGGAGAGCATTAGGAAACATCACTAATGAATGCTGGGCTTAATACCTAGGTGATGGATTGATAGGTGCAGCAAACCACTATGGCACACGTTTACCCATGTAACCAACCTGCACATCCTGCACATGTACCCCAGAACTAAAAATTAAAATTTAAATTTAAAAAAAAGGAGTTCTTTGAAGAAAGGAAAATGAAATAGGTCAGAAACTCAGATCTACACAAGGAAAGAAAAGAGCTTTGAAGAAGGAATAAATGAAGGTAAAATAAAGTCTTATTTTTCTTATTTTTTTAAAAATTTGAATATAAACTTATTTTTTAATTGACAAACTTATATATATGTATTATGCACATCATGTTGTTTTGAAATACGCATACATTGTTGAGGGGTTAAACTGAGCTAATTAACACATGCACTGCCTCACATACTTATTTTTTGTGTTAAGAACACTTAAAATATATTCTATTGGCAATTTTCAAGAATACACTACACTGTTATTACCTATAGTCACCACATTGTGCAGTAGATCTCCTGAACTTATCCCTTTTATCTAAGATAAATTTTTTATCCCCTGACCAACATCTCCTCAACCACTCATATATTTTCTTATTCTTAATTGATCTAAAAGATAACTGTTTGCTTAAAGTAATATGAAAGAAAAATAAATCCCGGGACCCTAATTCACTATGGCAAAGGGAAAAATTAAGTTGGAAGCTGAGTCACACAAGAAGCTGCCTTTCCTTTTGTTGCCCAGCAGACAGCTAAAGATAAAAGGCCAGACAGAGGCCAGCTGTCTCCACGAGTGCTGCTCTGTGTTTACTTTATCTTGTGTAAAGTGTCGACTTGCTGAGCACTAGATGAATATATAATCGATTATTTCTATGTCTCCTCCTTTTCACGTGCAACACGTGGATTCAGTGATGTGACCACACCCACCCTCCTTCCCTTCCTGCCCACTTTTCCCCTTTAAATACTGAAGACCTCAAAATCCTCTTGGGAAAAAGTAAGATCACAGATTGTTCCTGTGGTTTTGTGTTCCTTTTTCCCGGATGCATCCTTAACCTTGGTTAAATAAACCTCTAAATTGCTTGAGACCTGTCTCAGATACCTTTCGGTTTACGGTAATAATAGTCAACATCTATTGAGTGATTATAGCATATGGATAAATGCAATGAATGATAGCAATGTCATAAGAAATGGAAGAAGGAAACAGAGAATACTCATTTATAAGGTACCTGTGATACTGTGAAATATTTGGTCTTGACCTCTTTTTTTGGCAAACAATTCCTAAAATCCTTGGAATCCCCAAAGTCCTTTTGCTAATGATGCTAATGTTAACTGACAGCTTCAGGATGGGGTTGCTCACTGGAAAGACAGAGGCAGGATTAGAGGGTTGGGACTTTCAGCCCAATCCCCCAACCCCAGGGAGTGGAGAGGGCCTGAAGGCTAAGTTGATCACCAATAGCCAGTGGTTTAATCAATCATGCCTACACAATGAAGCCTCGATAAAAACCCAAGAGGACCGGGTTCAGAGAGCTTCCTGATAGCTGAACACACGGAGGTTCCTGGAGGGTGGCGTCCTGAAGTGGGCATGGAACCCAAGTACACCTTCCTCCTATCTTACCCTATACATCTCCTCATCGGTGTCCTTTCTAATATCCTTTATAACAAACCAGTAAATGTTAAGTGTTTCCCTGAGTTCTGTGAGCTGCTCCAGCAAATTAATCAAACCCAAAGAGAAGGCTGTGGGAACCCCAAATGAAAGCTGATTGGTCAGAAGTCCTAGAGGCCTGGACTTAGGACTAGTGTTGGGAGAGGGGGCAGCCATGGGTTCCAGGCTCTGCACCAGTGAGGTCTGAGGTTATTTCCAAGTAGAAGATGTTAAAATTAAATTAGAGAATAAGCATCTGGTGGCCACTCCCTGCTGTGTGGGGAAAACCCCCACAATTTAGGTCACAGAAGGTTCTGTGTTGATTATCGTTGTGCTGTGAGAGCAGAGGAAAAACACAGTTTGAGAAATTTTTTCCCAAACAGTACCTATTCTAGATATGAACCAGTATTGTGTTATTTGAGAGTGAATATAGAGTAGTTGAAAATGTAGAGTGAAAACTCTAGGGCAACCACTAAAATAATTTGTAAAAGAAGTGTAATTGATATGCTAAAAGAGGAGATAAAATGGATTCATTAAAAATGCTCTATTCAAACCAGAAAGGGCAGGGAAAAAAAGGGAAAGAAGTGAACAACAACAAAAAATGTTACAAACATAGTAGAATTTTTTTTTTTAATACAGGGTCTCATTCTGTGGCCCAGGCTAGAGTGCAGTGGCACGATCATTGTTCACTGCAGCCCCAACCTTCCTGAGCTCAAGTGACCTTCCCATCTTAGCCTCCTGAGTAGCTGAGACTACAGGCACACATCTAGCTATTTTTTTATTTTTATTATTATTATTTTTTAGAGCCTGGTCTTGAACTCTTGGGATCAAGCAATTGGCCTACCTTGGCCTCCCAAAGTGCTAGGATTACAGGCATGAGCCACTGTGCCCAACCATGTAGATATTTTTAACTACATCAATCCAACTGTGCAATAATCACTTTAAAGTAAATAACCTAAATATCCCAATTAAAAGACAGAAACTATCAGAGTAGATAAAATAAAAAGCCAACTATATGTAGTCTACAAAAAATCCACTTTATATATAAAGACTCAGATTAGAAGTGAAGGGATGAAGAAAGTTATAGTGTGCTATGCTAATCAAAAGGAAGTTGGAGTACCAATATTAGTTTCAGAGAAAGCAGACTTTAGGACAAGGGAAATTATCAGAGGTCAATACGAGCATCCATAGTGATATAAAGGTCAGTTTCCAAGAAGACATAACAATCCTTAACATGTATGCACCTAAAAACAGAGCGTCAAAATACATGAGGCAAAAACTGACAGAACTGAAAGGAAAAATGGACAAATGTACTATTATAGTTGAAGACTTCAACATTTTCTTCTTAGTAATTGATACATCATCAACATCTATAGACTACATCCAACAACAGCAGAATACACATTCTTCTCAAGCTCACAGGGAACATTCACCAAGATTGACCACATTCTTGGCCAGAGAACACACCTAGACAAATTTAAAAGAACTGAAATCATACAAAGTATGCTCTTAGACCACAGTAGAATGAAACTAGAAATCACTAACAGAAAAAGATGGAAATTCCCAAATACTTGGAGATTTTAAAACACATTTCTAAATAGCATATGGTTGAAAGAAGTCTCAAGTGAAATGAAAATATACTTTGAACTAAATGAAAATGAAAATACAACTTATCACTATTGTGTATAGCAAAAGCCATACTCAAGGAGAATTTGCAGCACTAAATGCCTATAACAGAAAAGAAGAAACGTTTATAACCAATAATATAAGCGTGTACCTTAGGAAACTAGAGAGAGAAGAGCAATCCAAGCATAAAGCAAACAGAAAAAAGAAAATACTAAAAATTAAGGCAGAAATCTGAATAGAAAATTGAAAAATAATAGAGAAAATTAGACTCAGAAAAAAGGATACACAAATTATTAATATCAGAAATAAATTAAGGGATTACCAATATTAATCCATGGACATTAAAATGATAACAAAGGAACTCTATACCTCTAAATTTGACAAATTAGAAAAAGGACTAATTCCTTGAAACATACAAATGACCAAAACTCATACAAGGAGAACTAGATCGTCTGAACAGGTTTAAAGCTACTAAAGAAACTGAATCAATAATTAACGATATTCCAAAAAAGAAAGCAGCAGGCCCAGGTGATTTCACTGACGAATCCTACTAAACACTGATGGAAAAAATAGTATCAGTTTTCTGCAATTTCTTCTACAAAACAGAAGCAGAGGGAACGCTTCCTAATTTATTCTATGAGGCCAGCATTACCCTAATGCCAAAACCAGATACATAGAGCATAAAAAAGGGAAACTACAGACCAAGATCTCTCATGGACATAAAGTTCTCAACAAAATATTAGCAAGACTAAAAATGTATGAAAAGAATTATATACTTCAACCCAATGGGATTTATTATAAGTATGCAAGACTGGTACAATATTTGAAAATCAGTCAATGCAATATACCACATCAACAGGCTAATGAGGAAAAATCATATCACATCAATTGATGCAGAAAATGCATCTGGCAAAATCTAACACTCATTTATGAAAGAAAATTCTCTACAAACTAAGAACAAAGATGATCTTCCTCAACTTGATAAAAAGTGTTTATAAAAAGCTAACATCACACCTAATAATGAAATACTGCACACTTTCCCCCAAAAAAGAACAAGGCAAGGATATCCTCTCTCACTACTTCTGTTCAACATCATATTAGAAGTCCTAGCTAATGCAATAATACAAGAAAAGGAAATAAAAGATACATAGATTGAAAAGTCAGAAATAAAACTGTCTTTGTTCATAAATGATATGATTGTTCATGTACAAAATCCCAAAGAACTGTCAAGAAACTCTCAAACTAATAAGCTAGCATAGGTCACAGGATACAATATTAATATACAAAAGTCAATTGCTTTCCCATATTCCAGCAATGAAAAATTGGAATTTGAAATTTAAAATGTACCATTAAACACTGCACCAAGAAAACGAAATACTTAGGTATAAATCTGACAAAATATGTATAAGAACTATATGTAGAAAACTAGAAAACTCAAATGAAAGAGTTCAAAGATTACCTAAATAAATATAGAGATATTCCATGTTCATGGACAGAAAGACAATATTGTTAATATGTCAATTCTTCTCAACTAGATCTATAAATCCAATGCAACCCTAATCAAAATCCAAAAACTATTTTGTAGATAAAAGCTGATTCTCAAACTTATATGAAGAGGCCAAAGACCTAGAATAGCCAACAAAATGCTAAAGGAGAAGAAAAAAGAAGTTGAAGCACTCACAATACCCAATTTAAAGATTTACAATAAAAATAGTATAAACAAGTCAACATGGTATTGGCAAAAGAACAGACAAAGAGATCAATTTAATGGAATTGAGAACCCAGAAATAAAGCCCATAAATATAGTTAACTGATCTTTGAAATATCAACAAAGTCATTCAATGGAAAAAAGAGAAGATTTTTCAACAAATGGTGCTGGAAAAATTGGACATCTATATGCAAAAAAAAAGAAACCTAGACATAAAACTTACACCTTACTCAAAAAATTATATCAAAAGGGATCATGCACCTAAATGTAAAATGCAGAACTATAAAAGTTCTTTAAGAAAACACAGAATATCTTGGTGATTTGGGGTTTGGTTCAAAGACACTGTTAAGAGAAGAAAAAGAGAAGTCACAGACTGAAAGAAAATATTTGTAAAACACATATCTGATAAAGAATTTGTATCCAAAATGTATAAAGAAAAGTAAAACTCAACAATAAGAAAACAAAATGTCTAACTTTAAAAGAAGGTGGCTGGGCGCGGTGGCTCAAGCCTGTAATCCCAGCACTTTACTTTGGGAGGCCGAGGTGGGAGGATCACGAGATTAGGAGGTCGAGACTATCCTGGCTAACACAGTGAAACCCCGTCTCTACTAAAAATACAAAAAAATTAGCCAGGTGTGCTAGCGGGCGCCTGTAGTCCCAGCTGCTCAGGAGGCTGAGGCAGGAGAATGGCGTGAACCCGGGAGGTAGAGCTTGCAGTGAGCCGAGATTGCAACACTGCAGTCCAGGCTGTGCGACAGAGCAAGACCCCATCTCAAAAAAAAAAAAAAAAAGAGGGTAAAGATCTGAACAAACATCACCAAAGAAGATACAGGAACAGCAAATAAGCATATGACATAATGTTCAATATCATTTGCCAGTAGGGGACTGCAAATTAAAGCAACAATAAGATACCATTACATACCTATCACAATGGCTAAAATCCAAAAATGGACAGTATTTGTTGTCAGTTGCTGATGAGGATGCAATTGCTAGTGAGGATGCAGACCAACAGGAATTTTTATCCATTGCTTATAGGAATGTAAAACAGCCACTTAGGAAAACAGTTTAAAAGTTTCTTACAAAACGAGACATAGTCTTATTGTATGATCCAGCAATCATATTCCTAGGTATTTACATAACTGATTTGAAAACACCTGCATGTGATTGTTTATAGCAGCTTTATTTTTAATTGCCAAAAACTGTAAACAAGCAAGGTATCTTAAATAGGTGAATGGATAAACAAACTGTGGTACATCTACATAATGAAATGTTATTTGGCCATAAAAATAAATGAAGAATCCAGCCATAAAACAATATGGATGAATCTTAATGCATATTGCTATGTGAAATAAGTGAATCTTAAAAAGTAACATATTGCATAATTCCAATGACATGGCATTCTGGAAAGGGCAAAACGGTAGTAATAGTGAAAAGATCAGTAAGAGTTCAGGGAGAGAGGGAAGGATTAAATAAGTGAAGTCCAGAGAATTTTTCAGGGTGGTGAACTATTTTTATGATATGTAATTGTGGATACATGACTATGCATTTGTCAAAACCCATTGAACTGTACAGGCCAAAGAGCTAATCTGCAGATATGCTAACTTTTAAAAAGTATTTAAAAGGTGGGAGGATCTCAGGATCCTAATTTTGCAAAATGTGACAAAAAACAATCTACGAAACAACCTCACTGAAAGGGGTTGGGGGGAAAAGGTGCTGACTTAAGTAACTCTGAAAATCATGGAGTCTGTAATACTAAAGGCCAAAGAAGCTGTACATCAGTGATGAACTCTAGTTGATAAATTTGTTTCCCAGGTGGGCAGTGGTTAATAGTTCTGATACCACTACTCACGTATTTTGAAACTGACCATTAAGTAAATGGATGGCAGATGGTGAGAACCAGGTTTCTCACTGCTGGAGTGGGAACAGGGGAGGAGGCTGGACTGATCCACGCTGTAAAGGATTGGCATTGAAGACATCACTATGAACTCATGTTTAGCTTAATAGACTATTGATGGTTATATATAGAAATAGTTACAGGTTACAGGTATATACATGTGTTGGTATACACTCATATACAGTCGTCCTCCCTTATATGTGTGGAATACCCTATTCTAATACCCCTGTAGGTGCCTGAAAAAACAGATAATGCTGAACCCTATGTATACTATGTGTTTTCCTATACATACATACCTTTGATAAAATTTATCATTAGGCACAGTAAGAGATTAACAATGATCCCTAATAATAAAATAGAACAACTAGGCTGGGCGCAGTGGCTCACACCTGTAACCCCAGCATTTTGGGAGGCCGAGGCGGGTGGATCACGAGGTCAGGGGATCGAGACCATCCTGGCTAACATGGTGAAACCCCGTCTCTACTAAAAAATACAAAAAATTAGCCGGGCATGGTGGCAGGTGCCTGTAGTCCCAGCTCCTCGGGAGGCTGAGGCAGGAGAATGGTGTGAACCCAGGAGGCGGAGGTTGCAGTGAGCTGCGATCGCACCACTGCACTCCAGCCTGGGTGACAGAGCAAGGCTCCGTCTCAAAAAAAAAAAAAAAAGTATGAATTGTTCATCTCTAAAATTTGCTATTTAATATTTTTGGACCATGATTGACCGCACCTAACTGAAACCACGGAAATGAAAACTGCGAATAAAGAGGAACCAATGTATTTCCTTGTTTTGTCAGCTGAGTGAACCTAGAAGCAAAGGCCTCTCCCCCACCCAGTAATAACAAGCACACCTGGCACTGAGATTTTGGTTTCTAATGCCAACCTCCAACCAAAAGAACCAGAGCTTTCTTGGAGAAATGGCCAATTTGCCCATGGACTAGGGCAGGAAACATACAAAATGAGCCAGGAACCTCTTGTGGTGCCAGAAAGTAAGAACGTGATAAAAATTAATAACCTCACAATGATGGGGGTGTGTCAAAGGAACACAGAAGCCAACTTTTAACAATAAAGTAACATTGGATTATAACTGTGAGTATAAAATAAATATCCATGAGTCCATATTTCTATAAATACATGATTGAACACACAAGTAAATAAATAGTAAAGAAGGGACAAATCTCCCAAGGGAAAAAATTCCAAATACTTTATGTAGATACTCCGCCCTCAGGGAAGAGGAACATGATTCCCCACTCCTTAAGTGGAGGCTGCACATAGTGACTTCCTTCCAAAGAATACAATATAGGAAGGTGGGCAGGTAGAACTTCACAGTAGAGAAAACTGCCAATCACTCCCTCAGTGATCACCTGGCTAGGTGATCAAGTCAACATCAACAGTGATGCCTTACTGATAGTATGTCCCCCTGATGTGATGAGATAAGAACAGTCTTGGCCGAGCGCGGCAGCTCATGCCTATAATCCCAGCACTTTGGGAGGCCAAGGCAGGTGGATCATGAGGTCAGGAGATGGAGATCATCCTGGCCAACATGGTGAAACCCGGCCTCTACTAAAAATACAAAAAAAAAAAAAAAATTCAGCCAGGAGTGGTGGCATGAGCGTGTAGTCCCAGCTACTCAGGAGGCTGAGGCAGGAGAACCGTTTGAACCCGGGAGGCAGAGACTGCAGTGAGCCGAGATCACGCCACTGCACTCCAGCCTGGGCGACAGAGCGAGACTCTGTCTCAAAAAAAATAAATAAATAATGGTCTTTACCTCTCTGGTCTTCTTCCTCCAAATCCAGTCTAATCATGAGAAAAACATCAGAGAAATCCTAATAGAGGGGCACCCTACGTAACACTGACCAGTACTGCTCAACACTGTCGAGGTCATACGAAGTGAGGAAAGTCTATGAAAAAGCCACAACTGTGAGGAGCCTAAGGCAACATGGCGACGAAACGTGATGTGGGGTTGGATGGTATCCTGGGAGAGACAAAAAACATTAGGTAAAAACTAAGGAAATATGAATAACCATGGACTTTACATAATCATAATGTAGCGATATTGGCTCATTCATTTTAACAAATGCACCATAGTAATGTAAGATGTTACAAACAAAGAAACTGGGAATTCTTTACACTATCTTGGCAATTTTTCTGTTCATATAAAACTATTCTAAAGGATGAACTTTATTTAAAAATCCAAATGGCAATCACAACGCATAAATATCACAGCCAACCACACCCCACCCCACAGTAAGTTGCTTTTATAAACCAACAGCTGCTGGTTGCTGCAGAATCCCCAGGGCCAGGCTCAGGGGCTGTGTCCCCACTATACCCAGGGCAAGCCCCTGAGCTGCCACTGCCAGGGATTCAATCCCCCACCCAAATTAATTTACATGTGGTGTGAGTTTTACACTGACGGAATGAGGGCTTAATGTTTGCTTGGTGTAAAACTGATGTATGGAGGAATAATTTTAGAGCATGACTTTTAGAAGGACCAAAGAGGGCAGCTTCTCAATCGGCAGCAGGTGGCACGAGGATCAATAGCTGACGTCTGTGCCGCTGGACAGCAGGCCCGCCGGGAGGAGGGAAAAGCACAATGGACACACATGAAGGACCCAGTGAGGACTGAGTGATGGGCTGGGGACACCTCTCATACTACCCTGTCATGAAGGCCACAGTGCAACACAGGAGATGGGGAGGTCAGGTCAGAACACCTGTCCGGGGCCTCTCGATGGGCACTAGGAATCTGAGACGAGTCCTTGGCACTGATGCTCAAAACATCTTTCATACCTCCAGAAATTGACTCTCCTAATCCAGTTTCGAGCAGGAGGGACTCATCTATCTATGTGCAACTGACAGAATTAGAGGGTTCCCTTGTGACATCTAAACATCCCCATGAACTGAGCATACTGTATGAACACTGGTGCACCGATATTCAGCAATGACAGCATGATCGTTAATCCACCAACCAAAAATGCAAGCTGAGCGGCTGGGAAGACAAGTCACTTGCCCTTGCAGGCTCCGTCTTCTCACCCCAACAATTCTACTTAAGTAAAGAAAATAAAGCACAAAAGCTTTGAAACCACGGCTGATAGTGCAGGCTCCTCAGGGGAAAGGCAGGCACCCGACAGACCAAGAATCTGGTTTCCACACCCATCACACCTGCAGCACTGATTCACCAGTGCAGCTGAGGTGATGGAAGCAGGGAAAGTCTAAGGGGAGGGACACCGAATCATCCCCAAAACCACAACAGAATTTTCTCTGTGAACCTCTCCAACACTGTCAGCCTGATTCTTCTGCCAGGATTAACTGAATATAAACACCTAAAGCATAAATAATCCGTGTCAATAATTTAGGTGTACAGTAAGATAAAGTGCACTGCTCAATAGGCAAAACTACAGACAAAAGAAAATATACTTTAATAAAATTTACACTAGTACCAGCTAAACAAGAGGTCGAAGAAAGTTGTTAAATTTCTCATCGCATCCTCAAAGATATAACAAAGTTAAACAGGAAATTACAAAAAGAAGGTGGTTTTAAAATTCAGCAAAAAAAAAGATGAAATCATCGTGACCCCAGTGTAACTCTATAGCCATAGCTTTACATGTAAACACTGGATTTAAAATGCAAAATCTGTGGTTACTTTAGACCACTGAGACTCAATTATTTATGCTGATTATTTATAGGTAGCTTCTAATGGAAGTTGATTATTGAATATTTTCAAAGAGAAAAAAAAAGGAATAAATTCTCATTTCGCTAAAAAGCTTTGAGTTTTTTTCCTGAAGGGAAGAAAATAGATTAGGTGGTGTCCTGAGTTCCTCTGCAGCCTGGGGTGCTGGCATGAATAAATAACCGTGGTAAGAAGCAAGCATGCTAGCAGCCAAGCCACAGACAATAGTGCCCAATGCATCGCCCATCTTCAGAAACGAAACATGTTGCATAAGACATTTTCCTAAAAACTTCATACTTGGAGCCGGGTGGGGTGGCTCATGCCTGTAATCCCAGCACTTTCGGAGGCCAAGGCGGGCAGATCACCTGAGGTTGGAAGTTCAAGATGAGCCTGACCAACATGGAGAAAACCTGTCTCTAGTAAAAATACAAAATTAGCTGGGTGTGGTGGTGGGCGCCTGTAATCCCAGCTACTCGGGAGGCTGAGGCAGCAGAATCGCTTGAACCCACGGGGCGGAGGTTGCAGTGAGCCGAGATGGCGCCATTGCACTCCAGCCTGGGTAACAAAAGCGAAACTCCATCTCAAAAAAAAAAAAAAAAAAACCCTTTATACTCGGACTTTAAGCATGAGTCTTTCTAAAGTGCATTCTAATTAGAGCACATGGGGCTAGATAGGGGTGACTGGCAGAAACTGGGGAGGTCCGAAAATGCCCCCCTCAGAGAACTGACCTAAGAAAGCAGCTAGAGCCTGAGGAGACCCACTGGAGGTCACATAGAGTGAAGTGACATGAAGAAATGGCTATGGACACAGTCCTGGGAAACCAGGGAGAGGCCAGAGAGGGGTCACAGTCTGTCTTTAGAGCAGAACTAGAATTAACATCAAACGCCACCATAAGCAGAAAATAGAAGCTGATGCCACCTCTGACCTCTGAGCTGAGAAAAGTGAGTCCATACAGGGCTCATGAAGGCCTTAGAAGGGCCTGCAGAGAAGACAGGAGCACTGTGCCCAGGAGGCAGCCTGGCCAGCAGTCCAGAGACATCCAGCACCCCCCGCCCCACTTGACACAGGCGCATCAGGGTGAGCACCTGTGATGAGAATACCCACTCCCTGTGCACACAGTACCTGCATGGCCCTCCTGGGCACCCGGCTTTGGGGGGACACGTGGGCAGCGAGCTACACACAGACCCTATCCCTCCAGCAGGATCCCCCTTCCTCATTTGCATTCCATTTAGTGATAAGATTTTCCCCATAGCCTTATCCATTTTCTCTTACTCCCCAAGGAAAAATAATCAGAATTATTAGTTTTGGTGGTTATCCTATGTTATGGGGTGAATCTGTCCTTCCCCCAAAATTCACAGGAATTCCTAACCTCCAATACCTGAGACTGTGACCTTATTGGAAATAGGTTCACTGCAGATGCTATTGACTAAGATGAGGTCATATGACAGTAGGGGAGGCCCGCGGTCCAATCTGACTGTGTCCTTAGGAAAAGGGGGATTTGAACACCGAGACATGAACACGAGGAGAACGCCATGTGAATAGGAGGCAGAGACGGGGTGATGCATCTACAAGCCAAGGAACGTCACGTCACGGATTACCAGCAAATCACAGGAAGCTAGGAGGGAGACCTGGAACAGATTTTCCCTCAGGGCCTCGAGAAGAAATCCACGCTGCCAACACCTTGATCTCTGCTTTCCAGTCTGCAGAACTGTGAAGGAATAAATTTCTGTTGCTTAAGCCACCTTGTCTATCGTACTTTGTTATGGGAGCCCAAGGATAGGAATCCAGCCTGTAATGTGAACTTCAGTTTTACAGAGATGTTCCAGCAACTTCCCCGGGACATGATAACCCAGAAAACAAGTGAAGAACGTCCCGGGGGATCCTGCTGTTGTCACACTTCAAGGTCCCTGTGCCTGACTCATGGGAACCCCCAGGCCTTCCATCGGAGACTACGCGACTCTTACTAGAAGCTCAGGAAGGTACACAACCCAGGGCAGGCAGAACACTTTATCTCTAATGAGCAGCAAGCAGGGCTTTCAAGGCAGTAAGAATTTCCTAGCTGTTTTCTTCCTCATCGCAATCAATTCTGAAAGGCATGTTTTCATAGTTCGAGGATTCTAAGGGCTACAATGAAAGTCTCTGCTATTAGGTTAAACATTTGAACAACATATTAAATATTCAAATAGAACATTAGGTTGAACTTTGAGCATATTAAAATACTTTAAGGTTAACACTGAAAAGGAACTTTTTGTAGTAAATTAAAGGTGGCTTCTCCTCCTGAAGGAAAGTGGAGTCTAATTCCTAGCCTCTCGCACACCGGCCGGCCTGTGACTTGCGTGATCCAGCGAATGTGACAGAGGTGACACTCTGGGACACGGGAGGCTGAGTTGTAAGAAGCCTCTTGGAGCCTCTTAGAATGCTGGCTCTGGCAGAAGCCAGACACTATGTAGCAAGTATCACTCACGTGGTGAGGAAGCCCAGGTACCCACATGGAGACGCCATCTGAAGACAGAAAGGTGTCTGGCCAGCCCTGGCTGCTCTGTCTATCCCAGCCAGGCATGTGAGTAAAGGAACCTTTTTGGACATTCCATCGCAGCAGAAATGACATGCAGAAGACCCAGGGAACCCAGCCAACAGCGGGAACCAAGATCCCAAACGTATGGCCCCAGCACAGCTGCCCCGGCCATCTCCAGCCATCAGTGAGGGTTCTAGTCACTGGTCTGTCTCTGGGTCATCCTGCTAAATTCCTCACTCACAGAATCATGAAAAGTGGTTGTTTAGTGCCACTATATTTTGGGGTGGTTTATTGTGCAGCCATAGATAACTGGAGCACACTTTTCTGTGAAGTATTTTCTTTCCAGACTCGAACAGTTAGATGGGTTTATCCGGAGGCTACGGTGTAATTGAAATTCCATTAAAGATGCTTTTTAACAAGTAAGCAGGACTAATGTATCTTCCCACTGCAAAGGCCTGCACTATCTTTGCCAAACCACATCATACTCTGTGAAGTCATCCAGTACAACACGTACCCCAAGTTCATACTCTTTAACAGCTCTCTGAATCAAATGGAGACTTAGTCAGGGTGAACAGTGTCACTGCAACGCTTGCAAGCAAAGTAGGATTCAACCCCACAGCAGAGGTCAGAAATGCCAATAAAAATGACCTTCTGGGGTCATTTATGGGTTTCACAGCTCTGATTTCAAGAGGTACCAGATATGCCAAAGAAAATGTGGCCAAAGACCTGGAAATACGGGCTCTTCTGATTCAGTAGGGCCAGGGGTCGCTGCCCCAGCCAGAGGTCAGCCACCTTGGGGTCAGCCACCCTGGCACTGCCCAGCTAAGACAGTCCCCACAGAACCTGAGAGCTGGCTCTCCATTGTGTCTCTCCAGAGAAACAGCCCCAACTTCTGTTGGTTGTCTGTACAGACTTCAAAGGAAAAATATCTTCCTCCTATCTCATGAAAACATTCCTTGCTGGGGCTGGACGCAGTGGCTCACACCTGTAATCCCAGCACTTTGGGAGGCCGAGGCGGGTGGATCACAAGGTCAGGAGATTGAGACCATCCTGGCTAACACGGTGAAACCCCATCTCTACTAAACATACAAAAAAATTAGCCGGGCCTGGTGTCGGGCGCCTGTAGTCCCAGCTACTCAAGAGGCTGAGGCAGGAGAATGGCATGAACCCGGGAGGTGGAGCTTGCAGTGAGCCGAGATCACGCCACTGCAATCCAGCCTGGGCGACAGAGCGAGACTCCGTCTCAAAAAAAAAAAAAAAAAAAAAAATTCCTTGCTGGGACATAAACCCTTTTCCTATCGTCATACTTGTCCAAACTGTGAGTTCACAGCCAATGATACTTGGATGCGTGGCCTCTGCTGGGTAGATAACCTATGCCAAACTGTTTTCAAATAGACAGAAAACCAACATTAATATGGTTTGTTGTTGTTGTTTTGAGACAGAGTCTCACTCTGTCACCCAGGCTGGAGTGCAGTGGCGTGATCACAGCTCACTGCAGCCTTGATCTCCCAGGCTCAAACAACCCTCCCACCTTGCCTCCCAAGCAGCTGGCACTATAGGCACACACCACCACATTCAGCTAAATTTTATTTTTTTAGTAGAGACAAGGTCTCACTATGTTGCCCAGGCTGGCCTGAAACTCATGAGCTCATGTGATCCTCCTGCCTCAGCCTCCCAAACTCCTGGAATTACAGATGTGAGCCACCGCGCCCAGCCTTAGTATGTTTTAAAAGTCAAAAGAAAACAGTTACTAACAGTGACCTGAATCTGCCTACACTTGGAGGCTCACCGTTTTCACGTGCTCACGTATGCCATCTCCTTTAAGCCTCAGGTCAAGTCCATGTCATGCTCATTTCAGCAAAAATGTCAGGCAGCTCTCCCTGGCCCACAGCTGGCTCCTGGTAGGGCAGTCAAAGTCAGATCTACCAGATGCCAGCACCCATGAGAAAAGGATCTGGATGGTGCCAACCTAATACCCCCTCCATCCCCAGCCACCAGCAGCGCCGAGGTCCTTCCGTCCATGCTGTGTGCATGGCTTTTCTCATCCCCTCTCTGACCCCAGCAGCTGGGTGAGCATCTTACAGATCTCCTTCCCAGATCCCGTGCAAAATGGCCAGAATTCTAGGTCTCAGGCTGTTCATTTGTTTGATGTGAAGTTAGACTTAGTTACCTTGGTGTTAGGAGAGAACAGTGTTTAAATTATGTGTGGCAAGGAAAATTAATTTGAGATTATGAATTCCCTGCAGCGTTCAAAGAGTATCATGGAGCTTAAGAGCAAGTTGGCTGGGTCTCAGTTTATTGACCTGGAGGAATGTGGAAATGCTAAGGGAAAGCATGGAGCTGAAGAGTGCTGTGCGGACTGTCAATCCATTTCCATCTGAAATCACACTGGAAAACAGAAAAGCCTACCTGTGGATCTGTGTGGGGGCATGGAGAACAGTGTGGGTGGAGATGCAAAAAGCTCCACCTCAGAGAGCTGGGAGGGAAGCGGAGTCAGGGAGGGCTGCCTGCCTTTTTCTGTAGACATTCCCCTACTGATTGACTGGTGACAGTGAGATTTTATCACGTTTGTAATTTCCAGAAGGGGAAGGCACAATGACTGGTTACAGTGAGATTGTATTACATTTGTAATTTACAGAAAGGGAAACACACAAACTGCAAGAGAAATAGATCCCTAGAGAGCGTGGTCCAAGAAGGCTGTGTCCACATTTCCACATTCCCTGTGGCTGAATGCCCAGACTTTGAGATCAACCCCATCAGGAAGAAAGTTAAAGACAGAGGCTAATCAGAGTTTGGCAATGCTGAGAGCTTCCACGTGCCAGGTCCTGCCTGGGCTCTTTACCTATATTACGTCATTCAGTTTTCACAACTTCCCCATGAGGTGTCATCCATGTTACAGGTGAGAAACTGAGGCACAGAGACAGTAGCAATTTCCCTATGATCCTAAAGTGATCAGAGGTACAGCTGGGATTCCCATCCAGGCATCCCAAAGCCTGAGCTCTCTATGTTGTGACACTTCATAGTTGTGTTGACTTTTATCAAATCATTCAACCTCTTTGAGGGTCATTTTTCTTATCTGTCAAATGAAGGTGACAACAACACCTTCTTTTTGCAAAGATTCCTTTGCAAAAAGGAATCTTACATATCTTTATCATATGTATCTATATCATCATACATGTACGTATATCATCTCGCCCAGTGCCTGCAGACAGGAGACTGCAGAGCTATGTGCCCAACCAACCTCACAGGGAGGGCACTTTTGAGTGTGGGCAAGGTGCCATCAAATCCACTGATAAGGGACAGTTTAGGGAGTGAGGAGTGCATGTCCCACAGCCCCTCTGCATATAAGGAGTGAAGAGGAGGGTGGTGATGAGGTAGGACAAGGGTTGGAATAGGAGATGAGACTAAGAAACCAGGCAGCTCAGGAGGCTGAGGCAGGAGAATCACTTGAACCCGGGAGGCAGAGCTTGCAGTGAGCCAAGATCGCGCCACTGCACTCCAGCCTGGGTAACAGAGCGAGACTCCATCTCAAAAAAAAAAAAAAAAGAAAAGAAAAAAAAGAAACCAGGCAGGCACAGATGGCCACGTGGAGAGGTCAGCCCCTGAGAGGGCTCTGGACCACAGCCTGAACAAAGAGCACGGATGCAGGCAGCTGCCTTGGAGGACACAGAGGATGTCTCTTTGTGTCGCCTCCATAGGGCACTGGTGTCTGGAAGAGCTCCTCGGCCAGCCATCACTTAGATGGCTGGCTGACTGGGTTAACTTTCCACCCACTCCCTCCTCCAACCACCCAGCTTGATGTTCCTTCAATACCTCTTCAACACTCATGAGGAGGGACGGGAGTAAACTGGTTTTCTTTTAATAAAAAATATTATGCCTTTCTTTTTAATTGCAAAGTAAGGTTTTAAAAAATACCATTTCCAAATAAAACGGTTGTGGGAGGCATAGTAAACATTTAAAATTTACATCATACAATGAATTATTGATTCCCAGCAAATAATACTCCCCCCACTCAGTTTCAGATTTTCAGCTGAATGTAGCAGGGCCCGAGAGCCTGTGCCAGGCCCAGTCCTCTACATCAGGGACCAGGGAACACTTGGACGGGGTGGGGTTTTATGTGTCCCTCCACTGCCCTCAAAGGCACTGCCAATCTCAGCAACAGGAAGGTGCTGACTCCTGACTCACCAGCTCTACTGCAAGTCCATCACCTGCAAAACCTCAGTGATTTGGTCCAGTGATGTGCTACTGCCCAGCACTAGTGGAGTTGGCACGAGATAGGGCCCCTGGCAGCTGCCCAGCGGCCCACCCCTCCATTCGGCTTCGATGCCATGGGAGAGGGCTGGGGCCAGTGACAGTCAAGACCCATGGGCCCAGGCCTTCAGAGTGGCTCTTAGCATAAGGGAGAAGGGGGTCAAATAAGGGAGAAACAGCAGGGAAAATTGAAAAGACATTCTAATGGCTAGTGGGGTGGAGATGGAACAGGTAACCAGGTCTTTCTGGGGACAGACAGGCATGATATGAGAGATCCATCCAAGGATCCGTGTTTAACTGGGACAGGTGTGCAGCTTCGGGATGTGGGGATGAACTGTGAAGTGAAGACAGAAAGAAAATTCGTGCGCTGTAACAGGCTCAGTGCTCTCTCTACCATATGTCACCATAATATTTCAATCATTAGATCTGAACTAAATACAGATTTAATTTACCAAATAACGTTTTAATGACAACAGCAGTGGCCCCCAGCAATACTCCAATTTACGTACAACTTCGAGATAAATTACATCGTTTGACTTGCGAGAAAGATGTCTAATTAGGAAGATTTCCAGATATAAAGAACTGTCACTGTAAGGCATGTCATCTCATCACTCTAAAGTCACTCATTAACATATGAAAACATTCCCGTTTAATAAACTGCTTATGTCAAACGAGGTCCTGAAGATGGGACGTGGGTGAAGGTGCTGCCCAGTAGGCGGCTCAACTGATTCATCACCTGATGTTATCGGCCATGGCCATCCCTCCGCCTTCAGATGGAGTCGCCAGATAGATATTTTTGCCATACAAGGTTCTTATTTCATTTTATCGTATTCTGATTTTCTAGCTGGGTATATTTCAGAATTAGTATTTGTGTTAGGATAAGACACTAAGATTCTCTTGAAGCACTGGTGTTTTACACAGTTTATCTTAAAGGCTGCTTCCAAGTTGCTGCAAGATAAAACTGACTTAAGGAGTCTGTCAATTAGATGCAACCATGGTAACCAGAGAAAACTGCAAAATGGCCATAATTCTGCAACTTTGCCCCAAATGAGGACAAAACCACCCTGTATCCAATACAATACATATACTGGGTTTTGTAGTGGCATGAAGAAATGCCTTCTGAAGTTGGCCCAGTTTAGGAGGTATCAGGAACGACATCTCAGTGGGTTTTTGCAGGAAGAATAGGAGTTTGCTGATAAATTTCATGCTTCCTCTGTAGACAATGGGGAAGCATCAGAGGGGACGTAGCAGGGTGTTGAAGTGACAAGTTCTACAGCAGGGAGGGTGGATTTGGAGCAGGGCAGGGATGAACAGAGGGCCAGTGCAGGGGAGGGGACCACTCAGAAGAATGCTACATTCCTTTCAGACCAAATGTGTTTGCAGCCTCACTGGGAATGCTGGGTTAGACCCTACACCAAAAACTACCTGGAACAAGAGCTGTTCTAATAATGCTAAGCATATGTGAAACTGTGATGATTCTAATATTGGAACTTTTTATTTTAACAGAAAACCAATTATCGTAGGAAGCTTCTACCATCTCTCATCCAACAGTGTTAGCATGACTGTTACTAATACATTGAAAAAATAAAAATAGATAATGGAGATCTGGCAAGGTGGCCGAGGAAATCACATGTATGAGAGATGGGTGGATGAAAAAGTCCCAAACCCCTTCAAGAAGCATCCGTGCCATTTCAAGCTTTCCAGAACTTCAGAGTCATGGACTGTCTACTCCTGTTTCTCTGTATCCTCCCCCCAACCCCAGTTTTAATTTCCATTCTATTTTCCCTTTATCCATTTACTATTTCACTTATTTATGACTCAAATATGCCAGGCCCCATGGGAGAGCTGGGACACACAGTGAACTAACTGGAGCCAGCACCATCTCACACTATCACTCCCGCCTTCCAGTGAAGGAGAGAACCAATAACCACAGGGCTGGTTAGGGAAGTACAACTGTGCCACATACTCCCAAGGAGAGGCCAGGTGCCTCTGAAGGCTTATAGAGTAGACATGTCCTGCCCATCACACCTTCGTCGTTTGTGTCAGAGCTACAACTAAAATCTAGAATTCCTAATTTCCACCCTACTCACTCTGCCTCATTCATTTTTCGGTTTATTCATTTGCTCATTCATTTGCTTATACCTTTGTTCACTGCCCATTCATTCTTTCAACATTCGATCAGTTATTCATCCATTAATTACTCACAGGGCAGGCCCTCTTGTCTCAGCTCAGCTACAAGGCACAGAGGCATAACAAGGCTAATGAACACTCACGGGTCATAACCAGGGTGCTACGGGCACATTGGCCAGTGAAAGCTGAACTGGTCTGGGCAGCTCGATGAAGGCTCTGCAGAAGTGGCCCTGACAAGTGCTAGTGAATCACTCCACAACATGCAAACCTGATCACTAACATAATATGCAACACACGCTCACATGTTCCAGGTGCCGCGCAGACAGGACCCCTGCCCCTTGAAAGTCAGAGTCAAAAGGGGGAGTGGCGAGGAAGCAAAGGCTGCATCTTGTGTCAAGCGCCGTGGAAGGGAATAGTGAAGTACTCCCGGGTCTTGGGGGCCTTCTATAAAGAAGGTGGTAGCATCTGGGCCTGGAGCCTGCAGGAAAAGAACCGGGAGAAGCACCTTACAAGCACGGAGAGAAACCGTGGAAAGTTACAGAAACTGTCAGGAGGCCCGTGGCGCTGGACTACAGGATATTGTCAGATGAAGTCAGCAGCTTGAGCAAAGCATTGCAGGTGGAGGAAAATTTTTTTAATTTTTTCCTATATGTGTCAAGAAGCCACTGAAAGCTTTCAGACGACTTTTTATTGACAGAATCCTATTTACATCTTTAAAGAAGTATACTGGTTGGACCCTCAAGCCCATAGAGGGGTAATGTTGCAAGTAGAAAAGACCACCCCTTGCTCTAAGTGATGAGGCAGATTCCAACCCTTGGCCAGGCCGCCATGCAGGGCAGAAGGTGCCCTGATTCTGGCTGCTGCAGAAGTTGGGGGATGGCAATTGAAACCAAAGAGGTGGCCATACAGATGGCGATGAGGGGACGGACTGCAGGTAACTTTTGAAGGAACAGCTGGTGGGATTTGTATGTGTATGGGCAGGGAGGTGAGGGAAAGGGACTGCTGTGCGTTCCATGCATCTTGATTCCATTATCTCTGTGGCCCTAATGCAAGCTTTCAGCTCTATAGGAATGCGAAACAACTGCAGATTTCCCATCGGGCACATGCCAGAGATAAGTGCTTCCCAGAGATTCTTGGTTGTTCTCAGTCTTCTGCATCACATGCCATAGTGCGACGAAGTCTCCCTTCCGATGTACAGGTCTCTCTGCAGGATCAAATTCCAGAACCGGGATTCCTGAGTCAAAGCGTGAATTAACCTATAATTGTCTTAATTCTGAAAAATTATCCTCCTGGGGCTGGTTGGGGGGGCATTTTACACTCCTCTTAGCAAAATGTGAAAAGGTCTGTTTCACCCCAGCCTCAGTGAAAGATTATGTTCTCCAGCTTGTGGGTTTTTGCCTGACATGGCAGGTGACATACAATATCTTACTGTTGTTTTAATTGTAATTTCTGTTACCACGAGGTTCACAGTGTTTTCATGTGATTAGGCCATTTCTGTGAGCTCTCTGACCCCGCCCATTTTTCTTTTGGATATTTGTGGTCTTTTTCTTATAAACTTCTAGAATGCAGGAACTATTCACGATCTGAATTAGAAATATTTCTCCCAGTTTGGTACTTTGCTTCTAAGTTTGCATACTTTCTTAGAAATTTTATTTTATTTATTTAGCCACGTAAAAGTTTTTGCTTTGATATGGTCACATTTATCAAAATTTGATAGCTGCAAAGAATACTATATGAGCTGGTAAAAAGGAATGGGGGGGGGGGGTGGTTCTTCGGTCCAGATTTAGAAAGATCTCCAAATGCATTGTGAAGTGGAAAAAGCGAAGGTACATATTCTACCCCTTTTTCTCTGAGAAAGAGAATGTGGGCACGTATGTTCTTATTTGTTTATATTTTCATAAAGGAAGTATGATAGGTTATTTTATATGTCAGCTTGGCCAAGCTATGGTGCCTGGTCATTTGGTTAAACACTAGTCTAGATGTTGCTGTGGCTGTCCTTTTAGATGTAATTCATATCTACAATAAATAGACTCAGTTAAGCAGATTACCCTCCATACTGCGGGGGGCCTCATCCAATCAGTCAAAGGCCCTCAGAGCAAAGACTGAGGTTCCCCAAGTAGAAGGAATTCCTTTCAAGACTGTGACATAGAAAGCCCAGCTGAGTTTCCAGCCTGCAGAATTCAGACTCACAAATGAAACCTCAACACCTACCTAACCTCCAGCCTCCCTGCTGCCCTACAGATTTCAGGCCTGCCAGCCCCCACAATCAGGTGAGTCCATTCCTTTAAAAAAAAAACCAGGCGCTCTCTCTCTCTCTTTCTCTCTCTTTCTCTCTCCCTCTCTGTCTCTTCCTCTCATTGGTTCTGTTACTCTGGAGAACCCTGATTAACACGGGAACACTTGGAGGATTCCACAAAAAATGAGTACAGTAACTGTGTGTGGGAAGGATGAGGGAGGGGTGGTAATGGGAATTCTCAGTTTAGGCCTTGTTATAGTTAGAAACTTTAAGCCGTGTAAATATCTCACCTACTCAAAACAGAAAGTAAAATTTGGGGCAAAATCAACTTTTAGGTATAAAATAAAATAAATGCTCTATAAATTAAGCAATAAAGGTTATTTGTTTTATAGAAATTTAAGATACAAAAAAAGAGAATTATCCAGGTTTATCCAAAAGATGAACTGCTCAGGAAGAAGACAATTTTTAAAAGCACTGAGATGCAATTCTTTTAAACATGAACCTATATACCATATTTAAATCCATATAATATTCTACAAATCTGGTGTATCCTCCAAGCATTTGATACAAGGTTTAACTCTCACCAACTCTTCCACTCCTGACCCCACCAGGTGGGCAAACATAACTTGTGGCAATCTGCAAAGAGGCCAGGCCACGACCTGGGCTGGAGTGGCCAGCCTGTGGCTGGGGAGACTTTCCAGGGAACAGGTGCCACCTCCCCAAAACGCTTCACGCTGCGTGCAAGGATTCAGAGATGTCCAGGGTAAACCAGCACTTTTTAAGCCAAATCTAAATGTTTAATAAAAACTAAGAATGATGCATAACAAGAGCTTCATCCTGGAAGTACACACCATTTTACAGGAAACTCAAACCCTAAACATATGTAATCTTGTTTGTAGCAGGGAACTTCCTCCCTGCTAGATTGAAGAAAAGTATTACCATCTGGGACACATTCCTCTCACCCTAAGAAGGGGCTTTATAGAAGGGTCTTTACTTTTATTAGCAGCACCCTGCTATGCACCTGCTGATGTTCATAACACATGGGGCTTTCTGGGCCACTCCAGTGACTGCTGAGCTGGCACCTGATGACATTTCTTCAAGTAAGTTGCCTTAGTTGACCCAGCTACTGCTCCACACCAGAGGTGGAGTGGGGAGGGGTGTCCTCTGGTGGAAGGTCAGTGCCACAGAGAAACACTGGGCACTCAGACTGCATTCGGTCCTGGGACAGACAGCGTGTCCCCAAGCATCCACAGTGCAGCGTCCACAGAGAGGCCTGACTCCCAGGGGCTGACAGAGGCAGAGGACAGAGCTATTTATTGAAATGAGGAGTGCCCTGCTAAAAGAAACTGCATGCATAGCATTATAGAGCCAGGTAAACTCATGGTGAGGAGTCTGTGTTTTGGATTAAACACGCACGCGCGCAGACACACACACACACACACACACACACACACACACACACACGTCTGTGTTTAATCCCAGCTCTATTACATAACTTTCTGGAGGTTGTTTCCCTTTGCCAAGGCTGCCTTTCCCTACATTAAGTGGGAACAATATAATCCCACCATAAAGAACTGTCATGAAATCCGAACGCAATGATGACCACTAAGGCTACAAGTGCCCGTACCGTAGGTAGTAAGTGCTTACTAAATGCTGGCTCCTCCTCCGTAACTGATGGGAATATTAGGAGACATATAGGTCTTTGGATAGTTCTTGAAAGCTGTCTCTAGAGGCTGTATTTGGAAACATATCACATGGATCATCTCTTGAATGAAGTTCCTCGTGACCCTTAGGCCTTTCAGGAGTAATGCCAGGGTCCTTCCTGTGAGCAGCTCAGCCGAGTGGGGCTAGCGGGGAGCAGAGATGGGGCTGGGACAGAGCACAAGCACAGCCCTGGGGTGGGGTAGACAGGGATGCTGGGCAAGCACACCCCACCTCCGCTCCCCGCCAAGGCTGTCTGCTTTCTGCACCAAGGCCCCTTCTACCCCTGCAAGCCCACCTGGCCCCCTGCACACAGGAGAGTTGATGCCCCCAGAGGAAACAATTAGGGGGAATGGGAACAAGGCCCCGCATGCCCTCTTCAGGGGGACAGTTCTGGGACATTCTGTACGGCTCCAGGCACCCCCCAGGCTCACAGTGGCAGCCCTGATAACACCCCCCAGGGATTCCTTCTCCTGCCCCACATCCCCCCCAGCTCCTCACACCTGCTTCCTTGTCCTGGGCTCTGCTTCTGGGCTAAAAACAACCCCAGCGGGGAGAGCTGTTAGGAATGCAAAGAGGAGACCAAGGACTTGAGGCCCCTCCTATCACCTCATTTACATCCCCAGGAGTGCAGGCCACACTGCCCATCAAAAGCACGTCCCCGTGAGGCAAGATGATGATGATCGCAGCGGACATTTATTACCTGCCAGACACCAACCTAAGCACCTTATTATTAACTATTTTAATTCTCACACCAATTCCACAAATTACTATGAGTTTGTTTTCCAAAAGAGGAAACTGGGGCACAGAGAAGCTAACTTTCTGAGGCTGCCCAGCTGGTGAGCAGCAGAGCCAAGCATCCCGCTCGGCGAACGAGCTCCAGAGCCCATGCACTCAAAGGCAGAAGCTGCGCTGCACAACGACGCCAAGAAGAGAACCTGGAGGGTCCAGGCTGGCAGAAATCAGGGAGGGCAAGGGCAAGGAGGAAGCCAAAAGCTAAGAACAAAGTCAGACAAACGCCGAGGCAGAAGCCAGGGAAGCAGAGCATGTCACCAATTACTGGGGACATGCTCTGAGAGAGAGGGTTTGAGAACTGCCACTCACCGGCCGGGGACTGCTTGTTCTAAAGGTGCCTCAGGCTGAAATCCAGCTGGGCCTGTGCTCCAAGCCAGGAGTCCTGGCACAAAAACACGGATCTTTGCTCTTTCTGTCCGCAGGGCCTGGGATCTCAGCCCCACCCCAAGACAGTAGAAGAGAAGGGACCCAGGCAGGGGCTGTGGTCAGTGTAGAGCCTCTGGTTTACTAGGGAAGTCAAGCCTGCTGGTTCCCATTTTCTCCATAAATTACTCCCATTAAAGTCAAATATCCACATTAACTAAATTTTTGATATTTCACAGAATGGTTCCACAAAAAGAGTACTTTCATTTAGCTTTAAACAGCCCTTTCTGCTGACATCCAAATTCGTATTTCACTTCCCTCTCATCTTTAATTAAAGCTTATTATCCTCTGTGTAAACCAAGAAGATTTATGACATTATTTAGTGAGTTTTCTTTTTTTAAATTATAAATAACAGTAAACTTCAGAAAATGCTCCAATTTCACAGTTATTTGTTTTCAAGATTTTTGGCCACACACTAAAGCTAAAGCTAACCTCCAAAAGGCGCAAGTCACATCTTAAATGAAAGCTCTGATCAAATCTAGTCCTCCCCAGCTTCTCTGGGCATAAATTGGAATTTTAAGCCATAGGCCAAGAGTTAAAACTATAGCTTCTGATTTGCTTCCAATGCGATCTGTAACTAGTTATTCATGGTCCAAAGAAAAGTTTGGATTCATGTCAGAACCGCCTCATACACACAGCCATCTGAAAAGTCCCAGAGAAGCCCTGTTTAAATGCAATCCAAACTGATCCTGCCATGTTTCTTCTAAAAGAAGGAACCATTTCCTGTCTCGTGTATGGTTTCTTTTCCTTTCTTTCTTTCTTTTTTGAGACAAGATCTTGCTTTGTCACCCAGGCTAGAGTGCAGCTTCACCATTATAGCTCACTGTCTTGACTCATGCAGTCCTTCTGCCTCAGCCTCCTGAATAGCTGGGACTATAGGCCCATGCCATTGTGCCTGGCTAATTTTATTTTATTTTATTTTTTATAGAGACAAGGTCTCGCTGTGTTGCCCAGGCTGGTCTCCAACTCCTGGCCTCGAGCAATCCTCCCACCGCAGACTCCCAAAAAGCTTGGAATTACAGGTGTCAGCCACCACGCTGAGCCTATGGCATCTTAATTTTTAAATTTTTCATCTCTTTTCACTATTTTTTCTACAGGAGATCATTATTTCATTTAATATAGATACCCATAGTCACAAAGAGACTTAGGACTTCAGAATCAGAAAACAAATCAAAAAAATACAATGTCCTACTACAAGAAAATAGTTTTTACCTTAAAAACCATGGAGAAAGGAAAGTGCTAGGAAACGATGGACCAAAGTGATTGTGATTGAAAAGAAGATAAGGGGCAACTGGAACAAAGCATTCACATGAAGTCCGTCAGCACCTAGAAGGGCTCATCAGGAGTCTACGCAGGCTCGCCAACACAGCAGCAACTGCAACACTCACTGCTCTTTTACTGACAGGATCAAGGCATGTAGACACGGTATCTGCGAGGCAGAGGTCAATTCAGATTTTTAATTTCTCTCCTGCAGCCCAGAGCCTTGTATTGGGAGACCAAACTTCCATTCACTGTCATGGCATTCTGGAGGGCACAGAGAGTCAGGTGTAACAAATATAGAGGGGCACCATCTGGGATGGGTGGGGAGTATTGTCAGATTCTGCGTCAGGGTGCAAGGGGTGGGCGAGCTTACCAGAGTGAGGGGAAATCTATAAGGAATACATGTCCAACCTTGCACTAGAGTTTGAAAAAACATCAACTTTTAAGTGCTGAATCCTGAATGCATTTATTGAGTCCAAAAATATCTGTGTATGTCTTCAATGTGTCAGGCACTGTTCTCAGTTTGGGCATGCGGCAGTGAATAAAACTGTCAAGTAAATTTCACACAGTGAGAGGGCAAGAGGCTTGATACATCATATAGGGTATTAGAAGGTGGTAAGTGGGGGAAATGGAAACAGGGGGAGGTCTAGGACAGGGAGCAGCAATGTTGAACGGGTCTGGCCTCACTGAAATGTCAACAGAACGAGAAGAGGGCCGCAGGGCTGCAGCTACGTGAGGAACAATGTTCCCGACTCAGGGAGCAGTGTGGAGGCGTGTGGCTGGAGCTGAGCTGGAGAGGAGAATCCAGGAAGACCGGCTCGGGAGTGGGAGGGGTGGTTGCAGATGGAGGAGTTGGCTTTTAGCCTGAGAGAATGTGGAGTCTTCGGAGCATTTCCATTACAGGAGTGACAGGATTTGGAATGAGCTTTGAAAGGTTCGCAAAAGTAGCTCTGAAGAAGTGGGGTTATGTGGCTTCTGCAATGTGACCCGCGATTTGGCACAACCTTGAGAACTCCAGCCCCAGTAGGAAAATGGCCAAAGGCCATAAAGAAGTCACACAAGAATTCACAGAAGAATATTTTCAGCCCCATGGTGTCATATGAGTAAAACCACACAGTTCCATTTCAGCACCAGGTGGGAACCTGTCTCCTATAAGTTAAGCGGTATAAATGAAAATTTAATCATGATTTTCCCTTTCATAGAATTGTGGCCTAACTTCTGAATTCTGATAAAATAACTTAACATTGGCCAACAAGATCACTCAGCATCTGAGACCTAATTTGATAACCATAACTCAAATATCTCATCAACTGAAGTTGCAATTAACAAAAAGTCCAGTTGGCAGAGCAGGGCCTGGATGATGAACGATTCACAGCTGATCTGGGGCTGCCGCCTCTACGGCGGTGTCTTCTTTCCAGACCCCCCGAAAGTTCACAGACTGTCACACATGCACACAACTCCCGTGGCCCTGCAAAACCAGCTCCCATCAGGAAACATGTGGGCTCCTTCCTGCATGGTACAGTGAAAAGCAAAATCCTAACGTACTTACTCGCATTAAAAAAAATAAAATGAGAAGACTCAGTTTTATGTCTACACAACTGCAAAAACAAAACAAAAGTCAGAGATGTGAACTCCAGATTGTTAACATATCTGCTGAAACAAACAGAACAGTTTAATCAGGAATGTGTACAAGCTATATTGCATACAAATTGGCATCAATCATGAATAAATGAATTTTGGCTTTTTGCATCTCATGTATGGGACTTATTTACATGGCATACTGGCAAACTGGAATGTAAACTAACAATATAAATGATATTGCAATTTAGGAGCATCCCCAAGCTGCCAGAAATAGGAAGAAGGCAGTGTTTTGGTTTCCTACAGTATGGAAAACTTATAGTGATAACCCAACTAATTCATAGCAAGGGGGAGAAGACAGCACACTAACCTTTAATAAATTAATAGGATTGGGAGGCTAAGGCAGGTGGATTACCTGAGCTCAGGAGTTCGAGACCAGCCTGGGCAACACAGTGAAACCCCGTCTCCACTAAAATACAAAAAATTAGCCTGGCGTGGAGGCGCGTACCTGTAGTCCCAGCTACTTGGGAGGCTGAGGCAGGAGAATTGCTTGAACCCAGGAGGCAGAGGTTGCAGTGAGCTGAGATAGCACCACTCTGCACTCCAGCGTGGGTGACAGAGCGAGACTCTGTCTCAAAATAAATTAAATAAATAAAAATAATAATTAATTGATTAATTAATTAATTGGAGCTGTTTTCCCTTTTCTGCAGGTACTGAAAACCATCTTATGCCTGCCTATAGGCATCTCCATTTAAGGGCTTCCCACACCCTGAAATACAAACACTACCAACCAAGCTATAAATTATATTGCTTTCTACTCCTGTTTCTACTAGCTATTTCTTTAAAATTTGCTAAAATCTGCCTACAAAACTATCTAAACTTGGTGTCTATTAAGAAATAGGGGGATTTTTCAACTCTAATTTGAGTTCTTTAATAACTATTTCTGTTTGGGTTTTCTATTTCTTCTTAAGTTTGGCTATATTATTTATAAATTAAGCCATCTCATCTAAATCTTCAAATATATTGGCATAAGGTTGCTGATTATCATGTCTGAAATCTCTTGTTTATATTATTTTCCTTTCATATTTCTCCATTATTCATGTTTCTTCTCTTTTATTGTAATCAATAACAGGTGTATGTACTTATAACTCTTTTCAAAGAATTTTTGATTGCCTCTATTGCTTCTTGGATATCCATTTCGTTACTTTTCCTTTAATCTTACTTATTCTTTTTGTGAATGTATGCATTTACTTTGATTAAGAATTTCAAACAGAAATTTAAGTTTATCTCTGGTGTTTGTGAAATGTGAAAAGTAACTGAAAACTGCAAAAACAAACAAAAACTCCTAAAGCTCCCACCAAAAGTTTTGCAATAATTATTAATATTTCATAAGAGAGGGTGGGTATGGTGGCTCACGCCTGTAATCTCAGCACTTTGGGAGGCCGAGTTGGGTGGATTACCTGAGGTCAGGAGTTTGAGACCAGCCTAGCCAACATGGTGAAACCCTGTCTATACTAAAAATACAAAAATTAGCTGGGCATGGTGGCGTGCGCCTGTAATGCCAGCTACTTGGGAGGCTGAGGCAGGGCAATCGCTTGACCCAGGAGGCAGAGGCTGCAGTGAGCCAAGATCACGCCACTGCACTCCAGCCTGAGCAAGAGTGAGACTCCGTCTAAAATAAATAAATAAATATATATATAATACACATACATTTATACATTTCATAAGAGATAAGAGAACACATCAATGCAGTCACAAGTCACTTAATGACAAAGATACAATCTGAGAAATGTGTCATTCTGAGCAATGCAAATGGTAACTTCATCATTGTGCAAACCTCAGAGAGTGCACTCGCACTAACCTAGATGGCATAGCCTACTATACATGCCTAGGCTATATGGTGTAGCCTATTGCTCCTGGGCTACAAACCTGCACAGCATGTACTGTACTAAACACTGTAGGCAACTGTAATGCAATGGTAAGTATTTGTGTATCTAAGCATATCTAAACATAGACAAAGTGCATAAAATGTGATACAATACCACTGTCCTATATGTGGTCTGTCATCGATGGACCATTATAGACATCATTATGCAGCACAAAACTGTATTTTATTCATTCCACAGATGACATGGGAGTCTTCTTATTTTTGTAATCAATAATAACAGGTGTGTGATCAATAATAACAGGAGGAGTGATATGCTAATTAGGAACTAAGGATGTGCAAGATAAATGTTTATACTCCAAGAATGAAACAGAAACGAAAAATTAAAAGTAATAACAATAAGATGATTAACAATATCAATAGCAACTAACAGTAGTTTCTTGGTTACTTATCACATGCTAGGTAATGTTCTAACTATTTCATATGAAATTTATTTATTTTATTTTATTTTGAGACAGGGTCTCACTCTGTCATCCAGGCTGGAGTGCAGTCATTGCAATCATAGCTCACTGCAGCCTCAAACTCCTGGGCTCAAGCAATCCTCCCATCTCAGCCTCCCAAGTTGCTGGCACTACAGGCACATGCCACCACACACAGCTTTTTTATTTTTTTTTTGGTAGAGATGGGGTAGGGGGTTTCACTTTGTTGCCAACTCTTGGTCTCAAGCTATCCTCCTACCTCCACCTCCCAAAGCACTGGGATTACATGCACGAGCCACCACGTCCAACTAATTTTACTTTCTGTAGACAGGGTCTTGCTATGTTGCCCAGGCAACAATGTAGTGGCACAATCATAACTAACTATAACCTTGAACTCCTGGACTCAAGCGATCCTCCCACCTCAGCCTCCTGAGTAGCTGTGACTACAGGTGTGTGCAACCATACCGGGCTAATTTTTAAATTTTTTGTAGTGATGTGGTCTCACTATGTTGCTCGGGCTGGACTCTAACTCCTGGCTTCAAGCAATCCTCCTGCCTTGGCCTCCCAAAGCACTGGGATTACAGGTGTGAGCCACTGCACCTGGCTTCATAGGAAATTTAATCCTCAAAAGATCCCATATAGAATGATGGAGGTTAACACTGTTCTCCCCACTTTACAGATGAAATCCCCAGGAATGAAGGCGGTGAGAGCTAGCAAGTGGGTGGTGTATAAGGCAAATCATTATTAATAGCCACAAGCACATTACACAGAGTCTTAGTTTTAACTTCAATGGAAGTTTTATTGTTTTTGACAGTTGCCAAAGCAGATCAGATACTGTGATTAGGTACACGGTTTCTTCCTGCTTATGAAATTACATTCTGAAGCCCTTCGGTCTCATTCCCCGGCTGCCTCCACTCTTTCTTGTAACCGCTCGCCTGTCACCTGTCTGATGTGCATCACCAGCTCATTCATCACCTGGCAGATTTACTAACTCACTCATCATGCAGACACTGATGAGCCTGTCCTTCCGCATTCATCCCCACACCCTGGCTGCCGCTCACTCTGACATACCGCCGCCTGTCACTGTTTGCCAGCCAAACCGATACTTTTCTTAGGAGCTGCTATTAGCTCATTTGTCAGATTATTTTATTCCTTTTTGCTTATCAACTTCCCTTCAGACATCTTTTAGAATTTTTTCTTCTTGTTCTCCTCTGCCAACCACTTGGCTCATTTGCTTATCACCTGATATTATTCACCCCTCATCATTCGACAGCTTTTCAGATTCTATTAGTCAACATACATAATGTGAGTTCTATCTCTTGTTTCTATTAGGTTAAACCCATACAAATCTTGCTCTGTGCCAAGTGACTTAGAATTTGCATGGGGATGACACTTACATTAGAGCATATTCACTATGGCACATGAATATCAGTTATAAAACTCACATTCCCTTTCACAGGTCAGAAAATGTGGGATAGCAGCAGCCTTTTAAAAGGTAACACACAGCGGCATTTTTTTTTAATGTTTAAAAATATATAAATAATTTATTCTCCCCATTGCACAGAATGGCAATATGTTCTCTCCTAGGTGATTGAAAAGGTTTTTGTCTTTAGTCTCTTATGGACTGGTGCATTTGATGGGGATCCAGAAAAAAAGATGGGACTAAGTGCTGCACGCAAAAGAGAACTGGCCATGAAGAGGACCCACCCGCCAGACAAGAGCCCTGTGTGTCTGCCTGGGAAGGAGAGGAGCTCATTCCTGAAGGTCCCACCTGGACGGGCTGTTTGCTTATGAATGTATGCACTTAGGTAGGTAGGTAGGTAGGTAAATGTGTCTATGCATGTATACACATAAGCGTATGAATCTATGTCTATGGGTGTGTGTATGTTGCATGGAAGTACACATGTATGCAGCAGGCTAACACTGACTGCATTTACTGTGTGCAAGTCTCTGCAATATGCTCCCAAGACACAGTAGCTCATTTAGTCATTACAACAACCTTTGCAATAGAAATACCAATGGCCACCCATATTCACTGGTTCTCATTTGCCTGGCTGTGTTCTAAGCCTTGCCACCACCTGGGAGGTAGGTTCTATCATTTTCCCCCATGAAATAAATGAATGAACTGAGCCTCACGGGGATAGAGTTACTCACCCAATGGAGGAGCTCTTATGATCCCCATGTTACCAGTGGGGAGACTGAGGCACAGAGAAGTTCAGAAAGTCACTTGAGGCCATACAGTAAGAAATAGAGTCTGTACCCTTAAGCACATCACACTACTTCCCAGTAGAGAAAGATCACCTTCTGTGATGCTTAATTTTACGAGCCAACTTGACAGGGCTAAGAGGTACCCAGAGAGCTGGTTGAGCATCATTTCTGGGTATGTGTGTCAGGGTGTCTCCAGAAGAGGCTAGGATTTGAATCTGTAGACTGGAGTAGAGAAGATCACCCTCACCAATGTGGGTGCACCTCATCCAGTCCACTGAGGGCCCACATAGAACAAAAAGGCAGAGGAAGGGCGCCGTCTCTCTCCCCTTGAGCTGGAACATCCATCTTCTGTCCTTGGCCATCAGAGCTTCTGCTTCTCCCACCTTCAGACTCCAGGACTTAACACCAGCAGCTCCACCCCTCCTCCTGTTCTCAGGCCTTCGGGCTCTGGCTGAAGCACACCACCAGCCTTCCAGGGTCTCCAGCCTGGAGATGGCAGATTGTGGGACTTCTTGGCCTTCACAAGTGCATGAACCTATTCCCATGATCAATGTCCTGTATACCCCATTGGTTCTGTTTCTCTGGAGAGTCCTCCTAATACACTTTCCTTTTAAGAATGTATAAAAAGACATACATATGTGTACACACATTCACAGCTCAATTAAGACCCTTCTATCATGAGAGAATGGAGACACGTTCTAAGACACTAGGGGATCGGGGGTGGGAGAGGGCCTGGCTCCAAAATAGATATTTTGATGAAACCAGAGTAAATTCTTAGAAATTTTCTGAGTCTCACGGTGATAAACAGACACTGTCTCTATGAAACACGCACAAGTTTCAATGATAGAAAAGGAAGAGATGAGAATAGCTAGCGACCAGAAGGAAACACACCAAGAGAAAAGGAGACTGCCCCAAAACAGAAAGAGAGACTGGACCAGTTAAAACTCTGCACTGGAAATAGTTAAGACCAGGCCAGATACTGCAAAAAAAGAAAAAACTGGTAAAAATATTTTCTGTAGAGCAGTATTTTACATTTCCCCTCATTTTGCTAGATTTTTCTGTTTGCCCTCCAGATCCACCATACACCTTTACTGCTGCCTGGAGGCTGATCTTGATGAGGCTTCCCTGTTTTCCACTGGGTTCAGACTTGGGCAGCACTGAGGGGAGACTGGAGTGGGCAAGGCATGGCAACTGGGGTATTTGTTTCCTCTCTGCTGGAAAGGACCAGTGCCTGCATTCTCTCACCAAAGGCCACCCCTGTCTCAGGGTGAATCCTACGAATTCAGGTCTCACTCCAGGCCCCAGAGCCACTCCCTCCCTGTGCTGTTAAGGTCCAGGAGCCAGGGCAGCTCTCAGCTATGGCTAGCCCTGACAGCCTCACCATTTCTGCCCCTACCTTTGTAAATAGTCACCCCATTAAACTCCCCATTACCCAATTTAAATATGTCATCTGCTTCCTGCTGGGATACTGAGTATGAAGTGCTCCAGGCATCCCCCAGGACAGAGCCCCTGTATCATGATCTGTTTTATAAACCGTGGTTCTGGACAGTAATTTGAGTTTTTAAAGGTCCCATTGGCTTTTTTTTTTTTAAGCTTAAAAACCAAAGATGAAGTTTAAATTTGAGAAGCATTCATGAGAATGCCAAAAAAGGGACAGAGTGATACAAATAAAAAAAAAAAACCTCACACTTGGAGGATCAGAAGCTGAGATTTAAATGATTAATAATGCATGCTTCCAGAGAAGAGCCCAGAACAAATCATTCTGTTCTCATTATGTAGTGAAACTTACACTGGCTTCAGACCTTTCCTCAAATTGCTAATGCCAGAAAAACTGATTGCTCAAGAATTCTGAATCTAACCAAATTACTCTTACATTGAAAGTAACAGATGGCTACTTTCATTTATACACTGTGGGAAATATATATCACCCATGTCCCCATGGTGAAGAGATGAATGAAAATTCAGAACGTAAGAGAGCTGAAGTCAGATAGTAAGCAAATGATGGAGAGTGGAATGGCTGAGCTAAATAAGGGGTCCCACGAAGAGGAGGCTTTATAACCTGAGTTCCCTATGTAAAATTAAAATGTGAAGGGGGTTTTAGATGCACAGAATAAAAAATGCTAATTTACTCATTTTTCCATAAGGAAAAGATGTTAAAATTGACTTTTTTTGGGAGTATCACTTACCTACGAGGCAATGTTCTCTGTTCCAATAGCGATGGTGGTCACCCAGGGGCTTACATTTGCTGAAGCTCATTGAACTCTATTCTTAAAACAAGTGCATCTTGTTCTATGTGAGGATGTGAGGATGAGAAGATTTTTATCTTTGGTTTTGGTAATTTGATAAATGTAGGGTTGAGGATACTTTTGAAAAATCAACAAGATGGTCTAGAAGTGAAGAAGATATGAAATGTATATATATGTGTGTGTGTGTATATATATATATATATATATATATATTTTTTTTTTTTTTTTTTTTTTTTTTTTTTTGAGACGGAGTCTCGCTCTGTCGCCCAGGCTGGAGTGCAGTGGCGTGATCTCAGCTCACTGCAGGCTCTGCCTCCTGGGTTCACGCCATTCTCCCACCTCGCCTCCCGAGTAGCTGGGACCACAGGCGACCACTACCACACCCAGCTAATTTTTTATATTTTTAGTAGAGACGGGGTTTCACTGTGTTAGCCAGGATGGTCTTGATCTCCTGACCTCGTGATCCGCCCGCCTCGGCCTCCCAAAGTGCTGAGATTACAGGAGTGAGCCACCGCGCCTGGCCTGAAATGTATTTTTTAAAAACATATTGATATAGAAGTTAAAAATAAGGTACCAAGGATAAGTGCATGAGAAGATATGCAAGTCCTCTGCAGAAAAAATCTTAAAACTCCAATGAAATACTCTGGAAAAGACCAAAACAAATGGAGGGATATAGTATTCCATGGTCAAGGCCATTTAGGATCACACAGATGTTAATTCTCCCTAAAATGATACACAGATAAAACACAACTCCAATAAACATCCCAATAAGGGAGTCTTTCATAAAATCCAACAAGCTGATTCTCAAGTCTCCATGGTAGAGCAAAGGGCCAAGAAAAGCCCAGATGCCTTTGGAGGGAAGAGAAAGCTGGGGGCCCTTCCTCCTCACAGGTATCTTGTTGTACAGGAACTACCAAAGCAGACCAAAGGGGCAGAACTGAGTGCCTAGAAACAGACACACAGAGATACAGAAAGTGTATTTACAACAAAGTGGGCACTGCAGGTCATGGTAAAAAACAGATTCTAGTGCCACTACAATTGGTCACGCATAAAAGAAGAAAAGAGAATTCCTGTCTCACAGCATATACAAAATTTAATTCCAAGTAGATTAAAGGATTAAATGTGAAAAGCAACACTTCTGATTCTGTAGGGGAGAAAAAAAAAGAAGCAAATGTTTTTACAACTTCGAGGTAGGGAAGGATTTCTTAATAAAAGATAATCACATACATGCACAGAAAGTATCCCCAGTGAAGGAATTAATAAATTAATAAAGATAACCATAAGAAAAATGACATGGTAAGTCAAAGCCTCGGAGGGGGTATTTTCACATATTCCACCAAGAAATCAGCACCAGAAGATATAGTATAAATAACTTTTATAAATTAGTAAGAAAAAGAGAAATGACACAAATGGGTAAAACACACAAACTCACATATTACAGAAGAAGAAACACAACATAAAACTGGTTGATCTCAGCCAGGCGTGGTGGCTCACGCCTGTAATCCCAGCACTTTGGGAGGCCGAGGCGGGCAGATCACAAGGTCGGGAGATCGAGACCATCCTGCCTAACATGGTGAAACCTCGTCTCTACTAAAAAATACAAAAAAATTAGCCGGGCGTGGTGGCGGGCGCCTGTAGTCCCAGCTACTCGGGAGGCTGAGGCAGGAGAATGGCATGAACCCGGGAGGCGGAGCTTGCAGTGAGCCGAGATCGTGCCACTGCACTCCAGCCTGGGCGACAGAGCAAGAGAGCGAGACTCTGAAAAGAAAAGAAAAGAAAAAAAAAAAAAACTGGTTGATCTCATTAGGAACAAGGAGAGCACCAACTGGGACTGGAGATGCCGTGGCACACTCACCAGACTGGCAAACCTCTCAAGGCATGCCATGAAGAATGCGGAACACTTGGGGCACCTACATGAGTACAGTTGCTTTGGGAAAACCATGCGACATCATTTCATCAATCACACTGCCCATGACCCAGCAATTTCATGTCCAAGTGAGTGCCCTGGAGGAACCCATGCCTATGTACCTGAGGAGACGGGCATTTAAACATTCACAGCAACACAGGTCACAGGAACAAAATATTATATACATGGCCCATGCAGCCACTGAAGGAGAACAGACAAACATATTGTGATCTATTCACACCATGGAAGACTGCAACAACAATCAAAATAATTGATGTAGAGCTACACATGAACACGTATGAATCAACAAATATCATGGTGAATGAAAAAAAGCAAGTAATCAAAGAACATAAAGTGCAATTCCATTTACACAAAGTTCAAAAGCAAAAGTAAGCAGTACATTATTTAGGGATGTGTACATATGTGTAAAAGAATGATGAACCTTGAATCTCTGCTCTGAAGACAGGCAGGAGACCAGATGGGAAGGAGCCCACAGGAGGGTCCTGGAGTGGGCAGCTTACACTTCTGGTGCTGGTTGGTGGGGCCTTCAATTGCCTGCTTCATAGCAATACATGAATTTCATTGTACGTGTCATATATTTCATGTTTAATAATATTTTATTAATAAATATTTCCTAATTTAAAACAGAAAAGATGAAATACATTTTAAACATAACTGTCAGTAGAAAAAAAAGCTAGATTCCTACAGTCTAAATATTTACATAAAGTAAAGCACTCTCAACGTGGTATTTATCAGAAAAAAAAACCAGAATAAAAGACAGAAGTGCCGAAGAAACGTGTAAAAACAAGAAGATAAAAAGAGTGACTGAAACAATCCCTAAATAAGTAAAGAGATTTCATAATAACTCAATCCCTTATTTTAAACAATTTGATTTCTATAAGATATGTACCTGAAAGAAAATGTCAGAGAGAAATTAAAGAAAAACTGATGGGCAAAGATATCAGGCACATTCAAACTAAAGGAAAGCAAGCCCAGTGCTCTAATTTAAACAAAGCCAAATTCAAGACAATAAAACACTAAATTGAGACAAGACCACTTTATATTATTAAAAGATATAATCTACAGGGAATGAACAGTAATATCCCAACATCCAAACAGAGCAAAATGTGACAGAAAGAGCCGCAGTGAATATGAACATGAATATGGATCATGTAGGAAAAAGCTGTTATGGAAAAAAACTGCAAAAGCTAACAGTAGCTGTGGGCCAGGGCAGAACACGAAGGAGTGTTTTCTAAGCTGTTTCCCTGCATTTTCCAGGTTTTCTGTAATACACATCTATACTCACTTATCAGGAAAACCATAACTGTAAAGATCTGTGTTTTGGTGAGGATATCACACGTTTAAGAAAGGCAGACTCCTTTCTTCCTCCAAAAGTCACTGCTGAAAGTCATGATTTTTAAAACTTCTTTTTTTCTGAACCCCAAGACGGAGTCTTGCTCTGTCCCCCAGGCTGGAGCACAGTGGCATGATTTCAGCTCACTGCAAGCTCCGCCTCCCGGGTTCAAGCAATTCTCCTGCCTCAGCCTCCCAAGTAGCTGGGAATAGGGGCATGCACCACCACACCCAGCTAATTTTTGTATTTTTAGTAGAGGCGGGGTTTCACCCTGTTGGCCAGGATGGTCTTGATCTCCTGACCTCGTGATCTGCCCACCTCAGCCTCCCAAGGTGCTGGGATTACAGGCGTGAGCCACTGTGCTCAGCCAGTTTCAATCAATTATTCTATCTATTGTTGAACCACACAAACTAAAGAGCAAAACAAATTTGAAACCTTTGAGTCTTCCTTCCCTTACTAATCAGAATTTTTATATTTTGACAAGGAAACATAGATCTACAGCAATTTGATTAAATACACATGAAAATCAGGGTAAAATAAAATTGTTTCAACTTCATCCCACTATTTATTGTATATCATAAAATTATTCAGGAATCAAAGATAAGGTTCATGAATAATATTCTTCATTAAAAGAGGGTGGATGTTTGAAAGAAAATCTGGTAACTAATAGCCTATAAGGTAGAATTTTTTAAAACCTGGGTACGTAGAGAGAGTTCCTCAGAATTGCATATTAAATTCACTTTCAATTAGTATGGTTCAGCATTTTATTCTGATGATTTATTTGTATGCTTGGTAATACTTTTTAAATTAACTGTGCCACAGACAGACATATCACATACTTCACAGTTATAATAATTTTTTCTAACGCTATATCTTTATAACGGTAATTGCCTTCTTTCTGAAAGAATACGCATTTTGAATCTAGTGACACTTCATTTATTACTTTTCTTATATTAGAGCTACCTCAGCATATTAGATTTTTTCTTAATGACTTTTTTCTATTAGGAGACCATGAAGACCCCAGGGCAAAGGAAGTCCATTAGGAAAGGGGGGCATTTTAGAGGAGGCAGGAATTTCTAAGGTAGACATCAGACAATTCTTGTCAAGAACAGACTGAACACGAGATCCTCCATTTCCTGTGAACTATAGATTAATTTTGATATCTGTACAAACAAGATTATGAAATTTGCAATATTCATCATTAATACAGTGAATTAAATTCCTCACATAGCAAAACATACATCAAGTATGTCACTGCTCACTGCACCTCCCACTCTCAGTTGACACATCACCCTGCACAGCTCCTCCCTGGACAACTCCAGCTGACCAGAGTACCTGCTTATACCACGTGGAACAGGAGACCGAGGATCCTCTCACCCTGACAGCTGCCTTGCTCTCTCCTGGAACATAGCAGCAGGTGATTATTCAGTGTGGGGGCAAAAAGAGTCCCTATCACTCCTCTGGTCTGAGAGCCAGATGCTAGAGTATGTCCAGGAAGCACTTCCGAGAAGCTATTCCCTGGACAGGCTGAGCCGCCTTGGGGCAGTCACCCATCTCCTGAAGCCAGGAGTGCTGGAGCACAGGCTGAGAATGACTCTGAGGCTGGAGAGAAGACTCAACAACCTGTTGGTGGCTCCACCACGGCTGTCCCTTTCTCCCAAAACTTTCTACAGCTCGATTTACTCCTGGACCCCTGCACCTGGTGCTTTTCCTGCTTCCTGGATTTTGTCTTGGTTGTTCTGCTGGCCTGCAAGGAGTCTACTCTCTGATCTACCCGCCCAAACTCCACCCATCCAATAATATTTGGGCTGAATCCCATTCTCACTGTAAGATTCAGTCTGAATCAGTCTTCTCCTACTTCAACCTTAGTGGAAGCAGCATGACACAATGAAAAGAGCATGCCCTCTGAAATCAGACACACCTAGACTCCTCCATCCAAGCTTTAGCAATTACCCTTGTATTATGCTACCCAAGTACATAATCCCTTTGAAAAGGACATGCTCTTCAAATGCAGCTGTGAATACTTGTCTTGGGCCAATGTATAAAAAGCACCAGGTAGGCACCAGTTTCCTCTTATCTTTCTAAATAAAAATTATATACAAAATTCATTTCTCGATTTCTAACTTGCAGCAATTTCCTCCCATTATCTTATACAACTTTATGTATCTTTAACATTTTATTGATATTTTTATTTCCCCAACTCATATCATAACCTCACCTAGAACCTAAACCTAAATACCATATCTTAACCTTCTTAGTTTCCAAGTCATTGCACGGCTCAGGGCCCTGTGCAATGCATTTCATTACTGCGGCACAACAGGCTCTGAGCCTCATCTCATGGCAATTCTGACGACCACTCTGTGCTCACGGTGTGCTGATGGTGTCCTTTATGTATCCAGGACAGATAGAACAAGGAACTGCTGACCAGGCAGGTTACAGAATCAGCCCAGGGTTAGACACTTACAGGTCCAATGGGGAAGCACCCCAGGAAACATGTAACAAAGCCTCCATTAGCAGCAGCTGGACAAATTCTTCCCCTCTTCTGGAAACATCCTTAAGCTTTGCTGATGCCCACACCTGGGGATACTAAGTGGTTTATTGTAATCAAGAAATGTATCATGGTCTTGGGGTCCAGCTACATGCAACTCACTTCACAGCACATTAACCAACAGACACGGATCACAGGAAAATCACTCCAGCCATAAAGAAACACACAGACTCTGGGACTCCATCCAGAGGCACATCCCAGGGCTTCTGAGCTCCCAGAGACGGCCCCCACTCAGTGCTGTTCCACAGACCTTACCACCCACTCAGTCTCTACCTTCACAGGAAGAGAGTAACATTACCCAGACAGGGCTATGAGAATAACTCACTCTTTCTCAGAAGCTTCTCAGCCAGTCAGAAGCAGCAATCAGGGAAAAGTTGATTACAATTGTTTCCAGGTGAATTCAAGATGATGCATTTAATTATGATTTTTGAGCACATAATTACCTTATTGGGTATCTTTGTCTACCTTGTTTTTAATCTTTTTTTTTTTTTTTTTTTTTTTTTGAGACAGAGTCTTGCTCTGTCACCCAGGCTAGAATGCAGTGGCGCGATCTCGGCTCACTGCAACTTCCGCCTCCCGGGTTCAAGAGATTCTCCTGCCTCAGCCTCCAGAGTAGCTGGGACTAGAGGCACACGCCGCCACACCCAGCTAATTTTTTGTATTTTAGTAGAGAAAGGGTTTTACCATGTTACCCAGGCTAGTCTTGAACTCCTGAGCTCAGGCAATACGCCCGCCTCGGCCTCCCAAAGTGCTAGGATTACAGGCATGAGCCACCGCGTCCGGCCCCTTGTTTTTCATCTTTCTATTCTAGCTCGCTGTCACTTGCAAAAAGTTAAGTTTTTATATATTTTCAATAAAAAATGTGCCTGATGGATTAAAAGAGTTTATACTTCCAAGTGAAGTGACTTAAGCAAATAAAAATAATTGTCATGTTTCAATAAAAATTAGTATTTTATCAACAACTATTTTTAATTTCACTTGGTCTTGAGTGGTTTCCTTATGTTATACTTTAGTCTGTTTCAGTCTCGTTTTTCTGGTTAGACTATCTTTCCCTGCTGATATTTAATACTGTTAGTAAATTTAAAAGAAGCGTATTAGTCCATTTTCATAAACGAGGTGGGAGGTTGGGATACTTAAGCTGCTTTATGAGCACAGCAAAATTCTGCATTGTTTTAAGGATCTGTACAAATATGTTTTCACCCTACTTCCTTCTTTTCTTCTGCACTTAATAAATGAAAGCTTCATCTTTAATGTGACCAAGCAAAATACATTCTCTTAAAAAAAAAGGTCACGACCTTGACTGTAAGAAATCCCCAAAGTGGATTTATAATGAATTTTCCGAATAAATAATGACTCCAAATACATTTACATTAAAAATATTAACCTTTAACTCACCTATATTTTTAATAGCATATAAAGTGATATTTGAGCTCAATTCATGGCTTCGAAAGAAAGCCTTGCAGGCTTTCTATAACTCATATTAAAGGTTAAGATGATTCATAAATTTTTTTCCACAGAATATGGCAAACAGATGACTTTGTAGTGTGACTGGGACTGAATTTCTGATGGGCACAGCAGGAAACATTTCTGTAAGTGCAAAAATTCAAAGACACTTTTGAAAAGAAGTTAATATATGCAGCGTAAGATTTTAAGCTTTCTTACATTGAAAAATGATCAGCATAGCAATGAAGAGAGAGAAATAAAAAAACCACTAATCCAGGCTGAAGTTCATTCATCACACACTTCCAATTCCTTGATATCTGCATGTTACATTAAATACTGCAGTGGAGAAAAACAAAAATAAGAGAATCCAACTAGAATGGAAAGACAATCAAAGCTATTTTTCTTCAACAGTTGTCTATAAGTTTCCAATAAAATTGGGGCTATGACAAGAATCGAGCATTTATACTTATGCATAAAGTAAGGGCTGGTTTCTCTAATAGGGCTAATTATCGGACACCTATTACCACCACTCCGGGGACAGCATCAATGAATCAAACTCCACAGGACTAGAAATATTCTGACTAGTGTCCAGGATAACAGGAGAGCTACCAGGGCTTTTGGTGCCACACACCTGGGTTTATTAGGGCCAGAATTGCTCTCCATAACCTAAGAACCACCCAAACATCCGCAGGATAAATGCAAAACCCTGGGAACCCTCTTTTTTTTGAGAGAAGAAATATGGAAGGAAAAAAACTTTCCTCTATTTTGTAGCTTCTAATTAAAAGGAATCCATGAAAGAATTAATTGCACCTAAACGTATTTTACTACGTCTTACGTTGTACTGCAGTAAGTCTTAAGATGAGCTGCAGAGGGGAATGGATTATGCCTTACTAAGGCATGGAAAGAGGTTTTTTTGGTTATATTTTAAGGTCTCAGGTAAGGCACTGATTAAGAGCCAGTTGGCCTGGGCTGGAAACCTGCCCACCACTTGCCTGCCACACACCTGCCCTGTGCCTCAGCTTCTCTTTTGGCTAGGATGATAACAGAGTTGTCTCACTGGGGTGTCATAAGAAGTAAGTGCAGCAGGCATCTATCTGAACAGGGCCCAGCATATAGCAGTTTCCCACCACGCTTGTTATTGTGGAAGGTACACAGAAATGGTCGGATTTCTCTGCTGTGACGTCCTTCCATTCAGCTCTCTTGCGGTAAAACGCTTCAGTCTAAGTGCCTTCCTTCACCCAGCTGAAAGGCAGAACACTTACTCCCGTTTTGGATAACAGTGCAAGCTGTGAGTCATAACTGGTGTGGGAGACAGAGATAGATCATGCCTTTCCCTATTGTTAGTCATTTCAAATAAACTGAATGTATCCTGGTTTGGGGGTGATGCCTTTAAAAATTTTTTTTAATTTAAAATTTTTTTAGTTGACTTTATTTTTAGAACAGTTTTAGGTTCACAGCAAAAGTTAGCAAAAGGTACAGAGAGTCCCATACACTCCCTCCCTCCCCAGAGGCACAGCCTCCGCCACTACCACCAGCCGCCAGCAGAGTGGTGCATTTGTTAACAACTGGTGAACCTACATTGCCACACCATTATCACTCAGAGTCCATGGTTTACATTAGGGTCCACTCTTGGTGTTGTACATTCTATGGGTTTGGAGAAATGCATAATGACCTGTATCCACCATTATATTATACAGAATAGTTTCACTGCCCTGAAAATCCTCTGTGTTCCACCTCTTCATCCCTCTTTCCCAACCTGTGACAACCACTTATCTTATTACTGCCTCCACAGTTTTGCCTTTTCCAGAATGTCATATGGTTGGAACTATACAGTCTATAGCCTTTTCAGATTGACTTCTTTCACACTGTATTATGCAAAGTTTCTTCCATGTCTTTTCATGGCTAAATAGCTCATTTCTTTTTTTTTTTTTTCTTTTTGGGACAGAGTCTTGCTCTGTTGCCCAGGCTGGAGTGCAGTTGTGTGAAATCGGCTCACTGCAACCTCCACCTCCTGATTTCAAGAGATCCTTCCATCTCAGCCTCCCAAATAGCTGGGATTACAGGTGCCCGCCACCATGCCCAGCTAATTTTTGTATTTTTAGTAGAGATGGGATTTCACCACATTGGCCAGGCTAGTCTCAAACTCCTGACCTCAAGTGATCCACCTGCCTCGGCTCCCAAAGTGCTGGGATTACAAGCTCATTTCTTTTTAGCACTGACTAATATTCTATTGTCTAATGTACCACAGTTACATATCCATTCACCTAGTAAAGAACAAGGTTGCGCTTTTTTTACCCCACTGCTCTGGGAATATAGTTTCCAAAAATTATAAAAAAAAATACAGAGCCGCTTTTAGTATTTCTGAAGGCTGCTCTGATTTGTCTTTGTCCTTTAAAAGTCTGCAGAAAAAAAAAACAAAACTGAATCTAATAAAGGTGCTTCTGACATTTCTGCAACCTAAACACGCTTTACTTGGTATCTTCCGTACCCTCACACCAGAAGACGACACCTTTGTTGGTTCTGTTTGTTAAAGACTCAGAAGCCAGGGCCCCAGCACCACCCAGCAACCCCCCGAATCAAGGTGCAGCAGAACCCAGCATTCACGCTGAAACACGTGTCCTGTGCTCTGATGTAGACCCAAATCTAACAGCCATTGACATGGACTGTTAGATGACTTCCGTTATCACCTACTGGGATAAAACCTATTTTGTTTTGGCTAATAAATACTGTTCTATGTCATTACTATTATTATTATTTTCGAGATGAAGTCTTGCTCTGTCACCTAGTCTGGAGTGCAGTAGCATGATCTTGATTCACTGCAACCTCCGCCTCCCAGGTTCAAGCGATTCTCCTGCCTCAGCCTCCTGAGTAGCTGGGACTACAGGTTCATGCCACCAGGCCTGGCTAATTTTTTGTATTTTTAGTAGAGACAGGGTTTCACCATATTGGCCAGGCTGGTCTCAAACTCCTGGTCTCAGGTGATCCACCCGCCTCGGCCTCCCAAACTGCTGGGATTACAGGCGTGAGCCACTGCATCCGACCTTCATTAAATTTAATGTATTATTTAAACTAGGATTTTTTTATCAGCTTTATTGAAGTATAATTTACATAAAAGAAAACCCAACCATTTAAAATGCACGGTTCCTGACAAAGTACAGCCTGATAAACTCATATGGCCATGGAAGCACCACCGCAATTAAACTACAGAACATTCCATGTCCCCAGAGTTTCCCTTGTGCTTCCCTGTAGCCATTCTCTTCCCACACCCCAGCGCCAGGTGACCACTCATCTCTCCTCCATCACTAGAATTTCAGAAAAATGGAATCATACAGTATGCAGTCTTTTGTGTCTGGCTTCTTCTATTTAGCCATTTGCTTCTGAGATTCACCCACATTACATGTATCAACAAGGAGAATCTTTTTAACCCCAGAAATACTCTGGCTGGAAAGTAGAAAACTATTCAGCAAAAGCTACTGTAGAAAAACACTCCAAGATGATTAAGAACTGTATTCCACCCCTCTCAAATAAGACCCTTGAACAACAAGTGATTCCTATTTTAGGACAGCAAGGAGATTGCCAAGTGATGGATACAATGAATTTATTTTTTAAATATCTTGCTAGCTAAAGACCTTTAAAGATATTTGGAGAGAGATGACATCAGAAAAAGTGGCAAAGACCTAAAAATTCACTCCTCCATAAGAGGAAAAAATAACTGAATGAAATGGTTAGAATCAAGTTGCTCATAACTCTGGAAATTAACCAAAGGCCTGCAGCAACCTTGGAAGCATTTCTTCAAGATGAAGAGCTGAATCTCGGTAAGAACAGTAGGATTTGGGGCATTTTGGCTTGCCCTAGTCCCATCCTCCATTCCTCATCTCTACAGTACCCTTGAAAAATAAAAGCTCACATGCCTGGTGCAGCCTGGAAGCCACTTGAGGGAAGGGAACAAAGCTGGATCTTTTCCAAAGTCCCATTCCCAAATAATTCTCATGATGTGACCATTCTGGTGATTCCCTAGAAGACCATACTTACAAACCTAGTTATATTTGACCTGACCCTGAGCTCACCCAGTGTGAACAGTCTTTTCCCTGGGGGTGACTGTCAAATACATTTGTAGGCAAGTGTTTTCACTTTGCAGCTGCCTAATCAGTAGATAATAGTTGGGGCAAACAATATATTAATCTAAACACTTAAAAAAAATCCTGGGGAATAAGATGCCCATAGCACTTTTGAAACGCCCCAATATATCTCTGGGAATACAGAGTGCCACATGCATGCATAGCGCTGTGCATATGCCCAGGAAAGCCCTGAGAAGGCTCTAAGCTCTCAGATGACAACTGCCTTGCAGAATGTGGAAGGTGTGCCCCAAGAGTCACACAGACCCCCTTGTCAAAGACTGGGAGATGTACTGGCTCCAGGCATTTAAAGAAATCTCTGTCCAATAACTAGGTAACTCCTAAACTAACTTGGTAGACAATTCAGTAGCCACACATGACAAAGAATAGGCTTTACAGAATTCATTCAGAAAAGTCATCAACAATAAACTATAGTGGACAAGAAGAATTTGCTTTCTAGAGGCACCACATTATATTAGTGAAAATGCCCAGTTTTCAACAAAAAAAAAAAAAGAGAAATATGAAGATACAAGAAAGCATGGCCCATATTCAGGCAAAAAAAAAAAAAAAAGCAATCAATGTAAGTGATCCCTGGCCTGGCACAGTGGCTCATGCCTATAATCCCAGCACTTTGGGAGGCTGAAGTGGGGAGATCACTCTTGAGGTCAGGAGTTTGAGACCTGTCTGGCTGACATGGTGAAACTCCGTCTCTACCAAAAATACAAAAATTAGCTGGGCATGGTGGCACATGCCTGTAATTCCAGCTACTCAGGAGGCTGAGGCACGAGAACTGTTTGAACTCTGCCAGGAGGCAAGGCTGCAGTGAGCTGAGATCATGGCACTGCACTCCAGCCTGGGCAGCAGATTAAGACTCCATCTCAAAAAAAAAAAAATATATATATATATCTAGCTCACATATACATCTCATACACACACATATATATACACACATACACACACACACATATATGACCCCTGAGAAAGGCATGGTGGACTTAGAAGACAAAGACTTTAAATCAGTTATTTAAACGTATTAAAAGAACTAAAGCAAACTGTCTAAAGAACTAAAGAAAAAGATGACAATGATATCTCACCAAACAGAAAATATTAATGAAGAGATAGAAATTATAAGAACCAAATAGGGCTGGGCATGGTTGCTCATACCTGTAATCCCAGCAATTTGGGAGACTGAGGCAGGAGGACTGCTTGAGGCCAGGAGTTTGAGACCAGCCTGGGCAACATAGCAAGATACTATCATTAACAAAAAAAATACACAAAAATTAGCCAGGTGTGGTAGCACTCACCTGTAATCTCAGCTACTCAGGAGGCTGAGGCAGGAGGGAGAATCCCCTGGGCCCAAAAGTTCAAAGCTGCAGTGAGCTATGATCATACCACTGCACTCTAGCCTGAGAGACAGAACAAGACTCTGTCTGAAAAAAAAAATAACCAAATAGAAATTATAGATTGAAAAGTACGATAACTCAAATAAAAAACTCTCTATAGGGGTTAAAGAGCAGATTTGAGTAGACCAAAGAAAGAGTCATCAGTTAACCTAAAGATAGGTTAATTGAGGTTATCCAGCCTGAGCAGCAGAATAAACAATGAAGAAAAATGAACAGATCCTAAGAAGTGTGTGAGCCATCATAAAGTGTACCAAAGTGCATGCAATGGAGTATATCAACAGGAGAGGAGAGAAAGTGAAAAGGGCAGAAAATACCTTTGAAGAAACTATGGCCAAAGACTTCCCAAATTTGATGAAAGACAACAATCTACACATCCAAGCTGAATGAAATCTGAGTAGAATAAACTCAAAGAGATCCATGCCTAGACATATCATAAACAAACTGTCAAAAGCCAAGGCCAAAGAGAGAAGCTTGAAGGCAAAAGATCAGTGACTTACCACATACAAGGGGTCCAAATAAGATTAACAGCTAGTTTCTCATTAGAAAACATGCAGGACAGGAGGCAGAGCAAATGGCAAGAAAAAAAAAAGTGTAAACCAAGAATTTCATATCCAGCAAAACTATCCCTCGAAAATGAAGAAAAAATCAAGACATTACCAGATAAGCCAATGCTGAGATAATTTGTCTCTATGGAATCTGCCCTAAAACAAATAGTAAAGGAAGTCTTTTAGGCTGAAATTAAACACACACACACACACACACACACCCAGGTGCACGAGCGTGTGCAAAACTAGATAGACAGTAAATTAAACTCACATAGACATAAAAAGCATGATTAAAGATAACTACATGGATGCTATGGTTTGGATGTGGTTTGTCCCAGTCAAAACTCAGGTTGAAATTTAATTGCCAATGCAACAGTGTTTGGAGGTGGTGTCTTTAAGAAATGATTAACTTAAGTTGGATTAATGTCTTTCTCACAAGACTGGGTTAGTTCTCTGCAGAAAGGATTAGTTTTGATAAGAGTTAATTGTTATAAAATGAGGTTGCCTCTCACGTTTTTCCCTTTTTGCCTTTCCCTTTATCTGCCATGTTTGGAGGAAGCACAAGGCCCTCACCAGAAGCAGGAGATGCGATTGTCCAATCTTGAACATCCCAGCCTGCAGAACCATGAGCTAAATAAACCTATTTTTTTAAATAAATTACCCAATCTCAGATATTCTGTTATGGCAACATACAACAAAAGGTAAGACATACAGAAAACAAATAGCATACTGGGAGACATAATAATTCCTCATCAGCAATTACATTAAAAAATTAAACTCTCCAATTAAAAGGCAGAAATTTCAGAATGGATTTTAAAAACATGATCCAATTACACACTGTCTATAAGAGATTCACTAGAGTTTGTCAGTAAAAAGTAGAAAATAATATACTGTGCAAATGCTAACCAAAAGAAGTTTGAGTAACTATCCTAGTATTAGACAAAATCATCTTTAAGACAAAAATTGTTACTAGAAACAAATAAGGACATTTTATAATGATAAAGGCTTAATCATTCAAGAATACAGAACAATTATAGACATATTTGTACATAACAATTGTGCCAGAGTAGCAAAGAATTAGCAAAGAACAACATTCTGAACAGCTGAGCTGGTAGCTCTATACTGAAAAATGAGAAATGTCATTTGCCTAAATTATTGACAACCGGAAGACTGCAACCGAGATCAAGTGCACCCTAGAAAGCCACAGGTTTTCTATCCTGGCTGCATATTGAAATGATCCACAGAGTCTAAAACTATAGATACCCCGGCCCTATGCCAAGAAATCCTGATATAGTGAGTCTGAAGTAACATTTCTTAAAGTGCCCCAGGTGTTCTGAAGTGCAGGCAGGATAAGGAGACACGGGCCTAGAGTGTGAGAGCATGGGCTCTGAAACATACAGCCTGGGTTTCAACCTGAGCTCTGCCTCTTACTCGCTCCAAAAAACCTTGAACATGACTGAACCTTGCTGTACCCACATCATGGAAGAGTGTCTGGAACACATCATAGAAGACACTAAGAACAGATTTAAAAAAAAAACTATCCCAGTAATGTGAAAATACATATTCTTTATTCATGTCGCTAGTTTTCAGCATTTAGAAAGGCACTTATAAATGTTAGCCATTACTGTCGTTGTCATCATCATCATCATCATCATCTGTCATCATCATCATTTGCCCAGGACAGGCACAACTTGAGGTACCTCTGAACCCTCACAATGGACACTGAAGTTGGGGAAGAAAGAGACAAATGGCAGCTTTACCTGGTGGAAAATAAGCTCAGCTCTTCCCTCTTGAGCCTGCTTCATCCCCCAGGAAGACTAAAGTGGATCTTGCCAGTCAGCACAACAGAGCTCCCACTTTCAAAGATGGCCTTCACATTCTGGACCACGCATACTAGGGTGGAGTTTAGGAAAGGTAAACTGTGCCACCCTCCCATACCACCACACCCCCGCAAACACACACACACACACACACACACACACACACACACGAAACCAACTAATCCAACAACACCAACTTTCTACCTTCATTAACATAGTCCTTCTTTTGTAAATATAAATAGGACAATGAAAGATGGCCTGATATTGAGTGGGAAAAAAATAGCATAAATAATGACCTAGATGATTAAAGAGACCAGTTAACCTGTGGGGGGAGGTGAGAATATCTGATAAACAGAATTCTAATTAATATACTTGAAGGAGATTGCACCCATTAAATGAGTGTTTCATAAAATGTGAACATATTGCTATGAAAAAAAGCAATTAGAGAAAAACACAGTTCTTAGAAAATAACATAACTGTCTGTCAAAATAAAAAATTCAACAGAATGATCAAACAGTAGAATGGATACAGCTGAAATCCAAAGTAGTTATCTAGAAAATAAAATAGAAGTGCCCCAGAAAGTAAAGAAAAAGAGAAAGAAAACATTAGAAAATGTTAAGAATCCCATAGGATCAATTTAGAAGGTAGAGCATCTATCCACTAGGAATTCAAGTAAGAGAAGGCAAAAATAAATAAATAGATAGATAGATAGATAGATAGATAGATAGATAGATAGATAAAGAGATACAATCAAAGAATTAATGGAAGAAATTTCCCCAACAATTTTTCTTGAACTATCCAATAGACGAATAACTAGAACTAGTTTAATAATTCACTATGGTCTGTGATAAACAAGTATGAGATCAATACACATAATTTTTCCAGAAATTATGGCAGAAAATACAGTTGGTTCTTGAACAACACAGGTTTGGACTGCATAGGTCCACTTACACATGGATCTTCTTCTACCTCTGCCACCCCTGAGACAGCAAGACCAACCCCTCCTCTTCCTCCTCCTCCTCAGCCTACTCAACTGATGACGATGAGGACGAAGGCCTTTATGATGGTCCACTTCCACTTAATTAATAGTAAATACATTTTCTATTTCTTAGGACTTTTTGAAATGATATTTTCTTTTCTCTAGCTTACTTTATTGTAAGAATACAGCATATAATACATCTAACATACAAAATATGTGTTAGTTGACTATGTGATCAGTAAGGCTTCCAGTCGGCAGTTGCTTACTTGTAGTTAAGTTTTTGAGGAGTCACACATTATATGCAAATTTTCAACTACATGAGGGGTCAGTGCCCCTAACTGCCATGTTGTTCAAGGGTTAACTCTATATCCCCATCTCTAAATATTATAGATATTATTTTCCAGGAATTAATCTATAAAATCAATGCAATCACAAAATCAAATCATGGCCACTGTGTAACTTTACAAACTCATTCTAAATTTATTGAAGAATGCACAGAAGAGCAAATAATATGTGAAAATAAGTCATTTGACTTATTATAAAGCTGGACTAGTTAAAACAATGTAGTGTTGTCTTAGAAATGAACTGATAGATTCATTACACAAAATAAAGATTAACAAACAGACCCATATCTAGCAGTGAGGTGGTGGAAAACATTTCAAATGGCAGGAGAAATACTGAATCGTTCAAAAAAAATAATATTGGGAAAATGGTCATCCGTTAGGAAAAGATAAAGTTAGAGTCTTCATACCATATGTAAAAATAAGCTTTGATTCAATTAAACATAAAAAGAAAAATTAAACATTTTAGAAATAAACAGGTGAATAATTTCAGAATTATGGTCCAAGAGAGATCTTTTACAGTGTATATTTTAAAAAGACACTTTGTTAAAAATTAAAAGACAAACAAACTGACAAGACAAACTGGGATAAAATATTAGTCACTTAAAACAGAAAAGTATTATGATCTTAAGAAAAATAAAAAGAAAAAATAAAAATAAAAATAAGGAAATGAGGAGAGGTCCCCTCCAAGGAGGGACAGTGACAGTGAAGGAGAGGAGTGATTTGAAAGACTAGAAGGTAAGAAAATGACATATTAATAATTTGGTTCAATATATTGAATCAGGTCGGGGTGAGGAAGGAACCAAGGGAACCTGAGTTTAGGTTTTAGAATAAGGCAACTGAAGGAAAGGGAGAAACATTCCTAATGAGATAGGGGAGCAAAAAGAAATTAGTTTGGGTTTGGAGTAGATTGAGTTGGGGTCCTTGTAGGATAAATGCTAACATGGAGGCTCCTCCAGTTTAGTCTCACTAGGCAGATTCATTTGAGTTAACAAAAAACTAAACTATAGACCTCATGTGAAAAATTATAAGATTGTGTTGTGTTTCTGTTTTGCTTTCTTTTCATTCTCTTTATTATTTTTTTATTTTGCTTTCTTTTATTTTTATTTTTATTGTCTCCTACTTGAGTTGCTTTATTGAATCTTCTTTTGTAGACAAATAAGAATCATATAATTGTTTGGATTTAAATGGTTATTTTCAAATTGCTTAAGGGTATTCGAAAACAACTTCTTTCCTTGCAATTTTTAAAATGTCCCTTTCTAATTGCTTACATGTTAATACAGTCACACAACAAAATAATATGCAACTGTTTAAAACAGTTTGTACTAAGAAATATTAGTGAATGGAGCAACAGTCATGAAATACTCCTAAGCAGAAAAAAAAAGGCAGGTTACAAAATAGGTGCACTATGAATCTAATTTTCATAAAAATATGTACGCATCTGTGTATGCATGGGGAAAAATGGAAGGCAAAACAGCAAAATATAATTGTCTATCTCTAAGTGTTGGGATCTGGGATGATTTTTAAAAATTGTCTTGTGTTTTTATGCATTTGCTAAATTCAAAACAATGAATATTTAATATACTAGAGTTTAAAAATTAAAAAAAAGAAATCTCACACATCAATGTAACACAGTCTCACAGAAAAAATATGTACAAGCAATTCATGGAAGAAATTCAAATAGGTAATGGAATCTTATTCTTTGTTTCGTTTCGGTCCCATCTATTCTTTGTTTCCTTTTTCCTGTTTTCTGCCTTCTTTTGCATTAATTGGATATTTTTTATTATTCCATTCCATTTCCTTTGTTGGTTTCTTAGCCAACTCTTTGGGGTTTTTGGTTTTATTTTGTGGTTGCTTTAAGCTTTACAGTATACAACTTTAATTTATCATAGTTTACCTTCAGGTGACATTAGACTTCATCAAGTATAGTCTAAGAATCTTACATTGTATAGTTCCATCCGCCCTCCTTTACAGTATTTTCACACAATTACTTATTCAAATGTTATAAACCCCACAATACATTGGTGCATTTTTTTTTCCTATTTTTGGTTCTTTGCATGCATTCAGCTTCTTGAATCTGTGGGTTTCTAGTTTTTATTCCATTTTGAAAAAAAATTACTACTATTTCTTCAAGTATTTTTTCTGTTTGCCCTCACTCCTTATTCCACATATATTAGTGTTTCTGGAAATTATTCCACAAAGCTCTGTGATTTTTTTCCATATTTTTGTTGAAAAAATGTTTTTTCTCTGTGTTCTTCATTTTGGAGAATGTATATTGCATTGCAATGCCTGTAAGTCCACTAATCTTTTTTCTTGTCTCAAATCTGCCATTAATCTCATCCAGTGAATTTTTTTCTCTCTTACATTGTAGTTTTCATCAGTAGAAGTTCAACTGGGTTTTTTTTATACCTCCATGTGTCTACTTAACTTTTGGAACATACAATTTTAATAACTGTAATCTTTGATTAGATGATAGACATTAGGAATGTTATCTAGTTGGTGCTGGATACTTTTGTATTCCTATGAACGTTCTCAAACTTTGCTCTGGGACACAGGTAAATTACTTGGAAACTATCTGATTCCTTTGGATCTTGCTTTTAATATCTGTTAGGCAGAACTGGAACAGCATTTAGCTCAAGGCTAGTTATTCTCCACTACTGAGGTAAAACTCTTCTGCATGCTGTATACAATGCCCAGGTGAATCATGAGGTTTCCAATCTGGATGGTGGGAAAACCCTAATTTTGTGACTGGCACTTTTGTCTCTAGTCCTCTCAGATAGTTCTTTCATGGCCTCAGTTTCTCTACCTACATGCAAGAGCTGATCAGTAGCAGCTGAATATTCACAGGGCTTCCTCTCCAAATCTCCAGAACCCTCTACTTGAGTAAGTCTTTCCTCTCTGGCACTTTGTTCTGCAAATTCTAGCCACCTTGGACTCCCAGGCTCAGTATAGCCTCCTTAACTCAGCAGGACTGCCAGGCTCTTCCCAGGTTCCTGTGCTGTGGCCTAGAAACCTTCTCACAACAGGAGGCTGCAGCAATCCATCCCCAGAGGATCCAGAGGCACACCTTTCTCTACAGTTATGAGAAATAAATACGCGAGAGGAACCTCAGCATCCCTGAACTCTTCCTGGAGGCCACAAATTACAGTTGGAATTTCTGTGCTGCCATCTAACTAGGGTCCCTAAATGCAATGAAGATGATGAGACCCCAGGGTTGCAGGGGCCAGGTGGCAGCTCTTAATTGCCAAAGGCATGGTGGATGTGGTTACTGTGAAGCACAGAGAGCCAAAGCAGCCATCAGAGTAGACTGGCTCACCGAGATCTTTGGTGTTGGCTCTGAAAAGCCCTGTTTCTCTGATTGAGCCGTGATGGATACACGTTTCTGTCTGGGTTGATAAAGCTTAGCAATAAAAATAAACCACCATCTGAGTAAGGCAAAAAGCCAGATCCCTCAAACAATGTAATATAAAATGCAAACAATACTAAACACATTATTGGATCTATATGGTACTCATATTCCCATAGATTAGTGCTTCTTAAAGTAGATTTACTTTGCTTTAAAAAAAAAAACTGTCCTAAACTGTAACTAATTTGTTATTGGTAAAAATAAATTCTAAAAAATGTTTTCAACTCCATGGTTATTAGTTTCTCAACAGTATTAGTTATTATGAATAATCTAATATCCAGTTCAGTGCTACTGTACTCAAGGTTTTAAAACTTATACCGCCTGTGATTGTGGGAGACTGTTTCCATTATTCATACATAAGCCATCACAAGATGGTTCACTGAATCTTTCAAAAAATCATCTAATCAGAGCTATATAATCTGATTTCTAATTGGCATCCAGCATAATATAGAACCCGTTATAGTTTAATGTAAGGAAGACAATGATCTCAATCATAGAAGACACTAAGAACAGATTTAAAAAAAAAACTATCCCAGTAATGTGAAAATACATATTCTTTATTCATGTCGCTAGTTTTCAGCATTTAGAAAGGCACTTATAAAACACTATGGTAAACACACACACACACACACACACACACACACACACAGCATTTCCCTTCTTCCCCTCCGACATTGCATTCGCCAGCCTACAAAGGGAGGCCTCCCTCACTGAGTGCTCACAGTGAGCTGCTGCTCCCCTCTCTTTGCCCTCCCGCACATCAGTCACTCCGGCAGGGACTGTACAGCTCTCCTTCATCTCGCTCTGTGTGTCTGTAAGCGCAGAATGATGAAAAGAAGGAGCTGCAGCAGGGCTCCGGATGGCCTTGTGCTTGGGAGCCCTGCAGAGGAAAGCTGCTGCCAGGAGAGCAATGGCAGCACCAAAACGCTCCAGCAGCAGGGGCCACTCATGCCTGTACTCAGCCAGCCAGGCCTGCAGGGCGAATGGAGTGGCTGCAAAGACCTTGGAGCTGTGGGCCCAAAACTGCTTCTTCTCACTATCCTGAGGGATACGCCCCTTTCAGAGAGGGCAACTGACTGTGTGGTGTTTATGGAAGGAGTTGGGGGGAGGGCAGGCCAGTGTGCCCCCCTGGGAATGAACTAGAAAACTCACTGCTGCATCTTTAGTTGACACCTCCAGGAAGAAAAAAAAACAAATCATTAGCACAGACAATAAAAGCAGGAGCTTTTATTTTAAAAATCATTGAAATCAAGACTTCAAGTCATGCTAGTGCTAAGTCCCAGGGCAGGGTACTTTGCTTTCTAGGTCTTCCTTTCCTTGCATAAGGTCTCACACGTCATCTGGAAAACCTCAGTTCCATTTTGTGGTCCCTGGGAAACCATGAAGGGCTTAACGAAGGGGAGTGACACAGGCTGGCAGACACTTTACATACCACCCACGGCATCTGTGTGTGTGTGGAGAACGGATTGGAGAAGAGCCAGCTTTTTGGCACACAGATCTGTTAGGAGGCTACTATATGAGATGCCAGGCAAGGACCTGCCCTAGAATGGTGGCTCAAGGCAGAGAGAAGACAGGGGCAGCTGCATACAAATAAAATGAGTCACGGCCAGGCGCAGTGGCTTACACCTGTAATTCCAGCACTTTGGGAGGCCAAGGTGGGCGGATCACGAGATCAGGAGTTTGAGACCAGCCTGACCAACATGGAGAAACCCTGTCTCTACTGAAAATACAAAAATTAGCTGGGCGTGGTGCGCACACCTTTAATCCCAGCTACTCAGGCAGCTGAGGCAAGAGAATCGCTTGAACCCGGGTGGCAGAGGTTGCAGTGAGCCAAGATCGTACCATTGCCCTCCAGCCTGGGCAACAGAGTGAGACTCTGTCTCAAAAATAATAATAATAATAATAATAATAATAATAATAATAATAATAATAATAATAAAAAAATGAGCCACAAGGAGAGAGCTTGTGAATAAGTATGATGGGTGAGGAAGGAGAAGGATGTCTGAGTGTCTCCCCAGTTTCTAGAATGGGTAGGCGGTGGTGTCATCAACTGAGACAGAAAATACAAAGGGACAAGAAGATGAGGTTGAAGGAATGTAAGTCATGTGATACCTAATTAGAGAAGAAAGATAATGTCCACACAGACTACAGTTGGCTGGAACAAAGGAGGATTTGGGAGTCAGAGAGGTTTGGGTTCAAGTCCTAGCTCATTACTTAAGGTGTGGAAGCCTTGGCCTCGCTTTAAAAACCTTTTTTAAAAAAACTCTTTTGAACTTTAAAAACTCTTAAAAAAAAAAAAGAGTAGGAAAACCTACTCTTGCCAGGACTGTTGTGAGGATAAGGACATACAGGTCCCACTCGATGAATGGTTACCATCATTGTTTACAGTATTTTCTTTGGTATTATTCTGGATAGAACATCTTTGGTCACATTTCCAAAACTCTGCGGTGATGGTTCCTGATGGTTCCTTAGTCAACTCGGCTAGACCACAGTACCCAGATATGTGGTCAAACACTAGTTTGGATGTTGCTGTGAAAGTATTTTTGTAGATGAGATTAAGTTTTAAGTAGACCTTGAACAAAGCAGATTACCCTCCATAATGTAGTGGGCTGCAACCAGTCAGTGGAAAGAAGAGAAAATGACGGACCTGCTACAGGGAGGAGGGAATTCCACCTGCTGCCTCCCTTCAGGCTAAAGCTGCAGCCTCAGCTCTTCCCTCCATCTCCAGCCTGCGGGCCAGCACTGCAGACTTTCGAATTGCCCGTTCCCACAACTGCGTGAGCCAATTCTTTAAAATAAATAAATCTGTCTATATACATATACATACATATATAAAATTTATAACCTAGATATATATATACATCTGTGTATGCGTGTGTATATCTATCTATATCTGCCTCTATATCTGTATATCTCCCATTGGTTATGTTTTTCTAAAGCACCCTAATAGAACTTTATATTGTAGATTTTCCTTGCATCTATTGTGAATGCCTTTACTCCTCATAAAGCCAAAGCCGAGGCTATCTCAATGGTCATGATTCAGAGAGTGAGTTTTTGCTAATGAACCAAAAGATTGCACTGTTGTGGTCAACACAGCAGAAGAACATTCTCATGGTACAGATAAAAAACTACCCAGCAAAATCCATACACTTCCGTCTGCAGTGCAGAACTGCCTCTGGGAAGTGCCTGTCCAGAGAGGCAGTGCCTGCCACAGGTTCCTAGATGGGCCTCATGACAGGCTCTCCTGAATGGCTTGAAAGGCAAGCAATGAATGTCAGTTTCAGGCCAAGAAAATTAAACTGCTAGGGTTCCTTTTCTGTTCTCTATTCCCTTTCACTGACTTGCCAGGTCCCTGAGCCCCTCTGTGAAGCCTGCCACAGGCCACGCCTGACCTGGACAGGGGCCAGGGTAGCCTTGCCCTGAACTGAGCCACTGATAGTCAGGAGGTTGCTCCAGCAATTAGTGTCACCCTAATGATACCCTAACCTCCCTACATAAGGCAAGGAAGTCAGTCAAGCCACATGAACCCCTTCTCCTCTGCCTGGGGCTTGGGAAGAAATTAGTCCATGGAAGGTCAGTGCTGACCACCTCCCAGAGAGCAGACTGGCCCTGCTCCAACTATGCGGCAGGGCTGGGGAGCGAGCACTCTGAACATTCTACTCCTGTAGGTCCAGCTGCTGCTACATCCCCCCACTGGGATGAGTCCTGAGACCCCAGCCTGCTTCCCTGGCTTCCCTGGGACACTCCTCAGCCACCACCATAAGGGGTCCTAACTCCTCGTCAGCTATAAGCTTATGCATCCTGCATGGTAAAATGCCCAGCCCTGTGAGATTCCTGATGCTGAGGCCAGGGCTGGGGGTGGCGCGCGGGGGTGATTGGGTGATGGACGTCATTTCTCTCTTGTCTTTTCATTCACACACCCACTCTGCGGAAGGCGGCTTTTCCTTTGTTTAGAGAGCTTAATCTGTCTGCACCATGAAGGTGGGTGTGGAGTGAGGAGGCAGCTGTCCCCATGTCACTGAAGGCAGCGCAGTCACCACACTGCATACCCCGAGGATGTCAACCCCACAGTCAGCCTATTCACTGCATTTCCCCTTGGCACCAAGAGCCAGCTTCAAAATAATCCAGCAAGGGGCTGGGGGGAGGTGGGGGGTGGGGAGATAGTGACAAAACAAGATGGGCCAGATGTTGGCATCTGTTGAAGCCAGAAGAGGAGTACACAGGGGTTCATGACAGCAGTCTGTTTACTTTTACGTATGTTTGAAAAGTTCTAAATAAAAATATTTTTCTAAAAGGAAATTCCTTATATGAGCCGAGATACAGCAGAAGAGGAGCCTCACCTGACTCTAAGGCCACTCCTGTCTTCCCTGATACCATTTCAGGGCGTCATGGTTACTCTCATGAAGGAAGAGGTGTTTTTAATAGACAAATGTGGGTTATTTTTCTATTCCCATTAATATTTACTACATGTCATTATCTCCAAGTCTAATCACTTAAAGAGGAGATTTTAAATAATTGATTAATATAAAAGAAGAAAAATGCCACGCTGTCTTTTTCATTATCTATCAAAACCCAGAAAACCTCTTCCTCTAGTCCTGACACAGACACATACATATATTAATGCATACACTGAGAAGAACAGGCATACAAATCAATAGACACAAATCTGCTCAGGGCATTTTTCCGAGGGAAAAACCATTAACCTCTCTCCATCTCCCGCGTGGCCTGCTCCTCAGCACAATGCCACGGCAATTCAAGTAACTCTTTTTATTTTACTCACAGAATTTTAGGGTTCCCCCAAAAACACAAAAATCTAACATTTCTTGAACTCTGATAACATATATTTTGCTTGTGCGATCATACATATGCATGTATAGTGCATAAACAGGCTTTAATGTCTAGATGAAATGCATGCATCCACACTTTTTTTTTTTTTTTTTTGAGATGGATTCTCTCTCTGCACCAGGCTGGAGTGCAGTGGTGTGGCGCGATCTCGGCTCACTGCAACCTCTACCTCCCGGGTTCAAGCAATTCTCCTGCCTCAGTCTCCCCAGTAGCTGGGATTACAGACACCCGCCAACATTCCCCGGCTAATTTTTCTAATTTTAGTAGAGATGGGGTTTCACCATGTTGGCCAGGCTGGTCTCGAGCTCCTGACTCATTATCTGCCCGCCTCGGCACCCCAAAGTGCTGGGATTACAGGCGTGAACCTGCGCCAAGCCGCATCCACACTTTTAAAATGCCCTTGTTGGCCAGGCGCAGTGGCTCATGCCTGTAATCCCAGCACTTTGGGAGGCCAAGGTGGGTGGATCACGAGTTCAGGAGTTCCAGACCAGCCTGGCCAAGATGGTGAAACCCCATCTCTACTAAAAACACAAAAAAATTAGCCGGGCATGGTGGCAGGCACCTGTAATTCCAGCTATTCAGGAGGCTGAGGCAGAGAATCATTTGAACCTGGGAGGCAGAGGTTGCAGTGAGCCGAGATCATGCCATTGCACTCCAGGCTAGGTGACAGAGCGAGACTCTGTCTCAAAAAAAAAAAAAAAAAAAAAAAAAGCCCTTGGTTCACGCTCGGTCCTTACAGGAGGACAGCAAAACAAAACAAACACAAAGAGGATGCCCTCGGAGCATCTCAGCAAGACACTGAGGAGCGCTCTCAGAAGCACCTCCCATGAGAAACACAGTGCTTCTCACAAGCCCATCAGCATTCAGCAGTGAGATTTTATCAAGCTCTGCTTCCCGCTGCCTGAAAAGAAGTTGGAATTCTCTTCGCCACTGCCTCCAACCTGCTCACGCATCTGAAGGTGGAACCCTGCTCCAAGGCCACCTGGAGACGCAGGTGCCACTTACCACAAGGGAGAGAGGCCTCTTCCAGGAGACGACACCTATGAGTCCCGACAGCAGCACCTGGAAGGACAAAAGATACAGGAAGGTGAGATGCTTCCGAAACCTTGCATGGGCAATCAAAACACTGTGAACCGTTTCAACCCGGAGAAGGACGTGTGGAACACAGCACACACACAGTGGCGGGGCTACCATGAGCTGCATTTTCACAGCTTGCACCCACTCTGAGAGGCACATTGGTCTCTCAGGGCACCAGGGTGCTATGGAGGGGTCACTTTGTGCACTGCACTAGGTGGCCCGAGAGTGACAGGCTTTCTGAAACACCCCACCCTGGTCCTCGATGTGATTTGGCTGTGCTAGGCACACGCTTGTATTCCTAGCTACTCGGGAGGCTGAGGCACGAGAATCACTTGAACCTGGGAGGCAGAGGTTGCAGTGAGCCAAGATCACACCACTGCACTCCAGCCTGGGAGGCAGAGCGAGACTCCATCTCAAAAAAAAAAAAAAAATCACAGAGAACACTATTTGGGGAAAAGGCAAATGCAACCCCACCCACGGGCCACCTGGCCACCTGCCATGGTTGCATGGACCCTGGGCATGGCAGACCCTGCAGGCTCCTTCTGCCCTATACACACTTGGCTCCCCTGATGCACACCCTTCTCTCCCCTCCAGCCCCTGCGAGCCCCTCCCCTTCACTCATCACAGCTTCCCACCTCACCCGTACATAGGCAGTGTCTTCTGATGAGGCTCCAGAACTTTCTAGGCCCTGACTCCAAGCAGCCCACTCCTTTCCCAGGCCAAGTCCTGCCCTTGACCTTGCCTGGGGTCTCACCAGAAGTCATCCCCTCTCTCCTGCCTCCTCCCTACTGTCCTGATCACATGAATACACTGTGACTTCTGTCCCTTAGAAGAACCACTGCTTAGCCCTGTGTCCAGCTCCTGGCCTGCCTGTCTCCTAGGCGGCCTCCTGAGGCCAGGCAACCTGAGGATGACACTGGCTCTGATCCCCACATTCCTGATTTCCTGGTGTCCAGGAAGGGCCAATGGATCATGAAGACACAGTCACTTCCCACCCACTACCATCTATCTGGCTTCAGCCCCACAACTCCAAGGAAACTTCTCCCAAGGTTCCCCAGCAGTCACCAAGTGCGACAGACAAAGCTCGGTCCCCATCACCCGGCTGAGGGCTGAGGCTCCCTCCCATCTGGGCTCCTGTGGCTTCTCACTCCCCTGCGGTTCTTCCCACTTCCCAGGGGCCGCTCTCCTCCACAGCCTCCCTCCTGGCCTCCTCCCTCTCCCCAACCTCTTCCTGGTTTCCCAACACCTGTCTCCTGAGCCCTTTGTCTCCTCTCCCCAGGGCTCTGTGGTGGCTGTCCTGAGGCTCCTCGAGTACCATCCACTGGTATCTGCACAGGTGATTCTCAGCCCAGGGCTTTGCCATGGCCACGGCATCACACCGTCCACAGGCTCTGCTCCTGGCATCTGTCCAACCCAACATGTCCAAAAATGCAGCTGCAGCCTCCACCTCAGAAGCCCACACTTCCTCTTGCAACCTCTGCTCTCCACAAGAGTACCTCTTCTTCCCCGTCACTCAAGCCGAAATCCTGGAGATCTTTCCCTCTCCCTTACCCCCATGTCCAACCAGGGAGGAACAGGAGGCTAAGGCTCACTCAACAGGGCAGCATGTGAGAAGGCCGAATTAAAAGGAAGGTGTTTGCAGACCAGGTCTCCTGTGAAGACAAATTGCTCACGCTTGCCACTGTGGGCACAAGCCAGGCATCCGGGCACTGGCTGGAAGGGCTTGGCTGCATGTCCCCTGAGACTCCAAAAGCACTGGCCAGACCCGGGAGGAGGGCATGATGCTGACAAACTCACAAGGTACCCTTGGTCACAGACTGCAGTTCACCCTCAACCACCTCCACAGGGGGCAGAACCAGGTCTCAGACACAGCAGCCACTATCACATCCTGCACCATGCTAGTCTAGTATCAAAAACATCTGGCCACAAAACAACAAAACAACAACAAAAACATGAACCAAAGCACGCACACCAGGGCTCTGCTCCCAAGCCTCTCACACGTGTATTTTTTCTGCAACGCTCACAAGTCCTCCAAACACAGTTACCGGCGACAGACATTATTTACAGCCATTTCCCACCGCCCGGGTCCCCTCCCATGGCCATGCCACCCAGGCTCCTTGCCTCGCAGTCCAGTTCCAGCCCTAGGGAAATCCTTGACCAATGTCTCTCGTGTCTCTCAGGGGCTGTGTCTCACTAACTCTCCTTCCAAATGCCCCTGAAACCTCTCTCTTGCCTTCTGTACCCAACATTTGAACCCAGTGGGCACACCATGTTCCCATGTCATTTCACAGTCAGAGGACACCGGCCTTTCTTGGAAGGAGATGACCATTCCCGCCGGAGCTCTCACCATCATTTCATGTTTGACATTTCAGACCCTGACTTCACTCCTCCACACCCACTTTCTTCTTTTTGTGAATTCAAAATTTCTGACCATAATGCCATCATGTTTTGAGCTCATGGTATATAGTTCAGGGGCCACTCCGTCACTAAGCAGGATCCATTCTTCTGCTCAGCACCCTCCATTTCCCGGTTCATCTCTCTGCCCTCTGCCGGCACGCTCCTGTTTCACCTGCCCGATGACAGCCTTGTCCACTCGCTCTTGTCTCCACCTCCTCCCTCCCCACTGAAGCCATCCTGGATGCCTCCACCAAACAAACCGCATCTCCCTGGCCTGACAATTTAGACCACAAAGCTAGGTCCCTGATTTTCCAGCACTGGAGGCACCTCCCTTGGTGGCCCCACTCCTGTCCAGGCCACTCTGGGCACCTCCAGGGAGGCTGGCAAGGGAGGAAACTGCACAGCAGCCACTGTGTGACTCACCTACAAGCCACAGAGCTCTGTGGGCTGTCTTCCCTCCACACCCAACCTCCGAGACAGCCCCCATCTTCCAGCACTCCCTTCCTGTCCCCAGCCCTCCCGGCCCCAGCCTCAGCCCCCGACTCTTCTTATCCCTCAAGTTGAGGGCCACATTCCGGGGCTCTGGCTCTGACTCTGCCATCTGCCTAGGATGAAACTTCCAAAAAGTGTCTTCCATTTTTCCACACGCCCCAACACTGGCCTCACGCAGACTAAGCCTGGACAGATGGTGAGAAGAAACATCCCCTAGAAAATGGCGTCTTCTACTTCCCATGTCTAGCAGATGAAATCTTACCCGTTCTTCAACCATGGCCCCACCCTCCTCACTCACGAAGAGCCTAGGAATTCAAGAGCCCAGGGGGCCCATCAGATCCCCAAACTACCACCAGAGTCCTGCAGGCATCTTTAATAAACTCAGATTGAACGCCTTGACCTCTTCTCAGCTGAAGTGTATTAAACTATCAAAATTCTACAGTGACTAAGTCGCTTGTAGCAGGAATTTCACTGGAAGTACATAAAACTTCCAAATCGTAGCCACTACTCCACCTACTTCTAAGCCTGAAGGAAGTTAATATTGCTTTTATCTTATTAAGCTACAGGGAGAGTTCTTGACCTTCCCCATTCCCATAAGCAAAGCTATCATTCCACAAATCCCCTCACAGAATTTGACTTTCAACAAACACGGGTGACTTGCTCACTGAAGACAATGTGCATTTCCAAGTATCATTAATAACTACAACTAGGAATGGATCAAATTCTCCTACACAAAGCAAAAGAATAAAGCCATTAAACTTGGCGTGGCAGGCAGAATTCTAAAATGACCCCTGGTGACCCCTGGCCTTACAGAATGCTCTCCCCTGAGTAAGAATATGATGGGCTGTCACTCTTGTGGTCTTCCCCCAGGGACATGTTCAAATAACATGGCCCCAGCAACACTCTGGTTGCAGCCTTGTGAAACCTGGCCAGGTGACTCTTCTATGGGAGGGGGGCAAGGAAATGCTGGGTAGAGAAGGGTGGGGTGCCTGGCGAGGGCTCCACCCTCAGGCCTGTGCCCATGGACCTAAGTGAGAACGGGCAGTCCTGTTTTCATGCCCAAATGTTGCATCTTCCAAGACCACTCTGGCCTCCCATGCCCCCCATCCTGTGCCCATAAAAATCTGAGACCATAGTGGGCATGGACACAAGCAGCTGGATGTTGAAAGGAGGAGAAGGGCACACCAACAGACACCAGCAGACACTGGCAGGCCACTGACGGCGGGATGACACAGAATTTGGTCGAGGGCAGTCGGAGGAGAGTCCAGCCACTGGCCGGCCTGACTCCAGGGGAAGACACCTTCCCACTCCATCCCCGTTTTGCTCCCCATCCACTTCGCTGAGAGCTACCTCCACCACTCAATTAAACCTCGCACCCATCCTCCAAGCCCATGTGTGATCTGATTTTTCCTGTACACTAGGGCAAGAACCAGGATACAGAAAGCCCTCTGTCCTTGTGATAAGGCAGAGGGTCTAACTGAGCTGATTAACACAAGCTGCCTGCAGATGGCAAAACTGAAAGAGCACTCTGTAACACACACCCACTGAGGCTTTGGGACCTGCAAACACTCAACCCTAGACGATGCCGTGGAGATGGAGCCCCAAAACACTCCCCAAAACCTACCCATCTTCATGTTCCCCCTTGGAGTTTGAACAGCGGGGCACCGAAGAAGCGAACCACACCCTTGTCACACGCCCGGTGAGGCGGATAAGGGAACTCCTCCGGTTTCAACTCTACTAAGCAAGGTCCAGACTCCTAACCCAAGAAAACTATGAGGTATTAAGTGAGTGTTGTGTCAAGCTGCAAAGTTTATGGTCATTTGCTACACAGCAACAGAAAACAATTGTTAGGGACTAAATGTATGTGACCCCCCAATTGGAGATGTTGAATCCCTAACCCGCAATGTAATGGTATTTGGAGATGGGGCCTCTGGGAGGTGATTAGGATTAGACTGGGTCATGAGGATGACGCCTTCACAATGGGACTGGTAGCTCTACACGAGGAGAAAGCGAGCTCTCACGCTCTCCGCACACACACAATGAGGCAGACCATTCAGAGTGCAAGTCAGTTATTGGTGTATAAAAATGCTTGTGAATTTTGCACATTGATTTTGTATCCTGAGACTTTGCTGAAGTTGCTTATCAGCTTAAGGAGATTTTGGGCTGAGACCATGGGGTTTTCTAAATATACAATCATGTCATTTGCAAACAGGGACAATTTGACTTCCTCTTTTCCTAATTGAATACCCTTTATTTCTTTCTCCTGCCTGACTGCCCTGGCCAGAACTTCCAACACTATGTTGAATAGGAGTGGTGAGAGAGGGCATCCCTGTCTTGTGCCAGTTTTCAAAGGGAATGCTTCCAGTTTTTGCCCATTCAGTATGATATTGGCTGTGGGTTTGTCATAGATGGCTCTTATTATTTTGAGATACATCACATCAATACCTAATTTATTGAGAGTTTTTAGCATGAAGGGCTGTTGAATTTTGTCAAAGGCCTTTTCTGCATCTATTGAGATAATCATGTGGTTTTTGTCTTTGGTTCTGTTTATATGCTGGATTACATTTATTGATTTGCATATGTTGAATAACAGACAAAAAGAGAGCCAAATCATGAGTGAACTCCCATTCACAATTGATTCAAAGAGAATAAAATACCTAGGAATCCAACTTACAAGGGATGTGAAGGACCTCTTCAAGGACAACTACAAACCACTGCTCAACGAAATAAAAGAGGATACAAACAAATGGAAGAACATTCCATGCTCATGGATAGGAAGAATCAATATCGTGAAAATGGACATAATGCCGAAGGTAATTTATAGATTCAATGCCATCCCCATCAAGCTACCAATGACTTTCTTCACAGAATTGGAAAAAACTACTTTAAAGTTCATATGGAACCAAAAAAGAGCCTGCATTGCCAAGTCAATCCTAAGCCAAAAGAACAAAGCTGGAGGCATCACACTACCTGACTTCAAACTATACTACAAGGCTACAGTAACCAAAACAGCATGGTACTGGTACCAAAACAGAGATACAGACCAATGGAACAGAACAGAGCCCTCAGAAATAATACCACACATCTACAACCATCTGATCTTTGACAAACCTGACAAAAACAAGAAATGGGGAAAGGATTCCCTATTTAAAAATGGTGCTGGGAAAACTGGCTAGCCATACGTAGAAAGCTGAAACTGGATCCCTTCCTTATACCTTATACAAAAATTAATTCAAGATGGATTAAAGACTTATATGTTAGACCTAAAACCATAAAAACCCTAGAAGAAAACCTAGGCAATACCATTCAGGACATAGGCATCGGCAAGGACTTCATGTCTAAAACACCAAAAGCAATGGCAACAAAAGCCAAAATTGACAAATGGGATCTAATTAAACTAAAGAGCTTCTGCACAGCAAAAGAAACTACCATCAGAGTGAACAGGCAACCTACAGAATGGGAGAAAATTTTTGCAATCTACTCATCTGCCAAAGGGCTCATATCCAGAATCTACAAAGAACTCAAACAAATTTACAAGAAAAAAACAAACAACCCTATCAACAAGTGGGTGAAGGGTATGAACAGACACTTCTCAAAAGACATTTATGCAGCCAACAGACACATGAAAAAATGCTCATCATCACTGGCCATCAGAGAAATGCAAATCAAAACCACAATGAGATGCCATCTCACACCAGTTAGAATGGCCATAATTAAAAAGTCAGGAAACAACAGGTGCCGGAGAGGACGTAGAGAAATAGGAACACTTTTACACTGTTGTGGGACTGTAAACTAGTTCAACCATTGTGGAAGACAGTGTGGCAATTCCTCAGGGATCTAGAACTAGAAATACCATTTGACCCAGACATCCCATTACTGGGTATATACCCAAAGGATTATAAATCATGCTGCTATAAAGACACATGCACACACGTTTATTGCAGCACTATTCACAATAGCAAAGACTTGGAACTAACCCAAATGTCCATCAATGATAGACTGGATTAAGAAAATATGCCACATATACAACATGGAATACTATGTAGCCATAAAAAAGGATGAGTTCATGTCCTTTGTAGAGACATGGATGAAGCTGGAAACCATCATTCTCAGCAAACTATCGCAAGGACAAAAAACCAAACACTGCATGTTCTCACTCATAGGTGGGAATTGAACAATGAGAACACTTGGACACAGGAAGGGGAACATCACACACCGGGGCCTGTTGTGGGGTGGGGGGAGGGGGGAGGGAAAACATTAGGAGATATACCTAATGTAAATGACGAGTTAATGGATGCAGCACACCAACATGGCACATGTATACATATGTAACAAACCTGCACGTTGTGCACATGTACCCTAGAACTTAAAGTATAATTTAAAAAAACAATAATAATAATTAAAATATTCAGGAACTATGAAAAAAAAAAAAAGAATGCAAGTCAGGAAGGAGCCCTCACCAGAAACCAAGCTTGCTGACACCCTGATTTCAGACTTTCCAGCTTCACAAACTGCGAGAAAATAAATTTCTGTTAGGTCACCTAGTCTATGCTATTTCGTTATGGCAGCCTAAGTAGACTAAGACACTACGACATCCCAAGTGGGACACTGGATTGTTGTTCCAAAACATCTGCTTTCTCCCCAGACCTCTCCAGGAGGGGCAGCACAGGCTTCCCTCCCCACACCCCTCCCCAATCCTGGAAACACTGACACAGCTCCCAACACCAATGCTTGAGCGCTTGGAACTGACTGTGCATGCATTGCTTGCTGTTCATCAGTGAGCTTCTGTGGAGCCAAGTTGGAAAACTTTTCCCTAGAAAGGTATAGTTCTGCCAGTAACAGGAATGCACCCAGGATTTGGAAACACTGTGATGCTCGAGGGCCTCAGCTCACAGCACAGTAGAAATCCCAGGCCAAGCCCCTACCTTGCCGTGGGCATCAGGCTCAGCCACAGTGCTATGGTGGACACTCATGCTCAGGGCAAGTCCCTTCTCCAGCCACATGCCGCCTGACGCTGCTCCCTGTCATTGTGACTCCAGCCACCTGCCACTCTGGCCTCAATTCATTATTTGTTTATTTGTTTCTTCGGGAGTGGGACACTGGATCATTTTTTCAAAACATCTGCTTTCTCCCCAGACCTCTCCAGGAGGGGCAGCACAGACTTCACTCCCCCCACCCCTCCCTGATACCGGAAACACTGACACAGGTCCAAATACGAAGGCCAAATAGATTGGGAAAGGCATGATATTGCTCAGGGAGAGGAGGCTTAACCCTAATGACGGAGGGCCTGCAGAATGGCTTGAGGGAGGCTTTTCACGGCCCAGGTGCTGGTGTGCCTCCTCCCTGGAGAGGCCAGCTCTGGCCCACTGGAGACCAAGGGCGGTTGATGTAAAAGCAGCTCAGAGCCTCTGCTCTGAAACCATCGGATCTTGAACTGTTTTTGCTCAATTCCAGCTACCAGCAAGGATTATGTTGCACATTCTGACATGTCAGTAATCCTGTAGGTTGATTTTGCACCACTCTCATGAGAAAAAGGGTCATGAATCTAGTTAGCCATGAAATTACCACATCATGAAACCTTCATCCCGTTTAATTTACAGGTATCATTATTCAGAGTCCACAGTTCACAAAGAATATGGAGAAAACGAAGAGGGTTGGGGAAGAGTAACATAGAATTAAATAGCTGTGGAAAAAAAGCCAAATAGATTGGAAAAGGCATGATATTGCTCAAGGAGAGGAGGCCGAACCTTGCGAGCACCATGAGTTGTCACAAGGACGCCAACTCGCTCTTTTCTCCACTTCCCCACCCAGCCTAATAGAGGCAAGAGATAAAATCAGAACAGAGACAGAACTTCCTGCTGTTGAGGCTGATGACAAGGGATAACAGGCTGCCGGGAAATAATGGCATCCTTAGAGTCAAAGACCTGCCCATTTGATTGGTACCCTGCCTGGACACAGAGGTCTGGAATAAATTAGCTCTTTAAATCTTGTCCTCTAACACTGAAAAGTTCTTTTACTTCCTAAAATCAAGAATGTTCTTCAGATCATAAAGTCTGGTCCAAAGGCAACTGATAGTGAAGCAAGTCCTTCTAGAACGCAGTCTTGAAAGCCAAGTAAATTACTTTCATGAAACATATGGCAGATGGGTGCCCAATAGCTACAGAGATATCAATTTACCACTAAGAAGCCAGCATTCACTGTGTGTGGAAAGAATTGTTGCAAAAACAGAGCAAATAATATTCTGAGTCCACCAACCCCCCATCTTCCAAACCTCCTGGACTGCAGCTCTGTGCAATATTCCTCCTACAGCCTCCTGGAGCAGCTGATCTTCCTACTTCACCCTCCGTCAATTCTCCTTGCTTTGGGTGTGGCTTTCTTTCTCTGAGTCTTGCTGGGGCCACAGAAGGCTCACGAGGCATGCAGGCCTCTACCATCTGTCTCTACCTTTGAGGACACACTCATTGCTACCCCCACCCTGTCCATGCTTTCTGCCCCCTCTCCTTAGGGCAACTTCCAACTCACCATTCCCTCTCCCAGCCTTTCATCCCAGGCTGTGGTCCAAACATCCTCCACACCATTTCCCTTCAGGGGCTGCACCAACACATCACACTCATAATGTCCCTGAGAAAAGTTACCTTTCTTCTCAACCTACTGATAGAAAAAGAACTCTGCAGCTTTCATTATCTTCTCAAGCAGAAGCAAAACTATAAATTGATGACAAAGATCACCTCATGAAAGAGAAAAAACTCCTTAGTGTTGAAGTGTTTTAAAATATTCTAAATAACTCATGAGTCAAAAGATACTGAAAGGTGAAATACACCATGGTCTGTTCTGATGCAATGCATGCTTCTTTGATGCACATTCTCTCTTAAGTGCTTGGTAACAAACTCATTTGTCCAGGGCCTGCCCTGTAAGATGCTGCCTCCTCTTACGGGTATCTACTCTGACATTAGGGTAGCTGCTGGATTTTGTTACTTAGTGGGTTATTAGGTAGCACATATATTATTATAATACATTTAAAAATATTTTTAGTTTAAAAATTTCAAAATAATTTGTTTCCTTTGTAATAGTTTTTTTGGTTTTGTTTTTTGTTGCTGTTGTTGTTTTGAGACGGAGTCTGGCTCTATCGCCCAGGCTGGAGTGCAGTGGCACGAGCTCGGCTCACCGCAAGCTCCGCCTCCCGGGTTCACGCCATTCTCCTGCCTCAGCCTCCCAAGTAGCTGGGACTACAGGTGCCTGCCACCATGCCTGGCTAATTTTTTTTCCTATTTTTTAGTAGAGACAGGGTTTCACTGTGTTAGCCAGGATGGTCTCGATCTCCTGACCTCGTGATCTGCCCGCCTCAGCCTCCCAAAGTGTTGGAATTACAGGCGTGAGCCACTGTGCCCGGCCTTTTTTTGTATTTTTTAGTGGAGAAGGGGTTTCACCATGTTAGCCAGGATGGTCTCGATCTCCTGACCTTGTGATCCACCCGCCTCGGCCTCCCAAAGTGCAGGGATTACAGGCGTGAGCCACTGTGCCCGGCCTGTAATAGTTTTATTTCATGCTTTTAAAAACCTTATTCTGAGAAGGGATCCACAGGCTTCACTAGATTGTCATGACAAAAGTTATGACCCCCCCCACCCCCGACCCCGATTAAAGTTCCTTTAGAGCAGATTTTTTGGTGATAAACTCCCGTTTTTGGTTTATCTGTAAATAGCTTACTTCGTTCGCCTTGATGCTTGAAAAATAGTTACGCTGGAAACACCCTAGGTTGACAGTTGCATCTCTCAACAGTTTGAAACTATTATTCCACTGTTTTCTGACTGCCATTGTTGCAGCCAAGTCAGCTGTCCTCATTCTCTAAAGACTTTTGAGATCATCTCCTTGCCTTTAGTATTCTGAACTTTTTGCCTGGTATGTTAGGTGTGGATTTCTTTTTAATCTTCTTTGAGAGATACTGTGCTACTGAATCTGTGAATTTATATTTTTCATTCGTTCTGGAAATTTTGTAGCTAATATCTCTTCAGATACTGTATCTTCGCTATTCTCTTTGCCAGGGACTCCAGTAGCTGTATGTTTGTCCTTCACATTCCATCCTCCAAATGTCTTAGTTTTTCTTCCACATATTCCCCACACATGTCATTCATGACTTCATTCTGGTTACTTTCTTTAGCTGTGTCTTCCAGATCATCAATTGTCTCTGCACTGTGTCTAATCAGCTGTTGAACTATATAACTGCACTTGTTTAGAAAAGTTCAGTGATTATATCTCAATATCTAGAAATTCTTTTATTTCCAAATGTAACTATTTATTTCAAATAGTTCCTTGTTGTGTGCTCATCTATATGACTGTGTTGATAATTTCTTTAAATGTTTCATACACTAATGTTCTAGATTCCAAGACATGTTGTCCCAGGAGGGTATCAAAGTTTGCCCTTTGTTGTCTCATTGTGATTTGCTTTCTTTGATGCTTGAGCGCTTGGAAGTGTTTGACTGTGCATGCATTGCTTGCTGTTCATCAGTGAACTTCTGTGGAGCCAAGTTGGAAAACTTTTCCCTAGAGAAGTATAGTTCTGCCAGTAACAGGAATGCACCCAGGATTTGGAAACACTGTGATGCTCAAGGGCCTCAGCTCACAGCACAGTAGAAATCCCAGGCCAAGCCCCTACCTTGCAGTGGGCACCAGGCTCAGCCACAGTGCTATGGTGGACACTCATGCTCAGGGCAAGTCCCTTCTCCAGCCACATACCGCCTGACGCTGCTCCCTGTCATTGTGACTCCAGCCACCTGCCACTCTGGCCTCAGTTCATTATTTATTTGTTTGGGAGTAGGGCAGTGGACCTTGATGATCTGCAATGCATCAAGGAGCATGTCTTTTGCAGTGTATAGTTGTTCTATAGGAGAAGCATCCTTCAAAGTGCCTACTCAGCCAAAATGCCAGAATCAGAAGGAAATCCCCCATTCCTGGTGTTTTTATTGGTCCCATAAATACACCAATAAAGCAATGAATAGAGGCTACTTTTATTTTTTTTTAATTAACAAATGTTATAAGTTATCAAAATATGAAACTTTATTTAGCTAATAAAATTCTTTATAAATTCCAAAGTATTCCACATATCCTATTATTTATTTACTCTTTTAGCCCCAGCAACTATATTTCTCAAATCACTTTACTTTCAAAAAAACAAAATGTTATCCCAAATTATTCTTTCCCTCCATTTTCCCCTGGAAAAAAATATTACTCCCATCCAAAGCCTTTCTAATTCAGTAGCTTTCCTACATGCTGGTAAGAAACTGTAAGACAAGGATTCCATTCACAAAAGCAAAAAAATTAAAAACTATCCAAGAATTAACTTCATGATGAATGTATAAGGTTTTTTAAAAGGCAACTACAAGACTCTACTGAGACATAGGAAGGAAGATTTTTAGTAAATGGACGTATATACCATGTTCCCAAATGAGGAAACCTAAAGATAATAAAAATGTTAATTTCTCTATATTCATAAATTAATTTAGTGAAATCTCTATCAAAATCCCAATGGGATTCTTTGAAGGTTGACAAAATGATTCAAAAATTTATCTGAAGGAAAAATTTTTCCTTCAGATAGTAGAGAAGAAACAATGTCATTGAACTATGTGGAGGGAAAGAGGTTTATGTATTACTGGACACAATTTTCATCCCTTCATTATTTTAAGTTAAAAATTCCCAGGAACAAAAACAGTTTAGAAAGCCACAATAGTTATAAGTGGCTCAAGAACAAACAGACCTGTAAAGAACAGAATATAATGTCCAGAAAGAGACTTAGGCATATATTAGGGTTTTAAAAAATTATTTGTTTTTTAGATTGTGGTAAAATGTACATACATAAAATTTACCATTTAACCATTTTTAAGTGTACACTCAGTAGCATTAAGTCCATTCACCTTGTGCAAACATTCTCCTCATCCATCTCCAGAAAACCTTTCATCTTGCAAAATTAAAACTTTGTATCCATTAATTTACACCGATTCCCCATTCCCTCCCCCACTCTAGCCCCTGACAACCACCATTCTTCTTTCTGTCTCTATATGAGTGGAATCATAGTTTTATCCTTTTGTGACAGGCTTCTATCACTTAGGATAATGTTTTCAAGGTTCATCCATATGTAGCATGTGTCAGAATCATCTCTTTTTTTTTTTTTTTTTTTTTTGAGACAGTTTTGTTCTGTCGCCCACGCTGGAGTGCAGTGGTGTGATCTCAGCTCACTGCAAGCTCTGCCTCCTGGGTTCATGCCATTCTCCTGCCTCAGCCTCCTGAGTAGCTGGGCTACAGGCGCCCACCACCATGCCCGGCTACTTTTTTTTGTATTTTTAGTAAAGACGGGTTTCACCATGTTAGCCAGGATGGTCTCAATCTCCTGATCTCATGATCCGCCCGCCTCGGCCTCCCAAAGTGCTGGGATTACGGGCCTGAGCCACCGCGCCTGGCCCCTCCTTCCTTTTTAAGTCTAATAGTATTCTGTACGTATAGACCTCATTCTGTTGAGCCACCCGTCTACAGATGGATGCTTGGGTTGCTTCCACCCTTTAGCTATGAGGATAATGCTTCTATGAACACAGGTGTGCAAATATGTCTTTGAGACCCTTCTTTCAATTCTTTTGGGTATGTACCCAGAAGTGAAATATGGTAATTCTATTTGTAATAATACAGAGTGGAAAACAGTATAAACCTCCTCAATAATTACAAATAGAATTACCATATGGCTATTATTTTTATAATAGCCATTCTGATGGGTAGGAAGTGGTAGTCATTTTGATTTTTTCTCTTTTTTCTTTCTTTTTTTTTTTTGAGACAGGGTCTCACTCTCACCTAGGCTGGAGTGCAGTGACGTGATCACAGCTCACTGCACTTTCAACCTCCTGGGCTCAAGCAATCCTCCCTGCTCAGCCTCCCGAGTAGTTGGGACTACAGGTGCATGCCACCACACCCAGCTAGTTTTCGTATTTTTTTTTTTCAAGAGATGGGGGTTTCGCCACGTTGCCCAGGCTGGTCTTGAACTCTTGGGCGCCAACGATCCTCCTGCCTGGGCCTCGAAAAGTGCTGGGATTACAGGTGTGAGCCACCACGCCAGCCATTGTTGTGATTTTGATTTGCATCTCCTTAAGGATTAGTGATGTTGAGCATGTTTTCATGTGCTTATTAGCCATCTGTATCTCTTCTGTGGAGAAAGGCCTAGTCAAGCCTTTTGCCTATCTTTGAAGCTTTCCTCCCAGCTTTATTGAGGTATGACTGACAAATAAAAACTGTATATAAAATGTACAACATGATTCTGGTATACATATACTGTGAAATGATTACCACAATCAAGCTAACCATATCCATCACCTCACTAGTTACCATTTCTTCTGAGTGTTTGATAAGAACATATGAAGCCTCTTTCAGAAAATTTCAAATATACAGCACATTATTATTAAGTATAGTCACTATGCTGTACATTACGTCTCCAGAATGTATTTCTTTTATAACTGAAAGTTTATACCCTTTGACCAACATCTCCCCTTTCCCCTCTCTCCCCCAGCCCCGGGCAACTACGCCTCTCCTCTCTGTTACCATGAGTTTGACTTTTTTTTTTTAGAGTCTACGGACAAGTGAGATTATTCAGTATTCATCTTTCTGTGTCTGGCTAATTTCACTTAGCATAATGTCCTCTGGGTTCATCCATGTTGCCAAAAATCCTTTGCCCATTTTTGAATTGTGTTCTTTACTTTTTTGTTATTGAGTTTTAGGAGTTTTCTATATGTTCTGGATAATAATTTCTGATGAAATATGTGATTTTCCAGTACTTTTTCCCATTCTGTGGGTTGCCTGTTTACTCTCTTAATAGTGTCCTTTGATGCACAAGTTTTTAATTTTGATGAAGTCCAGTTTGCCACTTTTCTTTTGTTGCTTATGCCTTTGGCATCATATCCAAGAAATCACTGCCAAGCCCAGGGTTGTAAAGCTTTTCCCCTAAGCTTCCTTCTAAGAGTTTTATAACTTTAGCTCTTATGTTTAGGTCTTTAATCCATTTTGAGTTAATTTTTGTATAGGATGTTAGTTAAGGGTCCAACTTCATTTTTTTTGCATGTGAACACATTAAATTAGTTTTTACAATTTAATTTATATAATTCAGTTATACAAGGAGTGACATAGTAACTGATGGGGGAAAAGGCTATTCAATAAATCGTTCTGGGATAATTGTTAAATGTAAATAAATAAGCAGATAGAGAAATTAAAATTAGTTCCCTCCCACAAACCAAAATACATTACAAGATGATTAAAATATTAAATGTAAATAATTAACCACCCAGGTTACTGGCTAAAACTCACAAAAAGGCAACTGCTCCTCAAAAAAATTTACTGAGAGGCCAGGCACAGTGGGTGGCTCACACCTGTAATCTCAACACTTTGGGAGGCCGAGGTGGGCAGATCACTTGAGGTCAGGAGCTCGAGGACAGCCTGGCCAACATGGTGAAACCTGTCTCCACTAAAAATACAAAAAATTAGCCAGACATGGTGGTATGTGCCTGTAGTCCCAGCTACTCAGGAGGCTGAGGTAGGAGAATCTCTTGAACCCAGGAGGCAGAGGTTGCCGTGAGCCGAGATTGTGCCACTGCACTCCAGCCTGGGCGACAGAGTGAGACTCCATCTTAAAAAAAGGAAAAAAAAATTTACTCAGAAAAACACCTTATAAGTAAGTAATCAATAAAATGCAAAGTGGAATAAGAGGTCCCTTGCTGCCTGTCAAGCTAGCAGTGGTTAGAAAGAACAGTGGTCCTCACTTACAGGGCTGTAGAGAATGTACATCATTAAGAGGTGCGATGCTGTCAACTGGCAAAAAGTATAATAAACAAAGCATGGGCTCTATGCAAATAAATTCAAAACCCAGGATGACAAAGATAACTTGCTAAATTACTACAATTGATTCCCCAAAAGACCAAAACACTAACTGTTCCCATAAACACCAAGAAATTGGAAATATGCTCAAACAGCTGTAGGCAAAGTCTTCAAAAACTTCTACGTATGAAGATTTCCAAAGCTGTTTAAATTTTTTCTGAGCACAGAGGGAAAAAAGGGGGAACTTCCAAATTGTCTTTATAAAGGTCAGTGTAACAATCACAAACCTGTAAAATATCACAAAAATAAGGAACAGACCAGTGGCTTTTAAACAGAAGTACATTGTTTTTATTTTATTTTTCCTGTGCTGGATCAATATTTAATGAATTTCCCCCATGTATCAGGCATTGTTGGACTCTTTCAGATATTTAACTCCTTCCCCCTCATTATTTATTTGGCAAAAGTTACATTAAGTTATTCCCTCCCCTCACAAAGCAGGTTCTCCCTGACTTCAAGGGCCAACATCCAAACAAAACCAAACATGAAAGACAGAGACTCAAAAACTTAGCATTCCTCATCTACTACACATACTAGATATAAACACACAAATTTAAATGCCAAAAACTCATAGGACAGTGCATTAAAATGATAATTTTACTGGTACATCATTTTTAAATAAAAGGTTAGAAAACAGAATTCAGCAGTACATTTAAAAGAATGAAGAACATGGGGGTTCACGTCAGGAATGAAAAGATGGTTCTGCATATTAATGTGACGAAAATGAAAAATTCTTTCATTCAGTAGATGCATGGAAGACGTCCAATAGAATTTGATCTCCATCCTCTCTTTTAAAAAAGAACTCTTAGGGCTGGGGGCAGTGGCTCACACCTGTAATGCCAGCACTTTGGGAGGCCGAGGCTAGCGGATCACTTGAGGTCAGGAGTCCTAGACCAGCCTGGCCAACATGGTAAAATCCTGTCTCTACTAAAAATACAAAAATCAGCTGAGTGTGGTGGCACATGGCTATAGTCTCAGCTACTCGGGAGGCTGAGGCAGGAGAATCACTGGAACCCGGGAAACGGAGGTTGCAATGAGCCAAGATCACGCCACTGCACTCCAGCCTGGGTGACAGAGCGAGACTCCGTCTCAAAAATAAAATAAAATAAAACAAAATGATTCTGAAAGTACTCGTGTGGTATGCAGAATTATGAGATGGCCCCCAAGGTCCCCACTCCCTGGTGTACCTGCCCTGTGTAATCCTCTCCCTTGGGCCGTGGGTGGGACTGTGAATATGTATGTGATTAGGTTACGCTGCCTGACAATGGTGGATGGGAGGTCCCAAATCAGTTTGCTGTTGAGTTCATCAAAAGGGAAGTTCTCTTGGGTGTGCCTGACCTAATCAGGCAAGACCTTTGGTTCTGGGCCCTTGGTGAAGTCCCAATTTGAGGTGTAAGAAGTTGTGCTGCTGGCCTTGAAGAAGTGGGCTGCCATGTGGTGAGATGCCTCTAAGAGCTGAGAGCTTCCCCACCCACAGCTTGCAAGGAAGCAGGGCTGAGTCACACAACCCCCAAAATGAATTCTGCCAACAACCTGAAGGAGTTTGGAAGTGGATCTTTCCCTCGTAAAGCTTTTGGATGAAGATGCTTCCAGCCTCACCAGGATTTCAGCCTGCAGACCCTGAGGACAGGACCCAATTAAAACACTCCAGAGTCCCAACCCTTAGAAACTCTGAAATAATAAGGTTGAGCTGTTTGAACCTGCTATGCTTGTGGCAATTTGCCACATAACAATAGAAAACTAATATATCTAGCTAATAACACTAAAAAGGAAAAATAAAAGAAAGTTATAAACATTGGAAAGAAGAAGCAAAATCATTACTATTTGAAAATAAAGTGATCACCTAATTAGAAAACCCAAAGGAATTGATTCAGAAGAATAAGAAACCATAAGAAAATTCAGTATGTTACCTGGTTACAAAATCAATATGTTGAAAATTATAATACTATATATAGTTGTCCCTTGAACAAGAGGGGTGTTAGGGGCACCAACCTCCTGTGCAGTCAAAAATCTATGTATAACATTTTCACTCCTCCAAAACTTAACTGGTAATAGTCTGCTGTTGACTGGAAGTCTTACCAATCAGATAAACAGTTGATTAACACACATTCACATTTTGGATGTCGTATGTACTATATGCTGTATTCTTACAATAAAGAGAAAAGAAAATGCTATTAAGAAAGTCATAAGGAAGAGAAAATATATTTTACTATTCATTAAGTGGAAGTGGATCATCATAAAGGCCTTCATCCTTGTCATCTTCTTGTTGAGTAGGCTCAGGAGGAGGAGGAGGAAGAGGAGGGCTTAGTCTTGCCATTTCAGGGTGGCAGAGGTGGAAGAAAATCCACATATAAGTGGACCTATGCTGTTTAAACGCATGTTGTTCAAGGTCAACAGGATCAATATTTATTGTGCCCTGAATATATGCCAGATATACTTACTAAGTTTTTATACTTTATCCTGACAACCCTAATTAGTATGTGTGACTCTTGTGCCCGTGCACATATGTGAAAATTAAAGCACAAAGAGATTAAGTGACTTGCCCAACGTTACAATGATGGGCAGGGTTAGGACACAAGCTCTTAAACTATAGACAAACAGCTTTCCTACATATGTGCAAGCAAAGACTGGTTAGAAAAGAGAATACAATTAAAAATTCCATTTATAATGGTAAGCAAAAAGGCAGAATATCTTAGAATACACAGATTTAATAAGAGGTGAGCAGGAGCAATATCAAGGAATCCTTAAACATCTACTGGGGAACCTAAAAGACTTCATGACTAGATGGGAGGGAAATTCATTTTTTAAACAAAAAGACTAAATAATGTATAAGTTCCATGCAATTCTAATTAAAATACCAAAAAGGGGAAAAGAAAATCTACGCAATAAGAAGTGCTAGGGCAACTGGCTAGCCACTTGGAAAGAAATGAAACTTAATCTCTACGTTTCAACATTAAAATAAATTCCAGAGAAATCAAAGAGTAAAATATAAATTAAAACATAAATATTTGAGAAATTTGTAAAAGAATCTTGAAGTAAGCCTTTTAAGGCACCACACAATTTTAAGACATAATAGAAACAATTAATAAATTTAAAATGTATACGTTTATGGCTAAAAAAACCCACATTTGTTTGTGGTAGGAGGAATCTGTGTTCTCAATCCCAGGGCCTCTCTGCATCTGCATTAGAAGAACAAGTCTGTGCCTTTGACGTGTGAGGTCGGAGGCTCCTGCAGAGTGGGTGGAGTCCCGTCCCCATCCCAGAATAAACTTGGCCATGGGATATGCCTGGTGGTGAGTGGAAGTGGCACATGCCATCGCCCCGGGCCTTCTGATGCACTACGTGCTACCTCTTGCCCTCCTCCTTGCCCAGGTGGCCACTGCCCCTTCAAGCCTGGGCCCCGGAATGGACAGATGGCACAGACACAAACCCCATGAGAAGCTTGCAACCCAAAGTGGAGCCACCCCAGCTGACCTGCAAACCCAGAGGAGAAAATAATGGCTCGCTACTGTCAAGCACTGCATTTTGGTGTGGTTTTTAATGTAGCATTATTCTGAAAAGGGCCAATGAACACATTTATGGTTAAAAAAAACCCATAAAACCAAAGGCTGGTTTCAAATAGGAAAAATATTTATAATACATAAACAGACAAAAGGTTTTCTTAATTTACAAAGAGCTCGTATAAATTAATAAAAGAAACAACAGAAAAAAATGGCTGAATACGATGAATAGGATGTTTAGATTTTTAATGAACAATAAACATGTAACAGAATGCGTAGACCTACTGAATTTTCTAAAGCAAGTGAAAACAATAAGATAAGTATTTTTTTCAACGAGACTGGAAACATTTTGGTGAAGTTTTGGTAAAACCCAGTGATGGCAAAGGGCAGAGGGGAAAGAAAGTTCCTCTTAAACATTTCTTATGTTGGCATAATTTGATGTAGCCTTCCTTGGGAACAATTTCATAGCATCTCTCAAAATAAAAACTGTACATACCCATACTCAATGGTTTCAATCCTGGGAATTTAACCTGTGGATATACTAACAGAAACAGGCCAGCCTATTTACACAAGGACGTTTACTACAAAAACCTGAACCAGTGAGTAGCAATAAAGGGCTAGTTAAAAAGACTTCGGTATTTACATAGAACATGAATATGTGCATTATAAAGTTTGAGGTAGATCTATTTATGCCACTGTGGAATGATCTCGAAGATAAATAACTGACAAGCAAGACACAGCCCAGTGTGCACTGAAGGATCTCTGTGTAAACAAGAAGGAATGGATGAATGCATTTACTACATAAACATTGCTCTCTTGGAACGACGCACAAGAAACCTAACAATCGGAAACTAGATTAAGGAGGAGGCGAGGGGGAACTTGCTTTTAAATGTGTAACTTTCTGTAATATTAACCTTTAATCCATGCATGTATTATGTTAAGCATATTTAAAACTCTGCATACCATTGAACCTAGAATTCTACTTCTAAGAATTCCCAGTATTAACCAAAGGATTATGTATTTTGGAAACTGGAAACAACCGAGGTGTGCAGCAAGAGGGAATTACATATATTCATTGGGTCCTTCCTAGTTGCTGCCATTAAATCATATTATAGAAGAATATATATATATATACACACACATATATATGTATATTGTATTGTGTGTGTGTGTGTGTGTGTGTGTGTATATATGTATATTGGAGACAAGGTCTCCCTCTGTAGCCCAGGCTAGAATGCAGTGGCATGATCACAGCTCACTGTGACCTCCACCTCCCATGCTCAAGTGATCCTCCCATTTCGGCCTCCCGAATAGCAGGGAATACAGGCATGCATCACCCGGCTGATTTTTGTATCTTTTGTAGAGAGAGGGTTTCACTATGTTGCCCAGGCTGGTCTCGAACTCCTGGCTCAAGTGATCCCCTCGCTGTGGCCTCCCAAAGTGCTGAGATTAAAGGTGTGAACCACTGTGCCCAGCCACAGGAGAATATTTAATGCCATGTAGAAACGTTCACACTAAGTGAAAGAAGAAGAAGGAAAAGCAGGTTGCAAAATGGTGTGGAAAGTGCATAATTTCCCTTCTGAGAAGCAAACAAATACATAAAGAAAATCAGCAGCTGCATCTCAAAGTTACCATGGTTATCTCCAGACAGTGAGATTTTGGCTTCCTCTTTATTTTTCTGTTTCCCATGGTTGATACACAACAGAGAAAACGCACTATTAAAACCCAAGCCAGCGACAGCTGGTTCTGCCTCCTAAGTGAGGAGGCATAACCCATGCCAGTGGGTACTAACTCCCTCTAATGTTCCCATCAGCAGGCGGGAGAGGTGGACGGGGCCAGACAAATTCCACCACTTCAATGTGAGGGCCGATGGCTTCAGAACAGGTATGGAAAGGCTCTGGAAACAATGGCGGCCAGTCTGAGTGAGAGGCAGCAAACCAGAATCCCTGCACAGTGACGGGGTCCAAGGTGGCAGGATGACCAACAAGGTGTGTAGGGGAGGGACGGGGCCTGATCTGCACAGAAAGTGGTCAGCCAGGTGGCCATGTACACTTCTATGTGGGCTGCTGCTCCTTGACAGAGAATAATGAGAATTTCAGACATAAATGCAAGCTACAAGAATAAATTCCAACCAGGACCCAAACGTATTCAAGAGCCTCTGCCCCCCTCCCTTTCTCAACCCATTGTCAGAAAAAAGTATGAAGTGGGAAGGTAGATTGCCCTGCTTGAAAAAGAGTATTACATAAACCATTTGCAAATGACTTTTATTCTCTTCTTTTAGAAATCTCCTCATGGCACAATAATAAAAACAATGTATTTGTTGATACAGAACATTAATTCCATTAAAATTGCATTATGTGTAATGAAAAGCTATCAGAGTATAATTATGCAAGCAAATTCACAGACTCACATCAACTTTTAAATCCACTGGAACTATACAATAGGAACTGAACCTGTCTGGTAGACAAATTGCTCTTTCTTTTCCAAATCATTATGAATAAAGGCCACTGTACTAATGTCATAAACCGCACACTATTTATGCAAACTCTCAAATCCAGGACTGTTCCCTAGAGGTGCCTCTGCCTGGTTTTTCCCAGGACCAACCTGTTCTCAGACCCAGAGGCTGTGCTCCCATTCCTGACTTAGCCCCAAAGCAGGCTCCCTTCTCGGAATTCTTGCCCAGAGAGCCCAGTTGTACCCTGAAGGGAGCCTGGTTGCACCCCCAAAGGGTTGCCTGAATCCGCACACTCTCAGCCCTCTGCCCCAGCCTGGGAGCTGTGCTCTGCTCTGCTGCCCCTGGCTGGCCGCTGCAGGGCCCGCAGGCTGCTCTCCCTCCTCCCTGCTGCAGGTACTGCACCCAGGTGGCCCTCCTGCCATCTCTGCTCACACCAGGCAGCGCCACCCACAGAGACTGGAGTGCAGAGCCCATCTCCTGTCCCCACGAGGTTCTGAGAGGAGGCAGAGGGCCACCAGGACAGGGGAGGAAGGGGGCAGGAGGCTGGATTCCTGCAAGGGCACAGGAGTACATCCAGTGCCGCCCACTCCCGCTGATGATAGCCCCGGTAAAAAGACACACCCTGGGAAAGGGACTCAGTCTATGCCCCTCACTCATCACCTATGTCCATCCCTGGGTTTAGACACTTCTAGGATCCCCAAACACAGTAGGGATATGGACAACTCGTGCCATGCTGGTGACATGAAGGGAACCCCCCCATCTGACTAAGTGGTCCCAGCACCCTTGTAATAGCCGTCTCCACTCCCCAGTCCTGCTCCCCTTTCCCCTCACTGGCACAGGCAGAACTCCCCTGTCTGGTCAGTTCTGGGTCGCTGAGTCCCAGGAACCCCCTTCAGCACCCAGCAGGCTGACACTGATCTTACTCCTGCTTTGCAGAAGGAACACCCTCCTGCCTTGGCCGCCCCCTTGCTTCCTCCCCCACTCACGCTCCCCAGCTGCTCGTTAGTAAGGGCTCCCTCGGCCCATCATCTCCCCATACCTCCCCTCCCCTCCTCGCAGTATCTATCCTGGGAGAGCCTGTTCCCTCCCTGGCTCCATCCTCCAGGGTACCCTAAGCCTCTCTCAGCCTCTCTTCCTCCCAGATCCCTGTGTCCACCCACTGGCCTGATGGAAACATGACGGATGCCTCCCCAGCAGCCTAACTCAATACAGCCAGTGCTCCTGGAGCCTGCCCTACCTCCACAGGAGGCCCCACTCACCCAGATGTGCCTGTCAGGGTCCCAGATACCCCACGTCCCTCCCCCACCCAATCTCACTCTCAAATCCATCCAAATCAGGGACATCTACTGACCAGCTCACCCTGGGCCCCGGCCCCCAGTTCCTCCCTCCACCTGGTACCTGGCTGCCACCTGGCAGGAGAGCTACTGTAAGAGCCCTACAAAGCCCTCCCTGCCTGGACTCCTGGTCACTTCTAACCTGTTTTCCACACTGCAGAATCATCTTTTTAAAATGCAAACCTGGCTGGGCGTGGTGGCTCACACCTGTAATCCCAGCACTTTGGGAGGCCGAGGCGGGCAGATCACCTGAGGTCAGGAGTTCGAGACCAGCCTGGCCAACATGGTGAAACCCTGCCTCTACTAAAACTATAAAAATTAGCCAGGCATGGTGGCATATGCCTGTAATCCCAGCTACTCAGGAGGCTGAGGCAGGTGAATCGTTTGAACCTGGGAGGTGGAGGTTGCAGTGAGCCAAGATTGCACCATTGCACTCCAGCCTGGGTGACAGAGCAAGACTCCGTCTCCAGAAAAAAAAAAAAAAAATCTGACCATGTCACTCGCCCCACTCAATGACACTGTGCCCTTTAGGGGCTTTCTTTATCCCTTGGAGTAAGTCCCACATCTTCCAGCTCAGAAGGTCCCTGCCTACCCTTCCTGCTTCATCCAGGTCACTCCATGGGTGGGGTCACCTCTGCCTCCCCCTCAACCCCCAAACAGCTAATTACCCAGACTGGGTAGCAAACAGCTACAGGACCACGGGGCTATGGCACCAGCACCCCACAGTGCCGCTCACTCATGCACCTGCCTTTGGCTGCTCAGCAGGTCCTGGGGGCCCAGAGCACGCTTGTTTCATCTGCACAGTGCCCACCGGAGCAAGGGCCTGGTGCCATGGCACACATGAGAGTGAAGGCTGTCGGCACGCACAAGGTTGGCCAGCGCCCACCTCCGGGCGGGAGACTTTGTGCCCATGCTCCTGACCAGCTTCACAGCCCCACGGAGGCAGCACGGTCCTGAGGGGCAGTGTGCTGACTTTTCCCCTTTATTTTATAACCAAAACAATGCAAGTTCAATATAGAACAAGTTAGGAAAGGCAGATAAGCTGAAGGAAATAATGAAACCATCTACATTCACACGGCTTCTCCTCTAACTCCTGTTAACATGTGGCTGGGTTCTATTTAAATCGGTTTTTATAAAAATTGGGTCATCATGTTGTCAATAACCTTTCCACATTACCATATAATGTGTCATGATCATGATGGCACACCCTGTAGGTATTCACTGACATCACCTTAATGGCTGAATGGGACTCCATTGTATAAAAATACAAAATACTCATGACCTATTATTCTATAAACATTTGGAATCACAAACGTATGTGAAAAATATATTTTTTAACAAGCTTATGAAAAGATAAACATAAGCCTGTAATCCCAGCACTTTGGGAGGCCAAGGCGGGTGGATCACTTGAGGCCAGGAGTTCAAGACCAGTTTGGCCAACATGGCGAAACCGCATCTCTACTAAAAATACAAAAAATTAGTCAAGCACCATAGCAGGTGCCTGTAATCTCAGCTACTCGGATGGCTGAGGTAAGAGAATCACTTGAACCTGGGAGGCAAAGGTTGCAGTGAGCCAAGATCATGCCACTGCACTCCAGCCTGGGCGACAGAGCGAAACTCTGTTTCAAAAATTAAAAAAAAGAATATTAAAAAATATATTAAATATATGAATATATTTTTAAAAGTATTTCATTTTTTCTGATCTAGTCATTCTTACACAATCTGAAGTCAAAATTGTTCTGTAGAGAAGCTGCCACTTACAACAAATAGTTTTGCTTGTTTCTTCAGTTTACTTTCACATTTCTAAACTTGATGCTTTGACTGACTTCTGACTATGAAAATTGAGGATTCTCACTTTCCCCTCCAACACACAGCAGACACAGCCAAATGCACACACTCGCTCTCCCTCTCCTCCTCACTTTCCCAATCCAAATATAGCAACAACCCACCTTTTGATATTTCAGCATTCAGTATTGGCATTATTATGACTACGTAAAATGTCACCCATAACTGAGCCACAAGGAGTACTACAATTACAGTGCCTTTAAAAAAAATCACATCACAATATGTAACTGGGGTTAATTGCCTCATTTTTCACTTACATCTTCTACACAGTCACACATGATTTAACAACGGAGCTATGTTCTGAGAAGTGCGCCCTTAGGTGAGTCCATCATTGTGTGAACCTCACAGAATGCACTTACACAAACCTAGATGGCGAAGCCCACTACATACCTAGGCTGTATGGTACGGCCTACTGCTCCCAGGCTACAAAACTGGGCAGCATGTTACTGTCCTGAACACTGTAGGCAACTGTAATACAATGGTGAGTACTTTGTATTTAACACATCTCAACATAATAACGGTACAGTAAAAACATGGTATTAGAATCTCATGGGACCACCATTGTATACACAGTCCGTCATTGAGGGAAGCGTTGGTGTGTGGTGTACGACTGTATATCTATCAAAAATTCATCCTAGCTCTCCAACAGCCCTGAGGTCTCCCTCACCATGTATGAGCACATGAAGTCTATCAAAAAATGAGGGAGCAAACCAAGAAAAGAGAAGACATGGGCTCAAGAAAACAGAGGCTCTAGCCCAGGAGAGAGGCGAAGGGGAGTCGAAGACCCAGGGAAGTCCCTAGGAGCCATAGTGCACCAGGCCAGGGCACAGCCAGGTAAGGAGGGAGCAGGTGACCTGGGTCCAAGAAGGACATATCTCAGCAAACCAGAGTGGTTTGCTCCCCATTTTTTTGGGTTGGGGGGAGCCCGAGTCTCTCTGTCACCCATGCTGGAGTGCAGTGGCTCGATCTCCGCTCACTGCAACATCCACCTCCCAATCAAGCGATTCTCCTGCCGCAGCCTCCCGAGTAGCTGGGACTACAGGCACCCACCAGCACACCCCACTAATTTTTTGGGGTTTTTTTTGCATTTTTAATGGAGATAGCGTTTCACCATGTTGGCCAGGCTGGTCTCGAACTCCTGACCTCCAGGTGATCCACCCACCTCGGCCTCCCAAAGTGCTGGGATTACAGGCCTGAGCCACTGCACCTGGCCCACATTTTTTGATAGACCATATCCTCCACTAACTTTCAGAGAAAGGATTTACAGTAGGTGAAATCTGAGGGACCCTACACGTTTAACATGTAAGGACAGAAATTTTAGGTTGCAGATTATTTTGTCTCAGAACTTTTTAGGCAACGATCTAATATGTGCTGATCTCCATGGTGGCTCCAGAGTGGTCTGATTCATCAGCAGATACTGGCAAGGACCAGCTGTTTACCAGGCACTGTTCTAGGCACAGGGGATCCAGCAGTTTAAAAAAAAGACATGCATAGTGCCTCCCTCATGACATCCTGGGGAGCAGCAGAGGAGGGAGACACAAAAATAAGAGTGAAACCACATGGCATGTTACACAGAATGAAGAAAAATAAGGTGGGAAAGTGTGGGCTCAGGAGCTGGGAAATCCTGGGCTTGTAGGGGTAACAGATCCCAAAAGGAGGAACGGCCCTGGTGGGATGGATGCCGGTTCCTGATGGGGATATACAGGACTCTACAATGGTGAGACGGTCTTTGTTTTTATTCACTGGGTGAAGTATGAGAAACTGATCTGAATCTGCAATCTCCTTTCAGTTCTGAGAATAACTCCTGTATCATTTTGCAATGATGATTCTACTTCCTTTGGTCTCTGCAAAGCCTATTTATATTCTCTGGCTGACCCTCTCATTTACTGTCTTCCCTATTTCCAACTTCCTGGTCTTTTTTTGTTGTTGTTCAGTTTTCTGAGAGATTTCCCCCAATTTCATCTTTCAAGCCTTTGATGATTTTTAAACTTTATATTCTGAAATTTTTCAAATAGAAAAGTACAAAAATAAGAATGTTCAATCCATCTACTTAGCCTGTCACGTTAACAATTTTACTATATTTGCTTCATCTCTTTTTCTTTGCTTTTCAAGATAAATTACAAACCATGACATTTTAAGTTTTTCAATATGCATACCTAAAATACAAGGACATTTTTCTATATAACCTGTGAGGCCATTAACACATCTAAAATATACTAATTATTAATAGATCATCTTTGTATGATTTCATACCCAATTCCTATTCAAATTTCCCAGATTGTCCCCAGAATAACTTCTTGCAGTTAATTTGTTCAAACTAGCTTCCAATGCTTAGGAATTTGTTATGTGCCTACATGGTTGTAATTTTGTTAAGTAGCTTTAAATTTTCAGCTTGTTCTTTAACCCACATGTCTCCGGTTTTCAGGGTAGGCAAGGGTTTTAATACAATTATGGTTTCATCCCTTCACACATCCCACATCTCTTTCTTTGCTAGTATAATCTAGAATTTTAGATTCAAACTCATATTACATTGTTTTCATATTATACTCAGTATCTTTTTTCCTTTATAAAAATTAATTTTTCTTTTTTTTTTGGAGATGGAGTCTCGCTTTGTTGCCCAGGCAATCTCGGCTCACTGCAACCTCCACCTCCTGAGTTCAAGCAATTCTCATGCCTCAGCCTCCTGAGTAGCTGGGATTACAAGTAGCTGCCACCACACCCGGCTAATTTTTGTATTTTTAGTAGAGACAGGTTTCACCATGTTGGCCAGGCTGGTCTCGAACTCCTGACCTCAAGTGATCTGCCCACCTTGGCCTCACAAAGTGCTGGGATTACAGGCATGAGCCACCGTGCCCGGCCTATTTTTCTTTTTTTTTTTTAAAGACAGGGTCTCACCGTGTTACCCAGGCTGGTCTTGAACACCCTGGCTCAAGTGATCCTCCTGCCACAACCTCCGAGTAGCTGGGACTTCAGGCATGAGCCACCTCGCCTGGCTATATTCTGTGTCTTTCGATGTTTTTTAAATTTCCACTTTCCAGTTATAACTAGTTTCAGTGTTCTGCATTAGTTCTGCTTAGCCATGATTCCACCAACTCAAGCTGCTAACTTAATAGCTCAAACGTTGAATGACATCTTCACGAGACTCCTGTGAGGGTCCCCAAAGCCCCCGATACCTGAGCATATCTTCAGGGCTCCCAGGACCAATATGGACTGCTCGCCTGCTCAGCTATCATCACGTCTGAAGAGCAGGTCGCCCTAGCGCAGGTCTGGATTCACAGACTTTCCCCTCAATCACTGCAGATGCTGCGTGCCTGCCCTCTGCTTTATCATAGCAGAGAACTCTAAGGCCTGTCTCTTTGTTTGTATGTTTGCTTTGCTGAAAATAAGGTCCCCTACCTAGATGCTTGTGGAATCCCATTCTTGAATTTGCATTGATAATTTCCTTTCCTTTCTCTCTGAAACTTTTCTGGCATACTTAGTTCATCTCCGCAAGACAGTGTGTTTGGTGTTGCTTGTTTTTGCACTTTACAAAAACAGTGTCATAGAAAAAACATAGTATTTTTTCATGTGGTCTCACAGGCAGAGAACTAATTGGCTCCTGCACTGCAGGTCTCACTCCCCTGCAGGGGCTGCTCTGGTGGAAGCCAGAGCAGGGCTGCCCCAGGAGCAGCCCTGGGGCAACAGAGACTTGAGGCGACGGGTCTCGGGGAGGCAAGCCTGAAATGTGCTCGGTAACTGCACTCCAGTCCCCTCAGGAGCCAGCACGATCACCCGCCGTAGCCAACTGGGTAACACACTTGGACTAGCTATCCTTCCTCCCTGCCTCCCTCTGCCTTCCTGACTGTGCTCTGCGCAAACAAGAGAGATTCCTGCTAGTCCTGCTCTCAGTCTGCTTTCAGGGTCATCCAGGCTAAGAACATTCACGTTCCTAAGATTCCTTTATCATGTTGTTGCACACAGCTATAGTTTATTCACTTTCACTGTGGTATAACAACAGTCCATTTCGTTAGACCACAGAACTTATTTTGTTTGTTTTTGAGATGGAGTCTTGCTCTGTTGCCCAGGCTGGAGTGCAGTGGCACAATCTCAGCTCACTGCAACCTCCGCCTCCCAGGTTCAAGCAATTCTCCTGCCTCAGCCTCCCGAGTAGCTGGGATTACAGGCGTGCGCCACCACGCCCAGCTAATTTTTTTATTTTTAGTAGAGACGTGGTTTCACCATGTTGGTCAGGCTGGTCTCGAATTCCTGACCTGGTGATCCGCCGCCTCAGCCTCCCAAACTGCTGAGATTACAGGCATGAGCCACTGCGCCTGGCCTATATAATTTATTAATATCCCATTCTTCTGCTGATGAACATCTGCACTGTTTCCAGTTTTTGCTATCATGTACTATTCGTTGATGACTATCCTGGTGCACGTGGGCAGGAGTTTCTGCAAGGTATATGCTTATGAGTAGAACTGCAGGTCACGGTATGTGTGCATATTCAGCTATAGAAAAGAATGCCAAGTTGTATTCCACTGTATTCCAGAGTGGTCCCACCCATTTCCACTCCCACCAAGAATTCTCCTGATCCACATTCTGTCCAAATTGGCATTGTCAAACTTCTTAATTGAGGCCAATCTAGTAGGTGTAAACGATTTCTCTCCACAGTTGAATTTTACATGTCCATGCTGACTGGGGCATGTGTTGACACGTTTATTGACCCTACATATGCCCACTTCCATGAAATGCCTATGTAAGCATTTTGTCCACTTTTCTATTGAGTTTTGTGCCTTTATCCTATTGATTTGTGGGAGTTCACTACATGAAATCATAATCAGTTATGTGTATTGCAAGCATCTCCTTCCAGTTGTGTTTTTGCTTTCTTCGTGATGTCTTTCAATAAAAAGAATGTTTAAATGTACTTACCTTTCAAACATATTTTTCAGCTTTGGCGTTTCTCTGTCTTGTTTAAAAAATTCTTTCCAAATTTCTTACATCTTACATTTTATTCTGTAAAGTTCCAATGTTTTGCTTTCACAGTTAAGTGTTTAAACCACCTGACACTGATTCTCTTGCATGGATAGCCAATGATCCCAGAACCATTTATGGTAGACTCCCTGAATTCTGCTCCTGGCCTGCCCTGCATCGTTTCATATATGCTTCAGGCTCTATCTTATGTTTTGCTGATTGCATTGTCTTCCTTTGCACCTACACTTACTGTCTATAGCTTAAAAATGAGTCTTATACGTGGTAGCATAAATTCCCCCCAAATTCTTCAGGAGCCTCTTGACTTTCCTTGGCCTATGGCTCTGTCATATAATTTTACAATTAGGTTGTTAAGTCTTACCCTCCCAACAAAAACATTTGTCAGGATTTTTAATGAAATCAATTGAATCTGATTTGGAAAAAAAAAACAGCCATCTTCACAGTATTGAGTTAGCTTAGACTAGCTCTCTCAATATGGTATATCCCTCCATTTATTTAGGTTTTATTTAATGTCTTTCAATAAAGTTTTACACTTTTCTGCATATTCAAATTACATATTTTTTCTTAGATATAGTTCTAAGTTCCTTATTTTTGTGCTATTGTAAATAATGTCCTTAAACAATTTACATTTTCTCTCTGTGGCTGAAGTATAAAGATACAATTGATTTTTGGTATATTAACCTTCTAGCTAACCACCTTGCCAAACTCATTATTTCTAATTGATTGTAGATGGCTTATTCCTGATTTTAAAGGGAATACTTTCAATGTTTCCTCATTAAGAATAAAACAGTTCTATTAAGTTTGTATATGTATTTTTTCTATAACTTAAGTTCTGTTACGTTTTTCTATAAATCTGTCCATTACATCTGAGTTATCAAATGTGTAGTCTCTCATCAACTTTTTGATCTCTTCTGTATCTGTAATTACATCTTCCTTTTCATTCATAATAATGGTTATTTGTACCTTCTTTTTTGTTCTTACACATTCTTACCATATTTGTCTATTTTGTTAGAATTTTCAAGGAGCTACCTTTTGGCTATGTTTATCCTCTTTATTGCAGCCTTATATTCTATTTCGTTAATTTCTATTCTTATGTATTATGTTCTTTAAATTTATTCATTCTTCTTTTTCTAAGTAAATCTGATCACTTCATTCCTATTCTTATGTATTGTGTTCTTTAAATTTATTCATTCTTCTTTTTCTAAGTAAATCTGATCACTTCATTCATTTTCAATTGTCAATCTTTCTAGGTACCTAAGGCTATTCATTTGCATTACAATTTCTTCTTTGATTAATGAGTTATTAAAATCTTTTTTTAATTTCCAAATATATTAGGGTCATTTATCCTTTTGTTATTTATTTCTAACTTAATTAAATTGTGGTCAGAGAATGTGATCTCCTTGATATTCATTCTTTGAAATGTTTTGATATTTACTCTACAAACTAAAAAACTGCAAGATCAATTTCTTAAAGATAGTCCCTGTTTACATGAGAACATCTCTGAAAGCTGCAGAATTCTGTATATGTAAATTATACCTGGTTGTGTTCTTTAAGTTATTACATAATTTTTAATTTTCTGTCTGATAGATCAACAATCAATATGTATTGAAATTTCCTTTTCATGACAGATTGATCGATTTCTACCTCCATTTTTATGTGTTTTTTCTTTATACGCTTTGCAGTGGTTTAATCAAAAGTATATAAGCATAAAATTGTACCTATTTGTTATATGTAATGAGCCTCTCTCTAACAAGGCTTTTTGACTGAAAGTCGATTTTGTCTGATATTAAAATGGCTCTGCCAATATTCTTTTGGTTGACATCTGCCCACCCAAACAACTACACAAAAATCTACAATTTCCAAACTACATTGTGACCAGGGTTCATTCATCACAACCCCTACATACGTACGGTATTTTGCTTGTGAACTCTCTTCCCCTCTTCCTACCAAATTTTCTTACAGCTTTGAAATTTGCCTGGACTTCCTAAAATGACAATGTCCCAGGGAAATGTTCAATAATCTGGGTAAGCAGAGACACACATAGGCTCAAAATAAAGGGATGGAGGAAGATCTACCAAGCAAATGGAAAACAAAAAAAGGCAGGGGTTGCAATCCTGGTCTCTAATAAAACAGACTTTAAACCAACAAAGATCAAAAGAGACAAAGAAGGTCATTACATAATGGTAAAGGGATCAATGCAACAAGAAGAGCTAACTATCCTAAATATATATGCACCCAATACAGGAGCACCCAGATTCATAAAGCAAGTCCTTAGTGACCTACAAAGAGACTTAGACTCCCACACAATAATAATGGGAGACTTTAACACCCCACTGTCAACATTAGACAGATCAACGAGACAGAAAGTTAACAAGGATATCCAGGAATTGGACTCAGCTCTGCACCAAGCGGACCTAATAGACATCTACAGAACTCTCCACCCCAAATCAACAGAATATATATTCTTTTCAGCACCATACCACACCTATTCCAAAATTGACCACATAGTTGGAAGTAAAGCACTCCTCAGCAAATGTAAAAGAACAGAAATTATAAGGAACCGTCTCTCAGACCATAATGCAATCAAACTAGAACTCAGGATTAAGAAACTCACTCAAAACCACTCAACTACATGGAAACTGAACAACCTGCTCCTGAATGACTACTGGGTACATCACGAAATGAAGGCAGAAATAAAGATGTTCTTTGAAACCAATGAGAACAAAGATACAACATACCAGAATCTCTGGGACACATTCAAAGCAGTGTGTAGAGGGAAATTTATAGCACTAAATGCCCACAAGAGAAAGCAGGAAAGACCTAAAATTGACACCCTAACATCACAATTAAAAGAACTAGAGAAGCAAGAGCAAACACATTCAAAAGCTAGCAGAAGGCAAGAAATAACTAAGATCAGAGCAGAACTGAAGGAGATAGAGACACAAAAACCCTTCAAAAAATCAATGAATCCAGGAGCTGGTTTTCTGAAAAGATCAACAAAATTGACAGACTGCTAGCAAGACTAATAAAGAAGAAAATAGAGAAGAATCAAATAGATGCAATAAAAAATGATAAAGGGGATATCACCACCGATCCCACAGAAATACAAACTACCATCAGAGAATACTATAAACACCTCTACACAAATAAACTAGAAAATCTAGAAGAAATGGATAAATTCCTCGACACATACACCCTCCCAAGACTAAACCAGGAAGAAGTTGAATCTCTGAATAGACAAATAATAACAGGCTCTGAAATTGAGGCAATAATTAATAGCTTACCAACCAAAAAAAGTCCAGGACCAGATGGATTCACAGCCGAATTCTACCAGAGGTACAAGGAGGAGCTGGTACCATTCCTTCTGAAACTATTCCAATCAACAGAAAAACAGTGAATCCCCCCTAACTCATTTTATGAGGCCAGCATCATCCTGATACAAAGCCTGGCAGAGACACAACAAAAAAAGAGAATTTTACACCAATATCCCTGATGAACATTGATGCAAAAATCCTCAATAAAATACTGGCAAACCGAATCCAGCAGCACATCAAAAAGCTTATCCACCATGATCAAGTGGGCTTCATCCCTGGGATGCAAGGCTGGTTCAACAAGTGAAAATCAATAAACGTAATCCAGCATATAAACAGAACCAAAGACAAAAACCACGATTATCTCAATAGATGCAGAAAAGGCCTTTGACAGAATTCAACAACCCTTCATGCTAAAAACTCTCAATAAATTAGGTATTGATGGGATGTATCTCAAAATAATAAGAGCTATCTATGACAAACCCACAGCCAATATCATACTGAATGGGCAAAAACTGGAAGCATTCCCTTTGAAAACTGGCACAAGACAGGGATGCCCTCTCTCACCACTCCTATTCAACATAGTGTTGGAAGTTCTGGCCAGGGCAGTCAGGCAGGAGAAGGAGATAAACGGCATTCAATTAGGAAAAGAGGAAGTCAAATTGTCCCTGTTTGCAGATGACATGATTGTATATCTAGAAAACCCCGTCGTCTCAGCCCACAATCTCCTTAAGCTGATAAGCAACTTCAGCAAAGTCTCAGGATACAAAATCAATGTGCAAAAATCACAAGCATTCTTATACACCAATAACAGACAGACAGCCAAATCATGAGTGAACTCCCATTCACAACTGCTTCAAAGAGAATAAAATACCTAGAAATCCAACTTACAAGGGATGTGAAGGACCTCTTCAAGGACAACTACAAGCCACTGCTCAATGAAATAAAAGAGGATACAAACAAATGGAAGAACATTCCATGCTCATGGGTAGGAAGAATCAGTATCGTGAAAATGGCCATAATGCCCAAGGTAATTTATAGATTCAATGCCATCCCCATCAAGCTACCAATGGCTTTCTTCACAGAATTGGAAAAAACTACTTTAAAGTTCATATGGAACCAAAAAAGAGCCTGCATTGCCAAGTCAATCCTAAGCCAAAAGAACAAAGCTGGAGGCATCACGCTACCTGACTTCAAACTATACTACAAGGCTACAGTAACCAAAACAGCATGGTACTGGTACCAAAACAGAGATATAGACCAATGGAATACAACAGAGCCCTCAGAAATAATGCCGCGTATCTACAACCATCTGATCTTTGACTAACCTGACAAAAACGAGAAATGGGGAAAGGATTCCCTATTTAATAAATGGTGTTGGGAAAACTGGCTAGTCATATGCAGAAAGCTGAAACTGGATCTCTTCCTTACACCTTATACAAAAATTAATTCAAGGTGGATTAAAGACTTACATGTTAGACCTAAAACCATAAAAACCCTAGAAGAAAACCTAGGCAATACCATTCAGGACATAGGCATGGGCAAAGACTTCATGTCTAAAACACCAAAAGCAATGGCAACAAAAGCCAAAATTGACAAATGGGATCTAATTAAACTAAAGAGCTTCTGCACAGCAAAAGAAACTACCATCAGAGTGAACAGGCAACCTACAGAATGGGAGAAAATTTTTGCAATCTACTCATCTGACAAAGGGCTCATATCCAGAATCTACAATGAACTCCAACAAATTTACAAGAAGAAAACAAACAACCCCATCAACAAGTGGGCAAAGGATATGAACAGACACTTCTCAAAAGACATTTATGCAGCCAGAAAACACATGAAAAATTGCTCATCATCACTGGCCATCAGAGAAATGCAAATCAAAACCACAATGAGATACCATCTCACACCAGTTAGGATGGCGATCATTAAAAAGTCAGGAAACAACAGGTGCTGGAGAGGATGTGGAGAAATAGGAACACTCTTTCACTGTTAGTGGGACTGTAAACCAGTTCAACCATTGTGGAAGTCAGTGTGGCTATTCCTCAGGGATCTAGAACTAGAAATACTATTTGACCCAGCCATCCCATTACTGGGTATATACCCAAAGGATTATAAATCATGCTGCTATAAAGACACATGCACACGTATGTTTACTGCAGCACTATTCACAATAGTAAAGACTTGGAACCAACCCAAATATCCAACAATGATAGACTGGATTAAGAAAATGTGGCACATATACACCATGGAATACTATGCAGCCATAAAAAATGATGAGTTCTTGTCCTTTGTAGGGACATGGATGAAGCTGGAAACCATCATTCTCAGCAAACTATCGCAAGGACAAAAAACCAAACACCGCATGTTCTCACTCAGGTGGGAATTGAACAATGAGAACACATGGACACAGTAAGGGGAACATCACACACCGGGGACTGCTGTGGGGTTAGGGGAGCGGAGAGAGATAGCATTAGGAGATATATCTAATGCTGAATGACGAGTTAATGGGTGCAGCACACCAACATGGCACATGTATACATATGTAACAAACCTGCACGTTGTGCACAGGTACCCTAAAACTTAAAGTATAATAATAATAAAATTTAAAATAATAATAATAATAATCTACGTAAAAAAAGAAATGTTGATGTGGCTGAAATATATATGTATGTATCTTGCAAATATAATTCATGGCTATTTTCCATATAAATCATCTCAAATCAAGATTTGATTTTCTCTAACAGATCTGGTCTGAAAAGTATAGTTATGAACAGGAGTGGAGTCATGGGCATTCACTGCTTCTTTAATTGCATTTTCTGGAAAACTCTACAGTTCTATTTTTAACATTTGATCACACCATCAGTAGAGCTACATTCCACAAAGCAATTATGTTTTGCTCAGCAAAATATCAGAATGGAATAATATGCTGCATATTAACAACTGTAAGAATAGAAGCCATTTAGAACATTTTAGAATAATGATTGAGGTCATTTGTTCAGAATTTACAGCAAATGTGTTTTAAAGACCCACTATCATGGAGTCCACTGTGAAGTCTAAGTTATGCACATCAGAAACTACAAATGCACAAGGAGCCCAGTATTTTATCAAAACATTAATATCAGCACTATTAAAAACCAAACCTTTTATCCAGCACCCCCTGCTTACCAGCTCTCCCCATGTACAAATGCATTAGCATTTAATGCAATATGCTTTCCTTTTCTTTAAGGGCTTTATCCAGATATCTAGAAAGTAGTAAAGTGGTAGCATTTAACTAACACAGGAGTGGCAAACAGGTGGCAACTCCCTTCCTCGACCCAGAAGGACAAGGCTCATCTATCACCACACCCTCCGTGCAGAGTACAGAAGCCATCTTAGAATCCTTCTAACACAGTATTCCAGGCACCATGACTTAGAATTTGTGTTGGCATGCCAGATCCCACCTACCCGAAGGTGCTATATAAATAGGCTAGGGCAGCTAGGGGAATACAGTTATATGTCTTATTCACAATTCTAAAAGGCAGTTCGTGGTTGCACAGGTCTTTCGCTTCCAGGTCGGATGGAGTAGTTAGCAGCTCATCAGTGTCCCCAGTAAGAACAACAGGAAAAGCTCAATAAAATATGGAAATCAACTCTCTGAAAATGGCTGAGAGTGACAAAATTCAAACAGGCTTGAGAGAGGAATGAACCTCCCTCCAAGAAGGGAGCTAAACTCTGAAGCTTCTTTTATCCTAGAAGTGTTCCAATTCTGGGCACAAGCAGCAGCCTGAGAACTCTGGCTATGCACCTGCTGAAAGCCAGTTCTGGGGGAAACCCCAGCAGGGCTATGGTTGGAGACTTGGGGTCCAAGCACATGGTTGGGTTTTCCCCTGGGATAGCTTTCCAATTCTGAGGGTAAGAGACTTAAATTTTAACAAAAAGCCACTGGAAGGCAGCCTCAAAATAAAAATTGTAATTAGGAAACACAAGAGAGAGGGGCTGTGACAAATATAGAAGACTCTCATTTGAAAACCCTAAAAGGCAAGGACAAACAACAGCAAGACTGAAGCTTACCAGGGCTGCAAACCAGCTCTGAGTCAGCACAGTCCTTGCTTCAATGAAGGTGATGAACACCAGATAATCTGGACAATAAAGTTAGCTGGCTGACTTCAAAACAATTATAGTTATTACGCCCAAGAAAACAGAGAAAAAGATGAATAAAATAAATGAAAAGAAGAATTTCACCAGATAACTATAATTGGTAAAAATTAATAATCAAAGAGAAAATATAAAACTAAAAAATACAACATCTAAAATGAGTAACTCAACAGATGGGTTTAACAGCAAATTAGATACAGAAGATAAGACTAGTAAACAGCAAGACAGGTCAATTAAAACAAATACCCAAACTAAAACCTAAGGAGGAAAAAAAAATTTAAGAGGATTAGAGAGACACAGGACACAATGAATGGGCCTAGTGTATGTGATTCAAGTCCCATTCAGAGAAAAAGAGAACAGGGTAGAAGAAATGATGGCCAAGGATTTTCTAAAACAAACAAAACAGCAAATCTCAAATCGTTCAGTAAGCGCTGCAAAGCTAAGCTGGCCATTTACACAAAAGAAAAAGAAACCTAAATAAAAGGAAAAATCTTAAAAGCAGCAAAGGAGCAGATCTGGACGCACATATTACCTTCAAAGAAGTAACAAAAAGACTGGTAGTCATTTTCTAACAAAATTGATGGAAACCACCTTTTAAGTCCTGAAAGGAAGTAGCTGCCAACCTAGAATTCTATCACCAAGAAAATATCCTTCAAAAAAGGAAGCTAAAATAAAAATGTTTCTGAGACAATCACAGCAGAATTTGTCACCAGCAAACTTACACTAAAGAAAAGAAAAATGACCTAGAGAAAAACCCAAATAAGGACGAAGAAATGAAGATTGATGAAAGGGATGAATGAATATGGACTGCGACCAAACTTTGGAAGTTATGAAAAGGACAGACAGGCAGTACTGATTTAGCCAAATTAAGAAAGATGGATCCTAAAGCAGCAACAGCAGCAGCAGAGAAGAGAGAACAACCCATTGTGCACCTCAGAACCCTCAAAAGATTCAGGCACGAGTCTCAATGGGCACCTCTGGAAGTGGGGCTAATTTGGTGTAGAAGGCTTGAGGGATTTGGGGGCTAATCAAGGAAGTAGATATGCTGAAAGGAAGCAGTAACACATGCAAGCTTTCTTAAAAGGTTATGTGGGAGGGGAAGTCCCTCACAGTATGACATCCACAGGCTTCAAGCAAGGGGTCTATCCAGAAGGGGAAGAGGACAAGGGAACTCCTGGGGAAAGGGGGTCAGAGAGGAGGCTGACATAGCCAGGTGACAGTCTGTAGCAGCACAGCAGGGGGTCCCAGGGTCAGAGAGCTTTGATGGTAGCAGTGGCTTGGAGCTTTATAACCACAAGGCTCTATCTTACCAGAGGCCAGCTCACCGGGTATGCAAAGCAGTCAGGCTCTTAATGGCTAAAAATCTGCTAATTCAGGCTATTTGAAAAAAATTAGACGTGTAAAAATTTGAGTTTGGTACCAGTGGGCTTCTGAGCTAACAGATCTCAGTCTGCTATGAAGAAATAAACAACCTAGAGGCCAATATATAGTGGCCACCTTTGGCCTCTATATGACACTTGGGAAGGAGGGCTAAGATAAGGAATGGAAATTTGGACAGCTACTTGAAAACAGATTTCCCAGCCCTGCACCCTAGCAGAATTCTGAAGGACTGTTCCCCTAAAAACATCAAAACAGGTCTGTGCTGTGGACTGACCAGCCCCAGACCACAATGCAGCAACATGAGGCAACAGAAGGCATTCTGAGGCTGGTCCCACCATGCCCTCTGCCCCTGCAGCATCTTTTTAGGTGAAACTAATGCAGAATGTGCTCCACAAAACAAGGCAGCAAAGTCAGAATGAGGAAGACCTGAGATGCAGAAAATGACCCAGTGGAATTCCAGAGATGGCAGAAAGAGGGAACCCGGGCTGACAGCTGTGTACAGGCCTAGAAAGCCACCAACCCAAGAGAAGAAAATGAGTCCTGGAGAAGAAAATGGGAACAGAAAGATAACCTACTAGAGCTGAGCTGAGTCAGTATTACTGAGAGGCTATTGCAAGAGGAGCTATTGATTAAGGCGAGGCAAGTACTGACTTCAAGAGTAAGTTAGTGAAAGTGAACATACCACTCTACACAGCTCTGCAGTGAATAATATCTGCATAGGTATAAATCCAAATACTGACTAAATTAAACTTGTAACATACCCACTCTGGAGGATGAGGAAGGGGAACCAGAGAGAAAATGAAAAGCTAAATCCTCACTGCCATAATTAGAAACCTACAATGATATCTACAACCAATTAATCAAAGATAGCAGAATTTGTATCTTATTTAGAAATGTGGAGACGTAGTAAGTCCCAGGGAAAAAAGCTGAATTAAAAGTAGTTGCCTCTGCACAAGTTAGAGCAGGGAACTACTGGGTTTTCCTATTTGCTATTTGACTTTTTAAACTATGTTTTCATTTCATTAGATGACATAAAAATTAACTTTAAAAACACATAGACATGAATATTTTTCCTTAGTAATATGAAACTTACAATGCTCAAACTACGTAACACTAGCATCTATAAAACCTACAGGAAAACAGCTGATCATTTTACATTTAACTTTTTTTAATATAAAGAGAGCTTACTCTCCTAAATTAAGCCAAAACTCCCAGATCTCTCAATTTTTCATGGTGCCATGGGAAAAAGCAAATCTGATGTTTCTACCCTCAAAATACCAAAAGGATTAACATCAGCTAATTTCTTCAATTATGACTTCATGAGTAACGGACTCTAAGTCCTGGACAGCAGCCAACATCCTGCCAGATGCTAAAGACAGCATGGTGGAGGCCTGAAAGAGAACTCAGAATGAGGACATGGGGCCGGGCACGGTGGCTCACGCCTGTAATCCCAGCACTTTGGGAGGCCGAAGCAGGTGGATCACCTGAGGTCAGGAGTTCAAAACCAGCCTGGCCAACATGGTGGAACCCTGTCTGTACTAAAAATACAAAAAATTTAGCCATGCATGGTGGTGGGCACCTGTAATACCTGTTACTCTGGAAGCTGAGGCAGGAGAATTGCTTGAACCCAGGAAGCAGAGGTTGCAGTGAGCCGAGGTCGCGCCATTGCACTCCAGCCTGAGCAACAAGAGTGAAACTCCGTGTCAAAAAAAAAGAAAAAAGAAAAAAAGAAAAAAAAGAATGAGGACATGGCCACTGACTGGTGCTGAGCAGGTTATCTCTCACCCAGGATGGGGACCCCACATACCATTATCTGCTCTCCTGCCTCTCCGGGGGCTCAGCAACACTATGGCAGTGGACTTTGAATTACAGAGCAGAAAGAAAGGTTAAATTCTTGGACTTGAATAAAGAGAACGGCAGGGTAAACTCTAGGAGTTTGTAGGGGGAAAGTCAGCAAGTTTGCGTGTTAAATAAGGGTAGAGTACAAGACAACTATCCCAGTGGCTGTAAGGCCAAAGAACTCTGAGGCTCTGTAATGTCGGAAGTTGCTGGCTCTCTGCTATGCAAGGTAACCCTACCCCCACCCTCTACCATCTCACCTACAAAATCATCAGTAAATTTATCTGGACAAAGATACCTTTGTAAGAGTAGACCAGGGTGGAGTGAAGGTGACAAGGACTCACAAAGGTTTTGAGTGTGAAACTTAGGTAAGAGAGAAAGAACAGTGCTGAGACAGCCCCTGAGCATGATGGATCCAGGGGGATGGAACTTGTACTCCATGGAATTAGAAGTAAGTATGGAGAGAGTTTGGGACATTGTGGCCAATGGAACCGGTGTACCTAAGAAGGCTAGGGGATCAAGATGGAATCTGAGATGCAGAATCCAATGTATAATTTCGGGATAGGTGAGTGTGTCTTTAATGTTTTACAAAATATTAGTTTATCAAAGAACACATATAAAAATGGGTTCCACGTCAACGAGGTCTGAAAACATGACATAGTATACCCTTTTCATGCAGAGTCACGGTGCACATGAGAATAACACAGTCAAGCTAAAATGCACACCACAGGAAAGAAAATGCTTCAACCCTGAATAACCCCGCCTGCCCCAAATGTGACCTTGGAATCTTTTTAACTCAGAATACACATTTAACATCTTGTATACACAGTTGTTTACTATACATGTTAGTGAAAATGCTGGCATAGGAAATTATAGTGGGAATTCAGAGAGAGATAAGTTAGGGTTTTTTTCCTTCACAATGAAAATTCCTTCTTCTGACTATACATATAAATAGTACACCCTAATGCTGCTAAATTTAGTTAACATGAAAAATTCTAGAGAAGAATGTAAAATTCACCCACACCACCATACACAAAGATAAACCAATGGCAATGTTTAAATGTATTCATACCTAGATTTTTTGGTTTACAAAGTTTATTTGGGCCGGCGCGGTGGCTCACGTCTGTAATCCCAGCACTTCAGGAGGCCAAGGCGGGCGGATCACGCGGTCAGGAGATCGAGACCATCCTGGCTACCACAGTGAAACCCCATCTCTACTAAAAATACAAAAAAAAAAAAAAAATTAGCCGGACGACGTGGCGGGCGCCTGTAGTCCCAGCTACGCCAGAGGCTGAGGCAGGAGAATGGCGTGAACCTGGGAGGCGGAGGCTGCAGTAAGCAGATATCGCGCCACTGCACTCCAACCTGGGCGACAGCGAGACTCCGTCTCAAAAAAAAAATTTGATTTTTTTCTAAGGACTCCGTTCACAGTACACAGTTTTTCCTTTAAAAATATATCACACACGTATGTGGACACCCATCCTCCAATGATGTACATTCAGACTATCTCAATGGGAAAAAAAATGAGGCTCACATTGTGTCCGCAATTTATTCTTCCCCGTGGGTTCTTGGTCTTGCTGACTTCAGGAATGAAGGCGTGGACCCTCACGGTGAGTGTCACAGCTCTTAAAGATGGTGTGTCTAGAGTTTGTTCTTTCAGATGCGTCTGGAACTTTTTCCTTCCCACGGGTTTGTGCTCTCACTGACTTCAGGAAGGAAGCTGCAAACCCTCAATGTGAGTTATAGCTCATAAAGGTAATGCAAACCCAAAGAGTGAGCAACAGCAAGCTTTATTGCCAAGAGCAGCAAAAATACAAAACCTCTGCACTACCTAAGTGGACCCCATGGGGCTCCCACCGCTGACTGGGTGGCTTTTGTTCCCTTATTTGGCCCCGCCCACATCCTGCTGATTGGTCCATTTTACAGAGCGTTGATTGGTCCCTTTTACAGAGTGCTGATTGGTCCCTTTTACAGAGTGCTGATTGGTGTGTTTTTATAGAGTGCCGATTGGTGCATTTACAATCCTTTAGCTGGACACAAAAGTTCTCCAAATCCCCACCTGACCCAGAAGCCCAACTTGGCTTCCTCTTTTAATATTGCTATTGACTCTATTCTGCCCAGTCTGGGTAGGCGCCAACCTCTCAGGTGAAAGGAGCACAAGAGAAGGTAAAGGCTGTCTTGACCTGTAGTGACCCAACACCAGGTCATCCACAACAGGGAGAAGAGGTACTGAGAGGGGCCCTGCAAAGTCCTGGTTTATTTATTCCGTTGGTAACCATGAGGCAGAGGAGACACACCAGGCAGTGCCCCAGGAATCCTCAAGCTCACAGCTTTTTCAACACATTTCCTTTTCTTTACAACTGGAGTCTTTCTGAAAGTTGTCTTCTGCACAAATTGCTACCAAAATCCTCGCCAGTGTCTCTCCCACTGCAGGCACAAGACCAGCAAGCCTTATCATGTCTGTGTCTCCAAGTATCTTGTTCTTGCTGACCAAGTCATGGTTTTCTAATTCTACTGACACAGTACATTCTATTTCCATCATCAAAACCCATCAGACAGATGACAGATCTGCAAACACCATAATGGGGTGATTATACTTTTATGACTAGTTTTTGTTGTTGTTGTTTTGTTTTTGTTTTTTGAGATGGAGTCTCGCTCTGTTGCCCAGGCTGGAGTGCAGTGGCATGATCTCCACTCACTGCAAGCTCCACCTCCAGGGTTCACGCCATTCTCCTGCCTCAGCCTCCCAAGTAGCTGGGACTACAGGCACCCACCACCACGTCCAGGTTTTTTGTTTTTTTTTTTGTATTTTTTAATAGACATGGGGTTTCACTGTGTTAGCCAGGATGGTCTCGATCTCCTGACCTCATCATCTGCCTGCCTCAGCCTCCCAAAGTGCTGGGATTACAGGCTGAGCCACCACGCCTGGCTTTTTATGACTAGTTTTAAATCTTCTTTATCCTGTTTGGAGTTATATTTTTGTATTGCATTCTATTTGATCATACGTGGACAGTCCTACTTTCCTTTACTTGGCCACTGCCAGATAGCTCTTTGCCAATGCCCTGGTCTGTTATTTTAAGCTATTTGTGTTTGTTTGTTTGCCAATAGTATCTATCTGATTTTTGCTTTTTACCCCAATCTAAAAGTGCTGTCTTTTAATAGAGGAAATTAAGTAACACCTTTAGCGTGGTAGCTAACATAACTGAATTATTTCCTAGCTTATTTACTATATTTCCTTAATTTTTGTTTCTCTAATTTTCCTGTCTTTTGCTATTTTGTTCAATTTTTGTTGTTTGCTTTTTCTAATGATTTGGAAATTATATATCAATTTTCTAACCAAAATTTTAAATCTATGTTTGAAATTATATATCTAATAAGTATATATCAATAGCATAGATATCTATAGTCTCTATGCAACATGGCAAAATTTTCTACCTCAACCTGCCTCCCAGATTTTATCAAAACAACCACATTAGTGTCAACAATTCAAACTTAACTTTATGTTTCATTGGTTTAATTGCTTACTTCTGCAGTATTTATACCAATGCTTCCTGTTTATCTTTAATAACTAAATATAATTATTAAATTTATATAATTCTATAAATTATTGAATTTATATAATTATTACATAAAGATAATTGATTATTTTAATAATTAAATAATTGATTTATTTTAATAACAAGTAAAGGTATTAAATATTTAATAATAATTTTCCTCATTTGGCTTGTGCACTACAAGTCATTTCCTTTATTCAGAAATGGTATGCAGAAATTTGGAGTCCACTGTATTTCTGAAAATCACTTTCATGTACCCATTCACATACATGAGCTTAGAAATCTTGCATACAGAAAGCCTAGAGGAATCTTGCTTAACAACCTGTTCCTTCTAAAATATGCAAATGTTGCTGCATTATCTTCTAGCATTTGACTTTATGGATTAAAATCTAGTATTAATGTGATTATTTTCTGTAGCCTGCTTTGTCTTGTTTAACGCTTATCTTTGATTTTTTTTGATTACTGAAATTCAGAAAATGTTCTATTACATGAATCAAACCTAAAACAAAAACATCTCCTATATGCCTGTCTGACGTCTTACATGTATCTTCCATGACCTTTAGCTTTTCTCTCCTAATTTCCCCATCTTGTCTCATTCCTCTCAGTTGAAAAATAGATCCCCCAGGTGATATCCTAATTCACTAATCCAATGTTGGTCATCTGGTTTCCTTCTCACAGTAACATTTTCGTGTCCTCCGTCTGCCTCCACTGCACTTGACAGTCTCTTCTTTTGCAATGTGGCACCTCTCAGATCTCACAGGTCATAAGCCAGAGTTGTTTTGAAGTTTTATTCCATTTCTCTGTTTCACTGTGTGCCATTTACTCCATTGGCTTTTGGAGTTGGTATGTGATATATCCTAAACATTCACAAATACTTCAAAATGCTATGCACACTGGGCGCCGAGTGGTCAGTGTGATGCCCAAAGCTTGGGGCAGTGCATTACATACAGAAGTAGAAGAGAATTGTCCAATCAGAATTAAACATGATGGCTTTGACCTACTGTCTGCAGGAAATAAGTGATGAGAGAAGGCCAAAGAAAACTGTAGCCATGTGGCCTCCAGATGGACCTTATTATCTTATGGGTGCTTGGTTTCTTTTTGTTCTTTGACCCTAGGTGATTTATTTTGTTATATTTAAAGCAAACTAGCAATTTCTGCTCTATAATTAAAAGTATGTGTATGTCTTTATAAACACTGAGTATATATACTATTAATTGCTGTTGTTATTTTTCCATTCTCAAAGCTTTCCAGGCCTAATCGTTATCCTGCAACAACTTTCAAAGAAGTGAGAGCAATGATTTCCTCTCCTCCACTGTTCATACGAATCATGGAGAAGCGGGGTTGAAAACGAAGACTGCCTGAGCCCCAACCCCCGGAGTCCAACTTGGGGTACCTGAGATATAGCCCTATCTGTTAGTTTCCTATTGCTGCTGCAACCAATGACCAAAAACTCAGTGGCTTAAAACAATACAAAATTATCACCTTTCAGCTTTTGAGGTCAAAAGTCCAAAATGGGTTGGGTTGGTAGGACTGAGCTCCTTCTGGAAGCTCCAGGGGAGAGTCCCTTTCCTTGCCTTCTCCAGCTTCCAGAGACTGCCCTCAGCCCTTGGCTTGTGGCCCCACTGCACTCCTGAGTTCTGCTTCCATCCTCGCCTCTCCTTCTCTGACTCTCCTGCCTCCCTCTTTCCCTTATGAGGGCCCTTGTGACTACCTTGAACCCATTCAGATACCCGGCATAACCTCCCCATCTCCAAACCCATAACTTCACCACATCTACAAAGCCCCTTTTGCCATGTAAAGTAATACATTCATAGGTTCCAGCGATTAGGAAGGACGTGGACATCAGTGGGGTTGGGGGTACGAGTCTCCCTATACACCCAGAAACCTGCACTTTGAACAAGAACCAGCAGACTGCCTGGTGAGAAACACCAAATCACACCCACTACATGGTGGCTGGAGCTTTTTCCTTTAGGACACTCTTCAGACCCATCACCTTAAAAGTCCGAAACCAACAGAGTGATAAATATCATAATATAAACAAAACACCATCCTTGACAATTTATTAAGATAAAATATTGCAGTATGTACCTAGACCTACCCAGAATTCATTTTTAAGTGGAAAGTTAAATGACAGAACAGAAATGTCTAAGAATCATTGGGGAAAAATACAAGTCAAACCCAAAGCCAAGTCCACTTTCCACAGCAGAATCAAGATGACACCCTGTGGAGACTCCGATACACTCAAAAAACATACTTCCATGTTTGTTTGTTTGAGACAGAGTCTCACTCTATCGCCCAGGCTGCAGTGAAGTGGTTCGATCTTGGCTCACTGCAACCGCTGCCCCATGGGTTCAAGCGATTCTCCTGCTTCAGCCTCCCGAGTAGCTGTTATTACAGGTGCTCGCCACCACACACGGCTATTTTTTTGGATTTTTAGCAGAGATGGGGTTTCACCATGTTGACCAGGCTGGTCTTGAACTCCTGACCTCAGGTGATCCACCCTCCTTGCACTCCCAAAGTGCTGGGATTACAGGTGTGAGCCACCGTGCCCAGCCACTTCCATGTTTTAAAGCTTCACTTTTCCATCTGTCTTAAGCTCTTTTCCCAAAAAAAAAAAAGTAAAATTTCTGAATTGTTTAAATACATTATTAGGAAACAGAACTTAAAAGGCCAGTCCTCTTAGTACATGCCCAAATTCCAAATGTGTCACTATTTCTATAATAAATAGCGCCAGCACTGACAGACTTCATAATGCAGGGTTTCCTGTGCTGCCATTCACCAGCACACACAAAAGTGAGAGTAATGAAAATGTCAGGAAACGGCATCCCATTTAGAAACCAGGAAATACAAAAATGCAGCTATCAGTCATCCCTAAGGCTGGCCAAATAAAAGGTTTTAAATATAGTCACGGATCACCAGTGTCACAAGCAACAACATTCACTGCACAGAGAGGCAGCAGAATTTGCAGCATTGAGGATTTGCTGGGTGGCTGATGAGATCTGCCCACTTTGAACTTGCTCTCAACTGACATACCCAGATCTGTTTTTACATTAGCTGTCAAAATGATAGGTCTCCTGCATCCTATGCCTGCACTGTTAATTATCTATCTGCCTATCTGTCTATCCATCCATCCATCCATCTTGAGATGTCTATCTATCCATCCGTCCATTCATCTATCTTGAGATGTCTATCTGTCCATCCATCCATCCATCCATCTTGAGATGTCTATCTATCCATCCATCCATCCATCCATCCATCCATCCATCCATCTATCTTGAGATGGGGTGTTGCTCTGTGGCCCAAGCTGGAATGCACTGGTGCGATCTTGGCTCACTGCAGCCTCAACCTTTCAGGCTCCAGCAATCCTCCTGCCTTAGCCCCACAAGTAGCTGGGACCACAGGCACACGCTACCACACCTGGGTAATTTTAAAAATTTTGTAGAGACAGAGACTCACTACGTTCCCAGGGCTGGTCTAGAAATTCTGGCCTCAAGCAATCCTCCCACCTCGGCCTCCTAAAGTGCTAGGATCACGGGCATAAGCCACCATGGCCAGCCAATATTTAATTTTTGAATTTGGGACTCCCACGTTGGAGCTGGGATTTTGTACTTACATGTATACTCTCTAGCACATGTAACCCATTAAAAACATCACCTGCTTTGCTGGTTGCAGTCCTTCCTCCCCTCTGTCCTAATTCTGACAGGATCCGGTAGAAGGGACAAATTCGTCTGTGGTTGAAATCTACGGACAGCCATGAGCTGAAACTACGGACCCCGTAGTTCTCAAAGGAATACAGAGAAGCAGGTATGGAATGCCAACAGGGCTGTGCAATGCCCGATCCGGGCCGGCGTGAGGGCACCTCCATGATGGGGTGAGGATGAGGGAAGGAGTCCCAGTTCAAGAAGCCGTTACCAAAAGGCACTCCTAGCGAGCCAGGTGGCTTCATTCATCCACGCCTGATGTAAAGCCACCCACATACCCCATCTATACAATAGGGCTGGGCGCAGACTTTCAAATACCTATTGAACCTTTACTTCCTCTGAAACCCAGAAGCCTGTGTTACAGACCTCAACCACCACATACACATTGTCTCTAAGGAGAAATCAATTCCGTGGGGAAAACCTGGGAATGGAGGAAGCGGAAACAAGAAAGTGGGAAGTGGGGAAAGGCAAGAAGGCTTTCTTTCAGAAGGTGAGTTAGAGATACCACCTGTCTCCCCCATTGATAAAAGGCTCCTCCCATGGCTGGCTCCACTCATCCTGCCAGCCTCATTTCAAAGGCCACAGGCTCAGAGAGGTCCCTGCTGAGCCCCGAGTCCACAGCACAGCCCTGGCCCCTCTCGATGGCCTTGCAGTTTTATCTTAAACATGTATCTCTGTATGAAATGGTTTCCTTATTTTTTGCCTGTCTCTCCTGCTCTAGGACGTGTACTCGCCAGGCAGAGGCCTGGTGTGTCTTCTCCAAAGCAGTATCTCCAGCTCCCAGCACAGGCCTGGCCCATAGCAGGGACTATGATCATTATGAATGCATTGAGAAGCCAGGCATGGTGGCACATGCCTGTAATCACAGCTACTCGGGAGGCTAAGGCAGGAGAATCACTTGAACCCGGGAGGCAAGCAGAGGTTGCAGTGAGCCAAGGTCATGCCACTGCACTCCCGCCTGGGCAACAGAGTGAGACTCCATCTCAAAAACAAACAAACAAACAAACAAAAAGAATGCATTGAGAGATGGGTGGGGGAAGGATGGGAGGAAGGAGGGAGGAATGGAGGTACACCCATCACTCGGTAAAACAAGGCCTAATCTGACCTAGATTTAATTATCCTGGAGACCACCCACTCCCCAAAAAAGGGCCAATGACCACTCTGAGTCGGATGGATTGACATAAGGAGAGAGAGGCAGTGTCCAATGAAACTGTGCTAGAGATCCTCATGGTCCCCAGGTTCCTGGTCTTACTGACACGGCTCCGGTGAGCTCCCACCCTCCCAGATGTCTTTCTAGTAACTCCTTTGTGCGTAGCTACCCAAAGCTGGTTTCTGCTGCTTGCCCTAAATATACCCCATTCCAGGAGCATGTATTCAGGGTGGCTGAGGCACACTGCGGGCCCAAACTGTTTTCAAGCTTTACATCTGGGCACTCTACCTGTTTAATCCTCACAAGGACCTAAAGAGGGAAATGCAATTATAATCTGGTATTCTAAGGATACCAGTGGCCGGGTTACGTAACCCCGGGTAAAATCACGCTGGCAGTAACAGGGGAGCCTCGGTTTATACCCAGGCCATAAATTTCCCTCCTGCGATGCCACGCTGGCCCCTGCACGTATGGTTTATTGTGATAAGTAAAGAATCCTATATAACTTATGGTTTTTATGAATCTAAAATTTTGATGAAACAGGTCTGCTTGGAGTAGGATCCAGCTGTGTCATTTTGAATCTTGTACAACTGTTAGACTGCTTTGAGTCATTCTCCTAAAACTGTAATTTTATTTTAAATTATATTTAAATTAATTAAAAATATAATTTTATAACTTGCCCCGGAGACATTTTACAGACATGCTTTTAGCAAAAATATAACCCACAAAATAAAAGTTACTTTGTGAAACCCTCTCCCAAAATTTATATAACATATATAACCATTTTTCTTAAAATTATTTTTAGATCTAAGCAATGGTAAACTCATTAGTCTGTTCATAATATGATTTTATACTCCCTGGCATCTGCAAGCACAGAACATAGAGAACTCAGCTTGAGGAAAAACAGTAAGCAAATTAAAAAGTAAAATAAATCTTAGCCTATGTTCACACACTCAAAATTTAAATAACAGTTTTTCTAGGGGAAAGGAGTGGGAGGTGGAGGCAGAGAGATCAATCCATTTGCCTCTCACTCCAGGTCTGAGAACCCTCATTTTCTATTCTTCAAATTAATGAAATGAACACAAGACCACTCTGATGAGGAAGTCTGAAATAATGGAAACGCCGTGGCATTTGCATTCCCTTTCAATGTGAACAGGCTATTTTGATAGTTAGCAAAACCAGGACAAATTGCCTGAGATTTCATCCTTTGTTGCTCTAAAATGGCTCTCGGGCTGTAATAGGCCATATCACTGCAAAATGCACTTACCTTTAAATAGGCAGGCAAAGTGGATTGTGTTAAATATAAAATTAGTGACATGTTCTCTCAACTCATGGAGTCTAATTCTAATTCAAAAGACTTCTGCTCACTTCAGACAATGCCTGTTCCTTCTTGTTTATAACCTCAATTCCAATTTTCTGCAATTCAAATAAATCCCACCTACAGCCCTGGGCTTTGGTCTCACCCACCTCTGCCCCAGACACCAGGCTCAGACTCCCAGGCCCTCTGTCTGCCCCGCACGCCTGCCATGTCTGAGCTCTTGAGCATGGGTCTGTACTGCCTAGGAGGCTCTTCACCAGGTTTCCACATCACGGATGCCTCGTCACCATCCTGGCCTGGGCTTAAACGTCATCTCCTCCCAGTGGCTTGGCCTGAAGAACTGCTCTGATGTCTTCTTCCCCACATTTGCACCATGTTTGATCATCTTACTCTGGCTGGTTAGTGCTGTTCCCATCAGACCCTCTCCCCAACACTGTAAGCTTTGCTGGGATCAGGACCCTGGGTCCCCAGTGCACACTGGGGGAATCCGGCTGCAGCTGGTGACTCAGGCTGCAGGAGCCCATGCCCAGGGCAGTGCCCCTGACCAGTGGCTAGAAACAGCATGGCAGCCCACACCTACAGGGCCTGGCAGACACCTCTGTCCCAGCATAGCTTCACCCCTCCCCTCCTCCCCCAGCTCCCTGCTGCAGCCTCCCCAGACCCTGAGATCCACGCAGCTGTGAGGAGCCCTCAGCTCTCCCTGCAGGCCTGGAGTTGGCCGGCTCCACTGCTGGTCCAGCCCTGGCTCCTGCCTCCAGCCTCACTCCTGGGCATCTACCCCCAACAGGCACCGGGTATAATCACCTATTCTCTACCTGCTCATCGCACGCCCACCTCCATCTGCAGGTCTTTATCATGGTGTAAGGCTCCCCTGGGTAAAGTTCTCCATGAGCATAAGAGGCATCTTTTTTACAACTGAATCCCAGCACAAACAGGTCTCAATCACACCACTGCCCTCTCATGAGCCAAGGAACCTGCCTGGGCCAGCCCCCGACGGTCCTGGCACTCTGTGTACTGGACCCAGCCCCAGCACTGGTGGCTGTGACTGTCTCCTCCCCACAGCATCACAGGTGGGTGAGTGTCTAGCCTAGGAGGGTAGGTCTCAGCCAACCTCAGTTCACTGTGTCTTCAGGTTGCATTTTCATTGTAGTGAATACTCAGAATGGAATAATGCAATGAAGGGCTGTGTCCTGTTTCAAATGGACCACAGGTGCCCCTTCCCAGTTTGCTCCTTTCCTTTTTGAACTAATGGTAGAAAATTCCCTTTACCCTTAGAAACTCAACTCCAACAGTGATTTAGCTACATTTTATTCTTAAGGCTGCTCATAGCAATTCACATATCCATGAGAGAAAGACCAATTTACTTAATGGTACAAATCTTATTCCCCATCACATAACACAGCTGGTCAAAAATGCATTCTTTCAAGCCAAGATGAAATAATTCCCAGAATGTCCCTTTTAGTCAAATTTGGCTCTTGACAAGTCTAGAGAGAATCCCCATAATAGGCTTCAAAGGCTGGCCCCACAGCCCCCACTGGCAGCTGGTAGGGATTCCCAGTAGGGGAAGCCTCCCCAGACCCCTTCTCTGCTACTGGCTGTCCCTCAAGGGGTCTCAAGGTCTCTCAGACACCAAACACAGACTCCTCCATGGGAAAAAAAAAAAAAAAAACAGCTACCTTCTGGCCCTAGGATCTGTGCATTCTCCTTTCCTAAAGCGAACCACCCTCATCCTCTCATAAAGAACCAAAAAGCACGTCATTCACCTGATGGCTCTACACCACCAACCCTGTTACTCTATTCCCATGCCCTGCTTCTATGTATTTGTTGCTGTAAGACTTCTTACTACCCAGCATTACATTGTCAATTTGTTTGTCTGTCTACCCTCTGTCTATCCTAGAGAATGTGAGCTTAGAGTGTACAACAGTACCTAGAAACGGATGACCAAGGAAATCTGCTGAATGAACTAACGACTGTGTGGTTACCGTGGCTCTAGCTGGCATGCCACTTTAGGATATATCTTGAGTTTTAGGAATTCAGGAATTCCTGCAATCTTTCAAAGGGATCATGGGGCTTCCCTGATTGCAGAATTCAGCAATCTATGAGCGAGTATCTATGCATTTCATTGCCTCTGCTTTGGAAGAGACTGTTGTTCTGTAATAGGTCTGGTATTCATTAAGCCTTTCAAAAAGATGTTCCCTGGTGCATAGGTCAACATTGCAAAGTGTTTCCTTCGCCTTCCTAAACAAGCCTCACATAAGAAGCTATGTGATTACTGGATGTTTGGGTGATTAAAACCACATCCTTGCCTTTCCTCAGCATCCCTTCACCTGTTCAGTGTCCCACACTAATCCACAGCTGTGCAATGTATCATAAATCAGACTCAGAGTCTCTGGAAGGGTCATGTGCTGCAAATTACAGAATACCCAGATCACACAGACACATCCACATGGTGCAAAATAAACCATGAAGGAGAAAAGAATCTCACTCTCGCAGGTTTGACCTGAAGCATACATGACATACATACATAGAGCACACATGAATAACCAAACTACTTCCACTGGAGTTAAACCTTACAGCTCATCCATGCTCCTCAAGCAGAGATCAGAGGACACTGGGGCAGGGCAGGGCGGTGGCAGTGCACATGGAGTCTCACGAAGCTTGAGAAACAATGCCTTAGACGGTGAAAAAAGTCTTGTGTTAAAAACTAACATTTCAAAATGGAATTTTGGTAAAACAATCAAGAAGAAAGCATGGCAGACCATGGCCCGAGTGTTAGGCAGACTCCAAGACTCGAGTTTCTCAAAATGGGAGTTTGTGGCTCCCAGGGAATCTCAGCTATGATCCAGGTTGAGAAACTGCTCTAAACCCAGTGAGACTTGTTTCCTGCAACTATTTAACTGTGGTCTGTTTTGAGAGTACTGTACACCTGTTTTCCTTTCCTCCCCATTTTCCCCTCTTCCCTATCACTCTCCAGGCTGCGCCCTACTAACTCCATCCTGCTTGACAAACGTGTTTGCTTCTTTCAGTGACTTTTCCCTCCCATTTTCTTTTTTGGAAAGTCTGCCTTTGTCTGGCATTTGTGTTTTTAAGACAGCAAGAAACGTGAGCTCAGAGATCTGCATCCACTCTGTGCTCCCCACTGGCTCCGGGGTGGGAGCAGTCTTCCCAGTCTGCAAACCCTCAAAGGGGAAGTAATATAAATTTCAAATGAGGACACCCTCCTAAAGAAGCAGCTGGACCCACATTTTGGTACATCTGCCTGGCACTCCCAGGAATGAGCAGTGGGGACCATGTTTGACCAGCATAGTGCATCCTGGGTGATGCTTGGGGCAAATTTTCAGCACTGCTTGTTTAATTTTTATGTTTGTTAATATCCTTTTTAGGGGATGATAAAACTTACCCAAGCCTTCAAACCATCTTTATAGTGTAGTTTTATAAATTGTTATTTGGTTCTAATCAAACTCTGTGGGAGGGAAAGGTGGACATAAAAATAAGGCCCTTGGATTCTTTCAAGAGAATGTTGCTGCATATATATATACACATATATATACACACATATATATGTATATATATACAATATGTGTGTGTGTGTGTATATATATACACACACAAAATGTAAATGGAACTCTAAAGATGCTCTTTCACTGTGGTTGAAAGTAAGTATCACATCTGGGTAAGCAACTCATCCCAGTTTGCCCTGGAGTTTTCGGTTTTAGTGCTGGAAGATGGAAGACCTCCATCCTGGGAAGTCCCTCAGGCCTGGTTGCTCATGCTATTTTTATGAAACATGACAGCAGAGCACAGGCATCTACTGAGGGAACCATTAAGCCCTTTGCTACTGATGAGTCAACCGATGTACTAGAGCAGCCAATGGCAACAAAGCTAGATCTGGGATCTGGGCAAAGTAGAACTCAGGTGTACAAGGAATGATCCTATCTGGTGATTTCACTCCTGGGGTGAGAACATGCAGAGTTCCTGCCATTCCATCGGGCAGTTCAGATGTCGGAGATCTTGCCATTTGTCATTTTCTCTACAATGTCAGGAATCATATTGTAAAACACCTGACACTGACCTGGAGAAGAAAAATGTAGCTGTTTAATTCATGTGTAACATACTCAGATTATCTTATATGTTAGCAATACTCCATTAGGTCTCGTCTACCTGCAAAGAGCCCTGGGTCCCATCGCTGAGGAAGCGCCTCTACTCACCCTCCAGAGGACATGGACTTCCTGAAGGAAAACAGCACTGCCCATCTGGCACTGGGGTCAATCGTTTTTAAACTTTAAGAGAACTTTTTATTCCCCAAAGACATTCCTATGCAGAATCTAATATATAAAACAGACAAAAGTGGTGTTCTGTGAGCAGAGATTTCTTTTATAAGTTCAGATGTAAAATATGTATTACATATTCAGTCGAGAACAAAAAGGTTGGAAACTGGCATTATAGAGGGCAGCTGAAGTCATAACAGCCTACAAAAATCATCTACTTCTAAATTTAATTTTGGCTGCCCAGTATCAAGAAAATTCTGGAAACAGGTTTTACTTTGTAATTTTAGGATACCCTCAAATGAAATGCATTCGGAAGCTTGAAAACAAAATGCAAGGGAACACTGATGCCAATGCTGAATCATGAAGAGAAACCAATAAATGACTTCTCCACTCGTTTAAGTATTAATTACTTGGGAGAAAATGTTTTTCAAACGTATCTGTAACATTACGGAATTTCCAACGATGTTATATTTTGAAATATCAATCCAGTCTTTAGACAGAATTTCAAACGGTCATATTTACTTTGTTTTCCATGCTGACCCCTAACCTCCTGTCCAAGAACTCAGAAGGCCCAAAAAGATCAAATGGACAGGAGGTGGGGGCCAAACAAAAATGACAATACAACTTCCTGCTTCAATCTTAAATTGTCTTTTAGACGTTACATTCCACTTCATTAGTTATCCGAAACCAAAGTCCATGAAGCTGTCCCTGACTTTTCCTATCCCTTCCGAACATCTCCCACTAGTGCAAAAGGCCAGGGAAGAATCAGGTCATTGAAAAGAAATGATGGCTTTTTCCAGTAAACAATGATTTCTTAAAGCCTAAAGTCTACAATGGACTATAAAGCTTTCCCTATCAAGTACATAAGCCAAAGGCTCACATTTAAAGAAAAAAAACATAACTGCAATATTGTTGCAACTAGCTATAAAATGTAAAAATTTAAAAAGTAAACGTCTAAATTACTAAAATAAGCTGATATTTAGATTCTAAGAGGAGATCAGTAACCATGCTCAAGATGATCCTAAAAACACTGTCTTCTATTAATTGGCCTGTTTTAAAAGTAACAGAACACTTCATATAATATTGCATCTCCAACTTCTATTCTTATTCACCATTCTGAAACTAGACTGAGAGGTTGGATAATTAATAAAATCACCCCTTTCCCCTGGCTCTTGATTATCCTTCATCAGGGTCATGTTTGTACTTCTCTTGTCGATTGTAATCATTTATTTGAAACAGTGTCTCAGCAGTTCATTAGCTTTTCATTAGTGCCTGTAGGTTGGATAAAATGTGCTTGAATTTCCAAAGTAAATGCAAATCCCCTTGGTAATCCAGCAAGGACATGAATTCCCAGAACATTTTCAAGTAAGACAGCTCCAATCAGAACTTGGATTTTAGTGAAAAAAGTGGTGTCCTCCTGAATGGCAGAGAACCCACGCTCCCATCCAGTCCTAAACATCAATTCTGAAAATGACCATCACAGTTTGGCTTCATCTTCAACCTGACCGTGGTATTCAGGAATGTCAGTTACTTAATTACAAACAAGGAGGGCAAGTCAAAAGAATTCAACACAAATTTTAAAAGCCAATGTATCAGCTACTCAGTAAGTTAAAAATATGGCTGCCAGGACCCCACCTGGACAGTCAAACTCAGCAGCTCCAGCCTTGAACACAAGAGACCTGGATCCGCATCCTGCCTCCGGCCCTGGGCAGCTGTGTAGACCTACACATCACAAGCTGAGCTTGGTGTCTGTATCTTCAAAAAAGGAAAGATGATCCACAGTTCTGAGACTGGGATGGAGATCACAGAAATAATGAAGGGGAAGTGCCTTGCACTGTCCCCAACACATAGCAGGCCTCCACAAATGACCGCTTTACAAAGATCACAGATGCAGCCTCCCCAGTGTTAAAGTATGTCCTCAGTGGACAGTCAAAATGGACTCCCCGTGGCTAACTGACGTGTGCAAAACGAAAGCAGAGCCAGGTGGCCATAGTTGGGTGAGGAAAAGGTCATGTTCTCTGTGTTCTCAGAAATATATTGTAAAAGTGTCACAGGACCTCCCTTTCTACCATCCAGTCAAACCAGTTCCTGTTGTCAGTGCTGAAATAGAGTGTAGCTGGAAATGCCGCAGCTGACCACCCAGAGACCCCCTGAGGCCAGCCCATGAAGACAGACTTGTGATGTCCTCCTTAAAGACCATCCAACCCGGCCCCTGTACCTGAATCCCCAGCTATCCTGTGGTTTGCACCTTTATGACCTTCTATCCCCAGTCTCTCCTTGGAGTACATTTTTGTTTTTTGCTGAAGGCTGTCTCTCCCAATCTTCAGATTGCTTTTAGAAAATAAAGTTATCCTTTTGCCTCCGCAGATCTCACTGGTCTTTTGTTAACACCCGTAAGGGAAGATAGAATTGCAGGACTGAAATGCATGCCATGAGACAGAGGAACAGGTCAAACAGGTTAAACAGAAACACACATGAAACAAGGTTATGTACTAACCAGTTGAGGAAAATGAGGCCAGAGGCAACAGGAACTTAACCATGTACATGTGTATTTCCCCTGAAGGCAATGGCTCAGTATTCACTAACTGAGTATCCATGATGACTTCATAAAACAAAACTGCTGCAAATGATGAGAACTGGCAATACATATATTTCCTAGTTCTGTCCCCTAATAGAGCATAGAAGCAATGATACCCAATAGTAAGGAGCTCAACTAGCACCCTGGTTTTCTAATACCAAGGCTTCAGACGATCCAATCACTCTGAGCTATGGGAGGACATTCTCTGATAAAAGGAGAAACACATAAGCAGCTGATGGTAGGGGCAGGGAAAGCATCAGAATGTAAGATGAACCAGGAGCATCTTATAGTGCTAGAAAATTGGAATTACACACACACACACACACACACACACACACACACACACACACACACACACACAAACAGTAGAGGGTGGGAGAAGATGAAGCAGGAGCCAAATGGCCAAAGGTCAAATAACTTGAGCAACAAAATAAATACCCACACTATTGAATTACAACCTAAAGGCCAAAATAAATAGACAGGAGTCCATATTAATGTCACAATGACTAAATTAACAATGGAGGAAGAGACCAATTTTCCTTAAAAAAGAATTCCAAATCAGAAATGTGAAAAACAAAGGAGGGAAACAGAAAGTCACCCCCAGAACACCAGGGTGATTGCTGCTGGGCCCAGATCCACTCTAGAATGCTAACATCAGTGCTTGAAATTTTAAGAAGAAACAGGACATTTGCAAGGCCTGGAAGTATCTCCCCCAGAATATTTATTAATCACTATGGCTTTAACTCACGTCCACTAATTCTTTGACACGCTCTCCCCCAGGAGGCAAAGCTTAATCCTCCTCCTCTTGAGTGTGGGCTGAACTTAGTGACTGGCTTCTAACAAGGAGTAAGGGAGGGGAAAGATGGTGACTTCACAGAGGAGACATCTGGCAGACACCAGCTTGGCCAGGTGATCAAGGTTAACTCACCAGTAGTAAGTCACATGTTGACATCATGATATGATGTGATGAGGGGGGTACCTTACCTCTGTGGTGGTCTTCCTCATATTCGTAACTCCAGTCTAACAATGAGAAAGCATCAGACAAACCCAAATTGAGGGATATTCTACAAAATACCTGATCCATATACTTCAAAGTGTCAAGGTCATGAAAAACAAGGAAAGACTGAGAAACTGAGATTAGAGGAGATTCAAGAGATATGATGATTAAATGAAACATGGTACCCTGGATAAAAAGACCATTAGTAGAAAAATTGGTGAAATCCCAAAAAAGTCTGTAGTTTAGTTATTTTTAGTTTTGACAAATGTATGATGGTTACATGAGATGCTGATTTTTGAGCAACTCCCCGCTTCTGTGTTAAATGATTAATACAGGAGTCCCCTCACTTCCTTTTCCTGTTCTAATGCCAGATACCAGCCAAAGCACATCATTTTTGCATCATCCTACATGTGGGGAAATATTTTTTATTCTGCATATCATAGAATAGTATGCATTGATCATAAAATTTTCTGCAGTAGACTTGAGTTAACTTTTCACCTATAAAATTACAACCCTCACTCGTTTCCAACATTAGCATGAAGAAAATGGTTACTCCCAGGTTTCCACATCTTACTGGAGAAAACCGCAATTAATGTCACCACAAATATCCAGTTTCCAACGTTAGCTCAGCTGCCATTCTGTGTGTTCCTGTTCCTCAATCATACTCAATTCACCTGTGGTTCCCGTCCTGCCTCTCACCACAGGGTCGGCTGGGCCCAGGATGACAAGGGGCCTCCCTGCCTCTTCCACTGTCACCATCCTCTGCCTCAGGGCTGCCATCATCGCTCTCCCTCCTTTTCCTGAATCCCAGCACCACTGGCTCCTCCAGGGCCCGCTCCAGGGGTTATCCCCTCCCCTGCCTCCACTCTGTCTCTACTCAGTCCTCCCACCCATGAGCAAACACAGCCACACTGTCTCCCCATCCCAAAAAAGAACGTTCCTCAGTTCCTCAAAACATTAAACACAGAATGACCATATGATCCAGCAATTCCACTTCTGGGTATATACCCAAAAGAACAAAAGAAGGGAGAGGCATGTGTACCCCCATGTTCACGGCAGCATTACTCACAATAGTGAAAAGGTGGAGGCAAACCAAGTGTCCATCCACAGATGCGTGCATTGATAAAATGGAGTCCATCCACACAATGGAGTGTTATTCAGCCTTGAAAGGAAATTCAGACACATGCCACAACATGGATGGACCCTGAGGACACTGTGCTGAGCAAAATAAGCCGATCACAAAAGGACAAATATGTGTGACTCCACTTCTGTGAGGTACCTACGGTAGTCAAATTCTTAGAGACAGGAAGTAGAGTGGTGGTTGCCAGAGCCTGGGGAGAGGAGGGAATGTGGAATTCGTGTTGAATGGTGACTGGATACAGAGTTTCAGTTGGGGAAGATGAAAAGCGTTCTGTGGATGGATGGTGGTAGTCATACGAAGGTGACTAATAATCCCCCAAATGCCCAATCCCATCACCCATTCTCAGAACTCCATGGCATCTGACACTGCTAACCAACTTCTACAGCATTAAGCCCGCTGCTCCCCAGCTCTCGTTCTGCAATTGTTGAGGGACAGTTATGCGCACGTGTGTGTGTGTGAGAATATACGTTATGAATTATACTGGGTGTGCATTTATGTACATATATGCATATAGACGATATTTTTTTAATTCCACTTACTGAACATCTACTACCATTATCAGAAATTACACAAGTATTTACATGCATCATCCCATATAATCCCCCCAAATTGCCCTGTATTGCTTCCTGACTCCATCTACACCATCACCAGTTTTTTCTTGGTTTCTTTGCTGGCATTGTCATATGGTGGAGTCCTTGGGGTTCTGTCCCTCCTCATCTGCCCAGGTGAGCTCACGCACTTTCATAGCTCACCGCCATCTCTGTGGTGATGGCTCTGAGTCTTCCTTTCCAGTCCAGGCCCATCTGCTGAGCTCCAGACACCACACCCATGTGTCCACCCAACATTTCCCATGAGCCTCTCAAAGTCAGGACAGCCAATACCAACCCAGTTCTCTCTCCATCCCTCCCTCCCAATTCCTCTCCAGCATCTATGCTCCTTGTTTTATAACCTCTGTTGCTGTTGTCCCCCTGAAGCACCAAGGGAAAGGAAAAGCCTCCTCACTGGGATTCCTAATGGAAGCGTTTGCACACAGTGACCCTCCCAGCACGGACCCCTTGTTAATAGATGGGTAGGAAGCACCAGGAACAGAGTATGTTCAAAATCAGATAAGCGTTATAAAAACTGGTATGGGGTCAGAGTGGAGATCATTTTCCAAACCAACTATTCGAACCACCCCATCGCCATCTGGGTAAAGACTGGGTTGTGCCTCCAGCAAGCTACTCTGACTTGGGAAGACCGTGTGCAACTATCTTTGGGAAACACAGCCGCATGCTCCTTGGCTGGAAATGATCAGAGGCTCTAAGGAGTGTAAAAAGGGAACACAACCCTGATTCTAATTTTTATTCTTGGAGAAATCACGTTTTATTTTTCATATCAAAGAGGGGGAACTCTGTGGGCAGAGTACTCTGCCGAGAACCAGTTCTGTTCTGCAACTTGTCCCAATCATCAGGAAAACACATGTTCCAGGGAAGCCCCCATCAGGGCACACACAGCCCCAAATCAGGGCATGCTGTCACTTCCTCTCATTCCCTCGAGAGCCCACCTGGCCAAAGAGGCTCCAGTGGCCTGATTGGAGGGCACATCAATAATATGGAGGGTCCCCGTGCCCCCCGACCTGGAAAGTCAGTCTCAGCGATGGGGCTCTCGGGGCCTCTTAAAATGGGAAAAACAGAAGATGAAAAGGCTGTTTGCACTTGTCAGCAATGCTGGCACTGCTCACTATCCATACTTTACCCTCCCCAATTAAAACCACACACTTGATCTGTTCACATAACAAAGCCTCCCTTAGAGCCCCCAGAGGTGCCTGCTCCCAAAACAGCACTGTCAGGGCACAGCCTCAGTCCTCACTGGACAGAAACCAGGGGCAGGGACCAATCCTCTCTCTGTCCCAGCCCTTTCAAACCAAAGACAGCGTCTCTGCGAAGGAGGGAAGCCGCATGTTTTCATGCTGAGATACAGTGCAGATTTATGATCGGCACCTGTGAGGTCCTCAGGTACCTCTTGCTGGAACAGAGCAACAGGTTTCTAAAGGTTCTGGCCCTTGGCCTCTACATTTGTCACCACTCCTGTGGTCACTCTTCAGTGGAAGCTGCTCACCAGCCTCCTTGTCCCACATGTAAAAGCCAAAAGGAGGGGCCCTACAGCACCACTGTCATTGGAATCCTTCCAACATTCCCCACCCACCTTATGCAGTGGGAAGACAAGGTTCCTACCAGACCCTCCAAAGCCCAGGAACCTCTCCCTGTGCTGACATCCAAAGATGCCCGGCGTTCCAAAACACCAGAAATCCAGGGAAGAGGCCCTACCTTGGGGATGAGTACATTAGGAAATAGCCAAGGAGCAGGATTAAGTAATTATACACTAGCCCACCAGGAAACCATGACACTGAACATCCCATGGGGCCCACGGGTCTGGTGGGTGTTTCTCGCCCACTGGGGGCTGGATAAGTGAGCATGAGGGTGTGGCCCAAGAAGTGTCCGAGGCAGAGCTCAATCCTTTAGAGGTTTATTTTGCCAAGGTTGGGATGTACCCAAGCAAAAGAAACACAAGTTACAGTAGGGTCTGCGGCCTGGGCTTTTCTCCAAAGAGGGGTCTGAGAAAGAGCAAGCAGGAGGGGAAAAGGAGAGAGGGGTGCCCATGAGGCAAGTGGTTACATCCTCGGAGGCTTTGATTGGCATTCAGTGAATCTGCATCTTACATATAAAAAGAAGGGGCCGGGCGCGGTGGCTCACACCTGTAATCCCAGCACTTTGGGAGGGGGAGGCGGGTGGATCACAAGGTCAGGAGATCGAGACCATCCTGGCTAACATGGTGAAACCCCATCTCTACTAAAAATAGAAAACATTAGCCAGGCGTGATGGTGGGCGCCTGTAGTCCCAGCTACTCAGGAGGCTGAGGCAGGAGAATGGCGTGAACCTGGGAGGTGGAGCTTGCAGTGAGCCGAGATCGCGCCACTGCACTCCGCCTGGGCGACAGAGCGAGACTCCGTCTCAAAAAGAAAGAAAGACAGACAGAAAGAAAGACAGACAGACAGAAAGACAGACAGAAAGAAAGAAAGACAGACACAGAAAGAAAGAAAGAAAGAAAGAAAGAAAGAAAGAAAGAAAGAAAGAAAGAAAGAAAGAAAGAAAGAAAGAAAGAAAGAAAGAGAAAGAGAAAAGAAGGGGATAGGGGAAAAGCCAAGTATGCATTCTTCTCAGGCTCAGCAAATCTACATTTTATATAAGCAAGCATGTGAAATCACGGCTATCCGTTGCGGGGTGCGGGATAAAAAGGAAAGTGGTTTTTTGCATGACTCAGTTCTCAAGCTTAACTTTCCCTTTGGCATAGTGAGTCTGGGGTCCACAGCTTCCTTCTTTTTTTTCTTTTTTTCTTTTTTTCTTTTTTTTTTTCTTTTCTGTCACCCAAGCTGGAGTGCAGTGGCTTGATCTCAGCTCACTGCAAACTCCGACTCCCAGGTTCAAGCGATTCTCCTGCCTCAGCCTCCCGAATACCTGGCACTACAGGCGCCCACCACCATGCCTGGCTAATTTTTGTATTTTTAGTAGAGACGGGGTTTCACCATATTGGCCAGGCTGGTCTCGAACTCCTGACCTTGTGATCCGCCCACCTCGGCCTCCCAAAGTGCTGGGATTACAGGTGTGAGCCATCACACCTGGCCGGCAGATTTCATTTTCCTTTCACAAATGCGTGGTCTACTGGACAAGCCCTGAGATGAAGATGGCTAGAGAGGCTCCACAGTCCCTGGAGGGGGGCACTGGCAGGCGGTCCACGGCCACTCAGGCTGAGACCCTGGCTCTAGAAAAGGGAGGAAGTGCAGGTACCAATAAGGTTTAAGGATGGATGTATCAGACTGTGGACAAAGACTAAAAGAAACAGGGCTGCCAGCCCAATACTGACACCTTGCTTCCTCATAGAATAGCAGATGTGTTGGGGTGGCAATGTGCCCAACTGCTATGGTCTAAATGTTTGGGTCCCCCCAAAATTCCTATGTTGAAATCCTAACACCCAATGTGATTGTATTAGGAGGTGGAGCTTTTGGAGGTGATTTGGTGATGACGGTGGAGCCCTCATGAATGGAATTAGTGCGAGATACTGGGATTTACAAGAAGAAATATATATCTGCTCTTCTTGTTTCCTGGCATGCAGCTCCTAACACTTGGAATCTCCAAGGTGATGTGTCTTTTTGTGTGCTAATAAGATGAGTGGTAGTGAGGGGCTTCTGGACAGCCTCAGGATGGGGGCTGGTTGCCAAGTGAACCAACCCTGTGATTAGAGCGTTGGAACTTTCAGGCCCACAATCCCACCACCACCCCTCACCTTAGGGAAGGGAAGAGGGGCCAAAGGTTGAGTTAATCACCCAACAACCAATGATGTAATCAATCAAGCTATGCAATGATGCCTCCATAAAAACCTAAAATAACTGGATTTGGAGAGCTTCCAGTTGCTGAGCACATGGAGGTTCCTGGAGGGTGGCGCCCAGAGAAAGCTCCACACCCCTTTCCACAAATAAGAGGTTACCCTGTGCATCTCCTCCATCTGGCTGTTCATCTGTATCCTTTGTAATATCCTTTATAATAATTGGGTAAATGTAAGCAAGAATGTTTCCCTGAGTTCTTGAGCCATGCCAGCCATCCCACTCCTGGAGAAGGGAGTTGTGAGAACCCCAATTTATAGACCATCAGTCAGAGGTACAGATCACAACCTGGGATTTGCAACTGGCATCTAGAGTGGAAGCATCTGAGCCCTCAACCTGTGGGATCTGATGCGAATTCCAGGCAGACAGTGTCAGGACTGAACTGACTTAGAGGACACCCAGCTGATGTCTGCTGGAGAATTGCTTGCTGTATGGGAAAACATCCCACACACATCTGGGCGACCAGAGAAGCATTCTAAATTATTGAGAGTGAGGGCTGGAAAAACTGTGTTTTTCTATATCTCGAACAGTGCCCTTATAAATTAAGAGGCCGAAGAGAGCTAGTTCGCCCCTTCCACCAAGTGAGGACACAGCAAGAAGGCATGATGCAGAAGGAAGCAGGCCTTCCTCAGACACTGAATCTGCCAGCACCTTGATCTTGGACTTCTGGCTCCAGAACTGTGAGCAATAAATGCCTGTTGTTTTTAAGCTACCGACTCTAAGGCATTTTGTTATAGCAACCCCACACGGACTAAGACACCAACTAACACTCCTTTCCCAGACCACACTGGCTTAGGAGTGGCCATGTGACCCAATTCAGACTAAAGAGGTGAGGGGGGAAGTCTGCTAGGTGGTTCTTGGAAGGTTTTTTTTTCCTGGAACAGGTTCCCCACGTTTCTGTTTCCAATTCTTGCTGCCTGGAAGACAGACACGCTACTTGGAGAAATAGAAGCCCTGCAGTAATCCTGAGACAATACGCACAGAGCAAAGCCAACATGCCAAAGTTGGCCAGCAGAAAGGAGGAGGAGCCTCGGTCCCCAGTGGCACCATGGGGTGGGGAGTGAGATCATGGCTTTTTCTTGATATACGTGTATACTGTTTCACCTGTGCATTAGTTTTGTATGGCTGCCACAACAAATTACCTCAAAGTCAGCAGCTTAAAGCAACACAAATTTATGATCTTGCATTTCTGTAGGTTAGAAGTCCCAAACAGGTCTCCCTGTGGAGACTCTAGGGCTGAATCCATTATCCTGCCTTTTCCCACTCCTAGAGGTGACCCACATTCCTTGGTTGTCAGCCACCTTCCTCCATTCCTGACTTCCAGAGCCAGGAGCATGGTATCTCTTGAGCCATTCTTCTGCAGTCACACCTCCTTCTGATTCTCCTCTTCTGCCTCCCTCTTCCACTTATGGGACTTTCTCTCACCCAGATAATCCAGGATTACATCCCTTTTCGAGGTCAACTGACCAGCAATCTTAATTCCATCCACAACCTTAATTCCCCTTTACCACATAACCTAACATGTTCCAGGGATTAAGGCATGGACATCTTTGTGGAGGGGGGTCACTATTCAGCCAACCACAAATTCTTACAGCAAGCAAATTCCTTTTGTTATTTAAAACACAAATCAAATAATTTTTAATTAAAATATTTTAATTGAATATTAAAAATTGGGACTGTAATCCAATAAATCAAAAAAGAAAGTCCAACCTTTAAAGCACAATGAATCAAGAATGCTAAGATTTCCATGGAGAAAAGAAGTCATTCTGGGATTAGATGAGAACAGGCCCCTTCTACCACCTCTGCTGATCAGTGGGCATGCCTTTACTCATAAAAAACAGAGTACAGGGAGCTCTGCATAGCACAGTCTTCGCCAGGCTGAGGCTGCTTCCCAGCTCCTGTGTGTCTGACTGGGCTAGTCCTTCACATCCCATGCAAAAGGTTGAATTTTTTTATTTTCTTTGAGACAGGGTCTCACTCTGTTGCCCAGGCTGGAGTGCAGTGGCACAATCGCAGCTCACTGCAGCTTCAACCTCTGGGCTTAAGCCATCCTCCCACCTCAGCCTCCTGAGTAGCTGGGACTACAGGTGCATGCCACTGGGACTACAGGTGCATGCCACCAGACCTGGCTGATTTTTTTTTTTTTTTTCGTAGAGATGGGGGTCTCGCCATGTTGCCCAAGCTGGTCTCGAACTCCTGGGCACAAGTGACCTTCCCACCTGGCTTTGAATATTTTTAAATTTACTTTAAAAAATGGGCTTGGCCGGGCGTGGTGGCTCACCCCTGTAATCCCAGCACTTTGGGAGGCCAAGGCAGGTGGATTACCTGAGGTCAGGAGTTCAAGACCAGCCTGGCCAACATGGTGAAACTCCGTCTCTGCTAAAAATACAAAAAAAATTAGCTGGGCGTGGTGGCAAGTGCCTGTAATCCCACCTACTTGGGAGGCTAAGGCAGGAGAATCACTTGAACCCGGGACGTGGAGGCTGCAGTGAGCGGGATTGAGTGCACTCTAGCACTGCACTCTAGCCTGGGTGATGGAGCGAGACTCTCTGTCTCAAAAAAAAAAGGGCTTAAGCAATTTCCAATTATTTAAATTTTTTTGAACTTAATAAGCCCAACAAGATCTTTCTCCTTTCTAATTAATGCTACCAGGTGAGCATCTTGAAAAACAGTGGCCTATAGGTGGGTCACCATTCTCCGTTGACACAAGCCCTCCTACAACAGCACCTCGGGGAGGGAGCCTCAATGGGCTCCAGTGCTTCACCTATGATGGGATTCTGTGGATTTAAAACGAAGACACACCACTGACCTTCAAGAATCTCCCTGGCAGATATCTCCCAAACATTCAGTCCTGATACAAGTATCTTCATAACTGGAATTCACCTACTTCCAGAACGTCAGGATGAGTACCCAGGACAGCTCTGACTGCCTGTTGCTTAAAACCATGCCCAGGTCATAAAGCCCTCACTGTACTGTACCCTAAATGCACTTAAGCGACTGTTTTCTACAGTGTCCTAGTACTGAATGTTGACACTAACCTATGAAACTAAGTGTCATACTTACTGTGAGGCAGAGAAACCATCAACTGACCACAAGGTTTGTTTCAAGAACAAATCGAGACGAACCAATAATGCAGAGGCTAAATTTTTCAAATCAATAATAATACAGTTCACATGCAAGAGCTTTTGAAAACTCTTCCATATGATAAATATCACATCACATCGGTAGAGATGGAAATTAGATTGCTCAACCAGGTGAATCAAATTTAATCCAGCTTTTTCCATCCTGTTTTCTAAATATCTTGTATTATTTTAAATTAGTTTTGAAAAATCAATCTGAAAGTATAAAAGATACAAATGAAATCTGGGTCTTGGAGCCCCTGGGTCTAGGAGCCTGACTCCAAGAACACATTTCACCTGCAGCTCCAACCAGTGGTCTCTTCCCAACCCCTGGCCTGAAGGTCTCCAGCCTGGGATGGAGCACCTCCTTCCTTAGAAACAAACACTGTTACTGCATCTACATGAAATGGCTCAAAAGAGTTAAGAGAGAATGTTGCGATCACTGAAGAATGGTCTGAATGAGAAAGAAAGAGTAGTGGACATTTAAAGCTTAATTGCCAGACTCAGCTTTTCCCTTAATCAGGGAAACTGACCTAATGAGAACAGAGGGGTCTCTGTGAAGCTGCCAAGCTCAAAGGAGGCAAGGCAGCATAAAGAGACATCTGAAGGCAGGTGTGACATCCAAACTAGGAGAAGCTCAGAGAAAGAAGCAACCAGGGACAGGACAACCTCCATGAAAGGATGTGTTTGAGCTGAGGTGCTGGCCATGGTGCTGACAGGGGTCAGCTTGGGGAGGCCCAGGGAGGTGGAAGATGAAGGCTTGATCACTGACTGGATAGAAAGACAGGGACAGGAAGAAGAAGGAGCTTGGCAGGTGAAGTGCAGGCACAAATACCTACCCTTCTCTGCTTTCGGAATGTGATGAATGTGAATGATCACCCTTTATGTCCTTTATAGGACAAAAACCTCAGCAGAATAAATAACCAACATGTTAGTCACACTAAAGAACCACTCTGAAGCACAGAAGAATAAGCAGAGTAAGATGAACAAGACAAAAACTTTAATATTAAAGAAGAAAATAGAAGTTTGTTACAACAAAATTACACCAAACTTGTTAACAGAACAATGTGGCAGCTTAAGACTCAAGACTTTATTTTTCTCATCCTCAAAGGTCCACTTCATGGTTTTAATTAGACAAACATTTTGTAGAGTACTATAATTCTCTATCTTTTAAATACACATTCACATTATGGTGAAATTGGGAAATCCTAATATTTACTTGTATTAAGAAGTGTTTAAGCAGTCCCTTTCCTCTACAAACTCACCGGTACCTGTTGTTTTTTGACTTTTTAATAGAAGCCATTCTGACTGGTGTGATATGGTATTTCATTGTGCTTTTGATTTGCATTTCTCTAATGATAAGTGATATTGAGCATTTTTTCATAGGCTTGTTGACTGCACGTATGTCTTTGGAAAAGTGTCTGTTCATGTCCTTTGCCCACTTTTTAATGAGTTTCTTAGTTTTTTGCTTGTACATTTGTTTAAGTTCCTTGTAGATTCTGAATATTGGACCTTTGTCAGATGCATAGTTTGCAAATATTTTCTCCCATCCTGTAGGCTGCCTGTTTTCTCTATTGATAGTTTCTTTTCTGTGCAGAAGCTCCTTAATTATGTACCATTTGTCAATTTTTGCTTTTGGTGGTGTTGTCATGAAATCTTTGCCAGTTTCCATGTCCAAAATGGTATTTCCTGGGTTATCTTCCAGGGTTTTTATAGTTTTGGGTTTTTACATTTTAGTCCTTAATCCATCTTCAGTTGATTTTTGTATATGGTGAAGGGAACGGGCCCAGTTTCAGTCTTCTGCCTATGGTTAGCCAGCTATCCTGGCACCATTTATTGAATAGGGAGCCCTTTCCCCACTGCTTGCTTTGCAGGTGGGGGTGTAAATTAGTTCAATCATTGTGGAAAGCAGTGTGGCAATTCCTCAAAGAGCTAAAAACAGAATTACCATTCAGCCCAGCAATCCTAGTACTGAGGATAAACCCAAAGGAATATAAATCATTCTATCATAAAGACACATGCATGCATATGCTCTCTGCAACACTATTCACAATAGCAAAGACACTGAATCAACCTAAATGCCCATCAATGGTAGACTGGGTAAAGAAAATGTGGTACATATACATCATGGAATATGATGCGGCCATTAAAAAGAATGATGTTCCTGCAAAGGAACATAGATGGCCATTATCCTTAGCAAATTAATGCAGGAACAGAAAACCAAATACTGCATGTTCTCACTTAAAAGCGGGAGCTAAACAATGAGTACACATGGACAGAAAGAGGGGAACAACAGACTCTGGGGCCTACTTGAGAGAAGAGGGTGGGAGGAGAGAGAGATTCAGGAAAAAAAAAAACTGTTGGGTACTATGCTTAGTACTCAGGTGAGGAAATAATCTGTACACCAAACCCCCAAGTCACGAATTTACCTGTATAACAAACCTGCACTGAACCTAAAATAAAGGTTAAAAAAAAAGAAGTGTTAACAGCTCCAAATAAGTAAGAGTAACTGTCCACTCCCTGCAGTTGTTCCCACTGAGCCTCTGGTGGCCCCACCCCAATCCCTATGGGGTCTAGAAAGAGTGCCCCGGTCTCCCTGGTCCTTCGCTGATGATGGGGGGTGGCAGCTCTCTGGCCGGCCCTCGGCCCTCGGCCCTCGCCTCTCGCCTGTTAGGTACCCTGGACTTCTCCACATCCTTCCCCACCCCTTCTCGCCTCTCCCACAGGAGTCTGCAGGACCAGGCCAGCAGGTGGCTCAGCTGAGCATCTGCAGACACAGCACACCGACCCCACAGAGAAAAGGCACTCCCAGACCGCTGTCACAGAGAGCTCATGTCGGGGGCGCGAGGGGCTGAGAGGGGCCAGTCACAAGTCAGGCAAGTCCATACAGGGACACAGAGAGCAGGCAGAGGTCAGGGCAGCTGTGGATGACTCGGGGCGTGACTGAAATGCATGAAAGGATGGTTCAAGAACAGCCCAGCAGCTCCCCTCTGCCCACCACGGGAGGGTCTTCACTATCAGTGAGGAATTAAGACTGCAGGCAGCGAAGCCCCCTCCCCACCGGAACCTTGCAGGGCTCCCTCGAGGGGCCACCACTCCTATCACAGCCACTGTCCTGCTCATCCCAGTGACCTTAGGGGCCCCACCCCCCTGCAAGTCCTGCTCACTGGCAAGCCTAGCTTGGAGGCAACGCTCGGGGCAAAGCCAGAGGGTCCTCCCCAGGCCTTCTGTGCAGACCTCTGCGAAGAATCCTGCTCAGCAGTAGATATTTATTGTATTTTAATATCAGGGCCAAAAGCTACAGTTCGCTTTTCAGTTAAGTAAATGTGTATTCACTAAAGGGTTTTAAAACCTTTTTCCTGAAAAAAATGTTCTAGACCATCAAATGCCTTTTTATATTGTTAACTTTTACTCATTTAAAATGCATGTTTTCTAAGCCACATTTTACACACTTTTCTATATAGACAACTCTCAATTAATTCCCTAAGCCAAACCCAGAAATGTTTAACACACACTTTATTGACACTAAGGCACAAATGATGAGTGGCCTCTAGTGTTACCCACAACCATCTGCTTTCTCAGCAGCACTGGCACCTGGTGCTGACAGCCCCTCACCCACCCCCATCTCCCATTCCCCATCCCAGAGCAGGCAAGAGGGGAAGTGGATATTGGGAATCCTGAGAGAGCAGGAATTTGGGGCAAGCAGTAACCAGAGAAGGGAAGCCATAGCCCTTCACCCTCGTCAGCTCCCAGAAGCCTCTGAAACACCAGGAAGGAGGCCTCATGCCACATGTTGTGGAATGGGGCTCAACTAATGTGATGTGGCGAATAAGCAGAACACGGGCTGCTTGGCTGTTTCATCTGCTTCTGTTTTCTTGGTAGTATCTGGCCTATCAGAGACAATTATACCACACCACAGTCACAGTCCTACCTGCCTCTGAGTCCTAAGTGCAGATTCTTAAGAACAGACGGGAATCCTTTAGCGTCACAGGGTAGGTGTGAGTCTGCGCTCCAGGCTCCAGAGATGCTTCTGCAAGCATGCTGCCCAAATCCACGTCTTTTCTGCTACTGGGAGCTCTCTCATCTTTAAAATACAGAATGCATTTCTCATATCTGAAGGAATATATTTAACTGGTGTCTCAACATAACACTTAAAGCAAAACCCAAAAGCAGAGGGTGGGGGGTTGGGGGGAGTAAAGAGCAGCCATATCCCAGTGGAGGGGCAGGAGGAAGAGAAAGAAGGCCTCAGGAGACCTGGTCAGGCCGGCTGAGCGGCAGGGGATGCGGGACAAGCAGGCAGAAATGAGTGGAAAAGCTGAGAGAGGCCGAGAGGAAATTAAACCGGAGGAGGCAGAGCCAAGTAACGAGCAAACATGAAAGGAAATGCCTCCCTGCTTCCTGCCCTTTCTAAAATCACCTCGAGGCAACTGACCACAAATAGTCTTCTATCACAATAAAAAAGGAGATCAGAAATTTCCCGGCTGTTTAGTGGCCTGCCAATGCCACACCACAGTCACCGGCCTTCACTGAACACCCCGGTGCAGGGGGAGAGAATGTAATAACTTCTTAAGAATCTGCACTTAAGCCTCAGAGGCCGGTAGGACTGTTACTGTGGTGCAGTGATCACGGTGCTGCAAGGCACGGCAGGACAATTTCACAGCCCTGTCCTGGAAGTGGCGGAGGGGAGGAGGACTGTGCCTCACAAGCAGTGTACTAACCCAGGGATGAAAAGCACACATTTACTTAACTGAAAAGTGAACTGTAGCTTTTGGCCCTGATATTAAAATACAATAAATATCTACTGCTGAGCAGGATTCTTCGCAGAGGTCTGCACAGAAGGCCTGGGGAGGACCTGCTAGCTTTGCCCCAGCAAATACAGAGCATAGACACCCCCACCGGCCAGAGTGCCCTGGGCTGGGCTGCACACTTCCTGTTGATTTCTTGTCCAATTATCTCAATAATACATCCTCAAGGAAGGAAGTGGAGAACACACAGAAAAGAAGAAAAGAAATAACGTATATCACCACCAGGAAATAACCACTGCTGCTAATATTTTGATGTGTTTCCAATCAGACTTTTTTTTTGTACATGCACATTGTACAAAATTGGAATCCTACTGTATAGCGGGAATCTTGCTGTGTTCATTTAAAATAACATGAGACCTTCTCCAGGCCACTGAATATTCTTTCAAAGCACGGTTTTAATGGCCACAGAATCTGGGAATGACATAGTATAACCACCCTGCTATTATTAAGATATTCAAGCTGCATCCAATTTTCAACTATGATAAGTAAAGCTTCAGTGAGTCTCTTTACATACAAATGATACTGACATCTCCGATTTTAATATAAACCCTTAGAAAGAGGATGATTGAGTCAAAGGTCACAAACACTTCTTTTCCAGAAGGTTCCATCACTTGACATTTCCTCCACTGGAGTATGAGAGTATTCATCCTCCAGCACTCACCCATACTGAGAATAATTATGAGACTGCACCAGTTTGGTGGACCCAAAAACAAAAAAGAATTTTTTAAATTTGCATTTCTCTGATTACTTGTGAGGTTTGGTACTTTTCTATTTGCCTTTTATTTTTCTTCAGTGACTTGCCAACTAGAGTCCACTGCAGATTTGTTCCATTTGATGTTAATGTTTTCTTATTGATTTATGACTGCTTTTAGTATAATAGGGATGGATTGGCAGGTGGACAGCGTATGTCCTGATTTACCAATTCTGTTGATGCTGTTTGACACACACAGGATGCTAATGGATGTGTGGTCAATTGTATCAATCTTTCCCCTTATTATGACTTCCATTGCAAGTAGAGTGTCATGGCCCTTCAGCCTGGGATCCAGACTCAGCTCCCCCACTCACTATCTCAGTGACCCTCTCTTTGCCTCAATTTCCTTGATTGAACGTGCAGGATAATGAGAATGCATTTAATCCATATAGTTAGTATGTGGCACACAGCCTCAGAGATGGCCCCAATGCCCCCCACCTCCTATAATGGCATTCACATGTGATCCCTGCAGGTCCAGCCAGCAGGGACCAGGGCCTGCGAACAGCCACGGAGTGAGCTTGGAGGTAGATACTCCCCAGTGGTCCCTGGAGATGACGCAGCTCCAGCCAACACTTAGTGAGATCCTCAGCCAGAGGCAACCTGCAAAGCTGTGCCAAGATTCCTGGCCCACAAAACTGGGAAGTAATACACATTCGTTGCTGTAAACTGCTACATTTAAGGGTGATTTGCTATGCAGCAGGAGATTACTAATGCATTATACACGTAAAGCACTTAGAACAGTGGCTGTGGCAGATCACACAAAAAAGGCCTAACACGTTGACAGTCCTCCCATGGAAAGAGGAAATCCGTCTCCACCTGGGGTAGCTCAGCTTGACTGTGTGATTTGCTCTGACCAATGGAGCTGTGGCAAACGTGAAGTCACCTACACACAGGAGCCTGCCTCTTACAACTCCTGAAACTCTGCTGTCTCCATGTGAAGAAGCCCAGCCTGCTGGGGGATGAGACTACAAAGCCCATCACCCCTGCTCACCCCAGTTTACAGGCAGCCATCCTGACAATGCAGCCCATCACCCCTGCCCGCCCCAGCTTACAGGCAAGCCATACTAACCATGTGAGGCCATCAATGCACGACCATGAATGAGCTCAGCGAAGAGAGCCACCCAGCCAAGCCCAGCCTGAATTTCCAACCCAAATCACCCACTGAGTAAGTAGTTGCTGGTAGAAGCCACTATGTTCTGGAATAGTTTGTTACACAGCATTTGATACCTAATACAGCTGCCATTATTACTACTATTATTGTCTTGGGATCAGTTACATGATCATACATATTTCTTAACAGTATATTTATGCTTTTACTTTTTAATCCATAGGAAACTTATTTTTGTGTATGATATTAGGTGAGGACCTAACAATGTTTTGCCACACAGCCAGTTCTCCCTTCTCCATAAAACTGCAACACCTTGTTTTCACATATTAGAATCCAGAGCAGGGGCTCCCAACCCCCAGGCCACCGACCAGTATCAGTCCATGGCCTGTTAGGAATCAGGCCGCACTGCAGGAGGTGAGCAGTGGGCAAGTGAGCGAAGCTTCATCTGTATTTACAGCTGCTCCCCACTGCTTGTGTTACCACCTGAGCTTTGCCTCCTGTCAGATCAGCAGCAGCAGCAGATTCTCATAGGAGCATGAACCCTATTGTAAACTGTGCATGTAAAGGATCTAGGTTGTGGCTCCTTATGAAAAGCTAATGCCTGATGATCCGTCACTATCTCCCATCATCCCCAGATGAAACTGTCCAGTTGCAGGAAAACAAGCTCAGGGCTCCCACTGATTCTACATTATGGTGAGTTGCATGATTATTTCATTATATAGTACAATGTAATAATAACAGAAATAAAGTGTACAATAAACGTAATGTGCTTGAATCATCCTGAAACCATCCCCACCCCCTCCCTGTCCATGGAAAAATTGTCTTCCATGAAACCAGTCCCTGGTGCCCAAAAGGCTGGAGACTGCTGATGTAGAGAATTTGGTGATATCATTTCCAGTGATCATTTCTATTGGTATAGTATTAATAGTAAATCTTGACCCAATACCATACAGCTGGTTTGTTTTCATTTTGTCAGGATAATACTGCATGTTCTTTCCACTGAGGCATGGCAGGAGAAATGCTCACTAATCTGACTGCATGGAAGAGGAGGGGTAGTGAAGTTGCTGGGGCAGGTGCAGGAGGAGAGGGAGAGCAGCAACATGAATCAAGAGACAGACACAGTCACAGTCACCAAAGGGATGGGGGTGACGTCAAGGCTATTTTTTGTCTGAAACAGAAACAAAACCTGCCCTAACTTTCTAAGTCAGTCGGCTGCCAAATTCCACAAGCTGATTCTGAGCAGGGCACTAGGCCCTGTGAAGGGGTTGGCAAGGTGCAAGGAGCATGTGGGACAGTGCCCCCTCCCAGGTGTTCACAGCCGCAGAGGGGAGACAGTGCCACCTACGAAACCCTGGAGAAAATATGTATAAACCAAGATGAACACAAATTAATATAATACAAATAATATAGAACGGAAGGAGAGCTTAGAAGCCCCACAGGTCAATCATGGATGGCTACTTGGAGGAAAGTTTTCAGATCCTGAGGAGTAAGATCAGCAAAGAGTGGTGTGTGCAAAGGCAGGAGGCTGGAACACATAATTCATGTGGACTCATCAGTTACTTGGTTAGCGTAAAAAGTCTATAAACAGGTACACTATGCAGTGAGGCTGATGAAGGCATAGGGGCCAATCTGATGGAAGATCTTCAGTGTTAGGTCTGGTCTTCAAGAGAAATGAGCAAACAATGTGTGTTTTTAGGTAATAAGAGTAGGAAACTACAGGTTGTGCACCTTCACAGGGCCCCGTGTTCTTGACACGGTTCTGTGACATATGCAGCATTCCCCAGTGGCTCCAGCAGAAGGAACTGCCTTCCCTAGAATTCTCAAAAAGGAGCACGACTTCCCAAAGGAAAGGAAGCACAGAAGCCGGCATGGTTCCCAGGGGAAGATGCCTGAGAGGCCAGCCGGACCCCAGCCCTCTCACACATCCAGTCGGAATGTCCCTGCCCCTGCCATCACTTGGTGCAGAGCAGGCATGGGCCAGCTAAGAAAATGACGTCTTTGCTTATTTTCAAATTGTACTGAATATCAGCTTTGAGCCTCAACGTTTAGAAATGAAAATACAAGCATGAGCAAGGTCCTAGTCTAAGGATCCATCCACAGCTCTCAGGAGAGCAACATCTTCTGTGTCCCTTGCAGAGTCTTCCATGGTGGGAAGGGGCTGCACTGTGCAGGAAGGCAGGCCCTGGCCCTGGTGCCTGCTGGAAAGGGGCATCACGAGAGACAGGTGCTCGGGGCAGAGGCTCAGCTGCAGTCACAGAAGCCCTGAGGCTTGGACAGAGCCTGTCCTGTCAGCGCTGGCACCCGCTGCCAGGGCCCAGTTATACTGCCTGTTCCTTTGGCTGTGTTAATGAGGGCCTAACTAGCAGTGGAGGCCTCACTTCCCCATCAGCATGAAGCTGCTAAGTGTCCCCCAAAACAGTCGAAAGTGTCACACGGGAGAGACACACTCGAGAGAAACTTCTGCTGCCCCTTGGGTTCCAGATTTGCAGTTTGATTTTGCTTGCCTCCATCAAGGACCACACGAACCCCAAATTCCAAATAAGAACACTGCAGGCCAGTGGGAACCTACTGCCTGTAGCCTGCAGGATGAGGCACGGCTTCCTCACACCCGAACCAAGAGGACCAGCTGTCTCAGCCCACAGAGCCCAGGCCTGGCAAGGAGCTGGAGCCTGTATGAGTCAGGCCTCTCCACAGAAACAAAACTGATAGGACACATATATCAGAGGAAATTCATTATGGGAATTGGCTCACACAATTACAGAAGCTGAGAAGTCTTATGATCTGCTCTCTGCAAGAGGAAGACCCAGGATAGCTAGCATGTCGGTCAGTCTGAGTCTAAAGGCCTGAGGACAGGGTCCAAAGGCCCAAGAACCAGGAGCACCGATGTCCGAAGGCAGGAGAAAATGAATGTCCCAACTCAAGTAGAGACAGCAAATTTGCCCTTCCTGTGCCTTTTTGATCTATCTGGGCCCTCCACAGATTGGAGGATGCATGCCCAAACTGGCAAGGGCAGATCTTCTTTCCTCAGTCTGCTGATTCAAATGTTTATCTCTTCCTGAAACACCCTCACAGACGCTATCAGGAATAATGTTTTACCAGCACCCCTAGCCCAGGCAAACTGACACATAAAATTAACCATCGCAGAGCCACGGGCACGGTAGAGAAGGAAAGCAATCCTGAGCCCACCAAGCCCCCTACCCAATCCCTCCAGCTCTTCTCAAAGCCTCCCTGCCCCTCCTCCCAATTTTGGAGCTTCCGATCCCTGCCCTGGACTTGGAGGTGACCCAGGAGTGATGCACTAGAGATAAGCCAAGGTCATGGTCACGCCTCCTCTGGATCCTCAGTCGACCCAACTTCTCCAGCACCATAATGTCAAACAATCATAGCTCATAGTACATTTTTATATGAAAAAGGAGGATTCTCTGCTGAGGATAACACATGCTTGAACACAAACGTTTTTTTCTGGTTTGTACTCACGTTCACTTTCAGCAGAATACGTCTCCTCTGACTCTTCAGGAAACCATTCCCTTTCCTTAATGGGGTAGTATTTTTTCCACAGACTCCTTGGTACATTTTCTGTTTGCTTTCCCTCACACAAAGGAGACTTATCCAGAGCCAGGACTTGCTAATGGCAGGCGTGGATTCAGCAGGTGTCCGGTGCTGATTCCCACATGTTCCCAGGCGCAGAGCAAGAGGAACAGACCCAATCTCCAGGGCAGGCAAACTTCACCAGGCCAGCTGCCACACAGGGTTGACAAGGGATTGTTCTGCACCCACTGACTCTTTCTCCGACCCATCCAATCAACAGGGGTCCCAAGAAGCTAAGATTTCCATTATTTCCTGCTGCGGGGCTCAGCCAGCCTCCCGCACCACTCCATGCGTCCCCAGCCAGACTATCAGTCCTGGTCCTTCTGAGCAACCCAGCTGTTTCTTAAGAATGCAGTTTCAAAGAGACCTTCAAAGATGGGGTGCAAGGACAGTCATCTGGCCCATGGCCTGTGGAGAAGTGGCAGCTCTATGAAATCGTTGGTGTGACATTTCCTGGGAGGGGACATTTCCTGGGAGGAGAGATGAGTCCCATCATCTGCCCTGAGGACAGGCACTCTTCTCTAGGGAGCAATGTAAGCAAGGCCAGTTCCACCATCCTCATAGATTATTTCTCACCCTTACTGTAAGAGGTCCTCAATTCTCCAGTCTTCACAGGTACAGTAGTTTAATCAAACTAGGAGTTGTACATGATGTTATATAAAGATTATCGCCAACAGCCAGTTATTATCCCTAACTCCCTCAGAGACTAACTACACTGACATTGAGAAACGTTAGGTGACTCTGCAGGGTTGTAAGCCAGGAGGGAGTGAAGCCAAGGTTTGCATAGTGCCTTGGCCTTCTCCTGTGAGCCCCACATGCAGCACAAACTTGGCCCAGAAAGCCCATGGACTCCCTTCTCACACTCTATGTGGGGAATCCAACCTTTGGGAGGTGACTCTTCCATTAACACAGCTTCTAATTCAGTTAATTACTTGACTTGATAGGTTAGTTCCCTTTGTTACTACAAACACCACTACCTGCAAGCTATGGTAATATTATCATGCTTCATTAAAAGTTATCAAGTGATCTACTTTCTAATAGAGGTATAAACACCTAAACACAGCTATTTCAGGCCAGATGAGGTGGCTTACACCTGAAATCCTAGCATTTTTGGAGGCCAAGACAGGAGGGTTGCTTGAGATGAGAAGTTCAAGACCAGCCTGGGCAACACAGCAAGACCATGTCACAACAAAAAACATTTTTTTTTAAATAGCTGGGTGTGGTGGTGCACGCCTGTAGTCCCAGCTACTCAAATGCTGAGGCAAGAGGATCCTGTGAGCCCAGGAGTTTGAGGCTGCAGTGAGCCACGATCGCACCACTGCCTTCCAGCCTGGGTGACAGAGCAAGACTCTATCTCTTAACAACAACAAAGACAGCTATTTCAGACTAAGCCTTTAACTTTAAAAATATGAAACAATGTATGTGTCAGTTACGATTCTTAAATCATTATGTCTGCCTGGGTGCGGTGGCTCATGCCTGTAATCCCGACACTCTGGAAGGCCAAGGTGGGTGGATCACCTTGAGGTCAGGAATTCGAGATCAGCCTGGCCAACATAGTGAAACCCCATCACTACTAAAAATACAAAAATTAGCCCGGCACGGTGGCGCATGCCTGTATTCCCAGCTACTTGGGAGGCTGAGGCAGGAGAATCACTTGAGCCCGGAGGCGGAGGCTGCAGTGACCCGAGATTGTGCCACTGCACTCCAGCCTGGGCGACAGAGTGAGACTCTGTCTCAAAAAACAAAACAAAACAGCAACAAGAAAAAACACAATTCTTAAATCATCACATCTAACTGGAGTCAAGTCATTAACACATTTGAGAAATTTAGCAATAACAAAAAGATTATTAGGATTCTTCTAAGCTAACAATTCTAAATTCTAACTACAAAACCAAATGCTCTGGCTTACCACAACAGAGAATAACATCCAAGCCACTATCACGTCTTTTCCAATTAGTAAGCCATTGGTGGTGTGAATAAAACCTAGAAGTCAATTTTCTACGAACTCTAGCAGGAAGAAAAGTGATTCAGCTTTACAGTTATCTTCTGACCTGTTTTTAGTCTTCATGTAACAAAAAGCTTGTCAAGTTACAACTTTCTTATAGTGCCTCACTATAGAACATTTATTCTATACAAATGGGATTTTCTCAAGACAATAACTACGGCATCAACACGAGGATGACTGCAAGACATCAATATTTTATCTATTTTCATGGATGTTGGACATGCCCAACACTATCCCATTTTGTAAATGTATTGCCTTGCTCTGTGTGATGTTTGTGATAAATGTAGTGTCACAGAAAGCCTCCATGACTGTTATTTCCCTTCATTTTATAAATGCCAAGTTTATTTAAACCTACTGTCACATGACTTTGTTAACCAAATACAACTGTTGAAACTGTTCTAAAACAATGCTTATATCAGTATCAACACACCAGAAAACATGAGTTGCTTCTCAAAAAAATTTCTGATGGCCCAAAATATCCCAATATTTTGCTCAAGAAAGGTAATTTTTCATTTGATGGTGTTGATTTTTATTATGATAAAATACACAGAAAATAAAATTTTCCATTTTCACCAGTTTTTTATTTTTTTATCATTTTTTGAGACGGAGTCTTGCTCTGTCGCCCAGGCTAGAGAGCAGTGGTGCGATCTTGGCTCACTGTAACCTCCGCCTTCCAGGTTCAAGCGATTCTCCTTACTCAGCCTCTCGAGTAGTACAGGTGTCTGCCACTGTGCCAGGCTAATTTTTGTACTTTTGGTAGAGCTGGGGTTTCACTATCTTGGCCCTGCTGGTCTGGAACTCTCGACCTTGTGATCCACCCGCTTCGGCCTCCCATAGTGCTGGGATTACAGGCATGAGCCACCGTGCCCGGCCATCATTTTCACCAGTTTTTAAGTGTATGGTTCAGCAGCATTGAGTACATTTACTGTGTTTGCAACCATCACCACCACCCATCTTCAGAACGTCTTCCAAGACTGAAACTCTGCACCCACTGAACAACTCCCCATTCCTCCCTAGCCCCGTCCCTGGCAACCACCATTCTATTTTCTGTCTCTGTGGGTTTGACTACTCTATGTCCCTCATATAAAGTGAAGTCATACAGTTATTCATCCTTTTGTGACTGACTTATTTCACTCAGCACCATGTCAAGGTTCATCCATGGTGCAGCATGTGTCAGAATCTCCTTCCTTTTTAAGGCTGAGTAATGTTTCATGACAGGTGTAAACCACATTCTGTTTACCCATTCTTCCATCAATGGACGCTTGGGTTGCTTCCATGTTTTAGCTATTGTGAATCATGCTGCTATGAACATGGCTGTGCAAATATCTCTTTGAGCCTCTGCTTTCCATCCTTTGAGTATATACCCAGAAGTGGGATTGCTGGATCACATGGTAATTCTGTTTTAATTTTTTGAGGAACCACTACTCTCCTTTGTTCAGTGGCTCACACCTGTAATCCCAGCACTTTGGAAGGCTGAGGCGGGCAGATCACCTTGGGACAGGAGTTTGAGACCAGCCTGGCTAACATGGTGAAACCCCGTTTCTACTAAAAATACAAAAAATTAGCCAGGTGTGGTGGGCCACACCTGTAATGCCAGCTACTCGGGAGGCTGAGGCAAGAGAATCACTTGAACCCAGGAGGTGGAGGTTGCAGTGAGCCAAGGTCGCACCACTGCAGTCCAGCTTAGGCAACAAGAGCGAAATTCGATCTCAAAACTAATAATAATAATAATAATACAATTAAATTCCTCAAGATGAAAAGTGGTGGCCAAGTGTCTGGTGTACTCTGCAAGTTCTGAGAATCACTAGGAGTCCCATCACAACCTTTTCAGCAAAGCAATATTCTCTCTGGGCATGACCCCTATGTCCAGAGGACAGTGTCAGCCCAACCAGGCTCTGGGCAGGTGGCTGTAGCTTATCACAGAAAAAAGAAATCCCACCAGTGAGAACCCTCTACAATAAAATCAGAAACAGACTCCTAAGATATGTAGTTTCTACTCCTGTTGATAGTTTTTAAAAATAATGAAGGGTAGGAAGTTCCAGTTAATAGTGATAACTCGATCTTGTGCACCTACCTCTCTCCTGCCTCCTGAAACCTTGGACACACTCGGACAAGAAGATGAGGAGGTGCCTCCAGGGGCAGGAGAGTCCAACAGCCTTTTCAAAGCCTTAACATGGACATAGGAATGGCGACTGAGATGGCAGGTACATGGAGGGGGAGTGACGAGGCTCAGGCTGATTCCCCTGCAGAACTTAGGAGCCTGTGGGTTGGAGCCACTGGGGCCCCAGGAGGCAGGCTGCAGAGACACCCACCAGGCTGGAAACCAGGGGTTGGAAAGAAGGCTTGGCCCAGGCACTTCCACCTGTCTCATGAAGCACTGTGACCACACACCTCAGAGGATACTGAAACCCAGTCCCTGGAGAAAGTATCAGGAAAGGTTCAGCGGCCCAGGGCTGAGTTCAGCAACCGATCTTCACCAGGTCCAGGGGCTGCTTAGGGGATGGGAGTTTTCTAAAACTGGGCATGTGGCTGCACAATTATACAATGTATTAAAAAATCATTGAGCCGTAGATTTACAATAGGTGAATAGGACAGTCTGTAAATTATACAGCAGCAAAACTTTAAAAATGCACAGATGAGAGAGAGACGGAAGTAACCAAAATACCAAGGAACTATCAATGTGGCAAGTTTTTGATTTTTTTTTCCTGCTACCCAACAAAATATGAGTCTGAGAACAAGATAAGGTGAATTATTTTAAAAAATAAGAAATGATTTCCATGTGACACAGCAATTCCACTTCTGGGTACATACCCTAAATAACTGAAAGCAGGAGCTCGAACAGATATCTGTGCACCTATGTTCACAGCAGGATTACTCACAGTAGCTGCATGGTGGAAATAACATAAGTGTCCATCAATGGCAGAACAGATATACAAAATGTGGCACAGACACACCATGGAATATTATTTTGCTACAAAAAGGAGGGAAATATTGACACATGCTCCAACACGGATAAACCTTGAGGATGTTACGCTGAGTGAAATAAGCCAGCCATGAAACGACACATACTGCAAGATGCCACTCATATGAGTTGCCCAGAGTCATCAAATTCATTGAGATGGAAAGGAGAATAGGGGTTCCAGGGGCCGGGGAGAAGGGAGATCATGTTCAATGGGGACAGTTTTAGTTGAGGAAGAGGGAGTCTTCTGGAGATGGATTGCGGTGGTGGCTGCACAGCAATGAGAATGTACTTACTGCCACTGAACCGTACTCTTAAAAATGGCTAAGACGGTAAATGTTATGTTATAGATATTTCACCATGATACTAAAAAAAAAAGATAAGGAATGCTATTTTTGCACAGAAAAGAATAAAGAAAAGAAGGACAGCTGAGAAACGTGGAAGTGGGTGTCCCTGCAACTGGGGGCACCTGCACAGCATGGGGCAAGAACAGCCACTTTCATTACCAGCTTCTCAACACAATTTCACTTTGACTCTGTTATATACTAGACAGATTTTTAAGCATTAATTTTAAAACATGATGGAGAGTGGCGGAGATGAAGAGAAAATCAAATCATGGAAGCTACACACCAATAAGCCTGATGTCAATCACAGGCCAGATCTGAGAGGGGACTATCAGAGCAGAAGGCTCGTGAGTACTTCAGGAAGCAAGTGCCAGGCCAAATGCATCTTGATTTCTCTTTTAATAAGGTTATGAGATTGGCATATTAGAGAAATGCTGAGCAGATGAGGGCCTTTATTTCAGCAAGAAGTTAACACAGTCGCTCGTGGACCCTATGAAGAGGAGGCGATGTGGAGGGGCCCCCTGGGCAGGGGGCAGCGAGGCCGCTCATGGCACAACCTCGGAAACAGCAGGAGCAGTTGGTCCAGCCACAGAGCTCCGGCCCAGCCTGGATGCAGGACGGGGAACTTGTTTAAAACAGGCTGACACCATCGGGCCTGTACCCTCAGAGACGAGCCTCCCAATCAAGATGAGATCATCTCAACAGGCTGGAATGCTAACTTTTAAAGCGAACAGATGAATTTATCAGTCTTACAAATGTTCCGCAATTTGGTACCACAATTCATTAACTGCCATGAGCTGTAGGACACAGTGGAAAGGAAAAAAGCATGGGGCTTTAGAGGAGGAGCAGCCCCTTCACCTGAGGCAGTGACGATGCGGTTGGGAGCTGCCCAGGCCATAGTGGAAACCACCCAATGTCTGCCCCCGATATAACCCCCACTCAGCACTGGTGCCATGTCCAAAGTGACAAGATGCCCAGAAGCCACCAGATGAAAACTGGGTGACCAGCCTTCAAATGTGCAAGCAGAAAAAAGAGCTATGCAGGGAATGGGGTGCAGAAGTGGTTTTCTCCATTTGCAGAACTTCAATGTTGGAAGGGAAGTAAGGACATTTCTTGGTTCTCCAGGAAGAGCCAGGCAAACAGAATCATTGTCCAAAAATAGATTTGGCTCTAGTTAAAGCTGCCTGACAACTGAGCCACGTGACACTGCAAGCTCCCCATCCCCAGCTCAGGGAAACGGAGTGCCCACACATCAGAAATGCCACTGAAGGACTGTGCACTCTGCAGAGGATTGACTTAAGTGGACCATAAACACCTTCTGATACCCTACAGTAAAAGAGTAACAGTGATGAAAATAACAACTTCCATTTGCTAAGTCCTGACCGCAGCCAGGCAATCCTGGATGTACTCTAAAGGCTTCCTGACTCTGAGTCTTTGATTCTCAAATTGTATGGTCCATTATAAATACAATCAACAATCAAACCCCAACATAAAGATATTTAACATAAATCATTAGTTCTTTGGGATGACAGTTATAAATAATTTTTATAATTCTTTAAAAGGAAGAGTCTATCAAGTTTATAATAAAAATTGCCTAACACTAACATTTAATTAGTCCTAATACCTGACCGACTTCTTCTTTCGAGACATCAGGGTATACCTAACAATGTTCAGATTTGATAAGGTCTCGAGGAAGCAGGTAGCTCCTTTGTTTGTGGCCTGAGATCTGGCATTGCTGAAGCTAGATTGGGCCAGGCCTGGCTCTGCCAAATACTGATGAACTGCCAGGTTCATTCATTTATCCAACAAATATTTACTGAGTGCCAGTTATGTACCAGGTGCTGTTCTCTGTACCGGCAGAGAGGGCAACCAGCCCCTGAAGCTGGAAGCATATGGTTTGAGGATCAGGAAAACCAAGATGATGGCATGATGGAGCGAGGCATGAGTTCAGCAGGAAGGGCCAGTGAGAGCAGCTCCGAGCAACAGTGCCTCAAAGGGCAGGTTAAAGAAGAAAGGAGGGGAGAGCAAGAAAGCAGTGAGAGAGACTACACAAGAGAACAATGATGTCTGCTTTATGTTTCTGTCATGGTCACTCTGGCTGCTGGGTGGAGATGGTCAGCAGAGAAGCAGGAAAGACAGAAAAGAGACCAGCCAGCAAGGTAGACACTGCAGCCCCCAGGAGAGAGCCCAGGAGAGGACGCTGCAGCCCCCAGGGGAGGACACTGCTGCACCCAGGGGAGGGCCCAGGTGAGGATGCTGATGGCCCCAGGGGAGGGTCCAGGGGAGGATGCTGCAGCCCCCTGGGAAGAGCCGAGGAGAGGACGCTGCACCCCCAAGGGAGAGCCCAGGGGAGGATGCTGCAGCCCCCAGGGGAGAGCCCAGGGGAGGATGCTGCAGCCCCCAGGGTAGGGCCCAGGGGAGGATGCTGCAGCCCCCAGGGGAGGGCCCAGGGGAGGATGCTGCAGCCCCCAGGGGAGGGCCCGGGGAGGATGCTGATGGCCCCAGGGGAGGGCCCAGGGGTGGATGCTGCAGCCCCCAGGGGAGGGCCCAGGAGAGGACGCTGCAGCCCCCAGGAGAGGGCCCAGGAGAGGACGCTGCAGCCCCCAGGGGAGGGCCCAGGGGAGGATGCTGCAGCCCCCAGGGGAGGGCCCAGGGGAGGATGCTGCAGCCCCCAGGGAAGGGCCCAGGGGAAGATGCTGCAGCCCCCAGGGTAGGGCCCAGGGGAGGATGCTGCAGCCCCCAGGGGAGGGCCCAGGGGAGGATGCTGCAGCCCCCAGGGGAGGGCCCGGGGAGGATGCTGATGGCCCCAGGGGAGGGCCCAGGGGTGGATGCTGATGGCCCCAGGGGAGGGCCCAGGGGAGGATGCTGATGGCCCCAGGGGAGGGCCCAGGGGAGGATGCTGCAGCCCCCAAGTAAAACTGGAGCTCCTCCAGAGGAACAGCAGCAGGGGTGGAGGGAGGGAATCCAGCCTGGGTGTGTCCTGCGGCAAAGCGATGGGCAGGGCTAAAGGAAAAGGAGAAATCGAGATGCCTCTCAGGCTATTGGAGTGAACAATGGACAAGAAAGGAAGCCATGTTTTAAAGATGTGCTTAGGTAGTGTTCCACCCAAAGTTCAAATCCAAGTCACTGCCAAAATGCAAAATGCAAACTGCCAGACTTGTGGTCTGTTCATCTATCAGTAAACAGGGATGAATAAAGGCAGAACATGCCTGTTCCCTTCAGAAACTAAATGGCTAGAATAAAGTACTGTTCCATTTCCAGGGTGGCTCAGCTAAAACGCCAAGGAAACGGCCACCTGAGTGTTCGATGGGAACACAGTGTGAGATGCAGGTTAAGAGGATGCTTTTGAAGGCTGCAGTGCTTTGTGGTTGGGCTGTCCTAGTTATAGGCCCTTCCAAGGCTGTGTCAAAGAGATTCAATGCACAGAGACCACCCGGTGAAACTACCACATCCCCCTGCTTTCATCACATCACTCCTTAGAGGAACACACGTTACTCTGAGGAAGTTGAACATCCGTAGCCCAATTAAGACCATCTATGGCCAGGCACAGAAGGCAGTGTCCAGCTCTGTTCCCCTTCCAGACTGGCCTTTCTGCAGCATGACTTACCAGCCTTCAATCACACTCTGTTTCTGCTCCCCTGTGCCTAACTTGGGGTACCCACAACCCACTGCCCTTCTCTGTTATCCACTGGATGAAAGCCACCCAGCAATCATGGCTAGCTCCAGCTCTGCCCCTCCCTGAAGCCTCTTCTGATTGTTCCTGCCTCCAGATGCCAAACAAACCGCTGCCTAAAGACCTTGCACCACAGCACAAGGCTCACAGCTCTTTCTCCTGCAAGTGGATGGTACGTGCCGGACAGAAGACAAGCTGCTTGAAAGCAAGATCATCATGCATTGTTTTTATTCCCCCAAAGAACCTAGGACAGTGTTTCCAATACTGGGAGCACCCTCCTTCCAACAGTGATCGACTGTAAAGCCATAAATATTTCTAAATGTATACTGAACATAATTAAGAAATTCCAAGACAGCAAATATTCATTTTATAAGCTGGTTCTGGGGGTGGGATCTAACTTGCATCACTAGACCACCAATGGTACCTAAATGTGAATGATTAAGAAAAGACAGGCTGGGCATGGTGGCTCATGCCTGTAATCCTAGCACTTTGGGAGGCCAGGGTGGGCAGATCACTTGAGGTCCAGAGATCGAGACCAGCCTGGCGAACATAGTGAAACCTCGTCTCCACTAAAAATACAAAAATTAGGCGGGGTGGTGGCGCATGCCTGTAATCCCAGCTACTTGGGAGGCTGAGGCAGGCGAATCGCTTGAACCCAGGAGGCAGAGATTGCAGTGAGCCGAGATTGCCCCATTGTACTCCAGCCTGCGCAACGAGAGCAAAACTCCATCTCAAAAAAAAAAAAAAAAAGCAAGACAGATAATCCAAATGAACATTTGCAGGGTTGATTAAACTAATTAAATCTTTAATAGTGTCTGAAGTTGCTTTTCAATTATTAATTTGGATGCATTTTTGTTAAACTTCTGAATATGATTTTAAAATATAGTTCTAATCATTAGCCAACACATACATTTTTAACAATTATATGATAATTAAATCTGTTTTGAAACTGTTGAAAATTTTCTTATGTAACCCCAGTTTTCAGGGCTTCAAGCAACTGTGGAGCTACAAAAAAAATATATTAATATGATTTTTTAAAAAGTTCTTCCAACGTTAAGGTAACACACACAAAACCTGCACAAAGGCCACCAGAGCAGCCCCATGCAGCCAAATGCAGTGGCCTTTCTTCCCTAGGGCTCCGGCTTAGGATAAGGCTGGAAGAGCATCCGAGGTGGTTCCACCCCATCCCGATAGCCCCCTTCCAGAAATGCTGACACATGCAACATCCACCAATGGATGAACCTCGAGGACATGGTGCTGAGGGAAATACGCCAGTCACAGAGGACAAATCCTGCAAGATTCTGCTTCTTTTTTGTTTTGTTTTGTTTGTTTGTTTGTTTGAGACAGAGTTTCGCTCTGTCGCCCAGGCTGGAGTACAGTGGCGTGATCTGGGCTCACTGCAAGCTCCGCCTCTTGGGTTCAAGCAATTCTCCTGCCTCAGCCTCCTGGGTAGCTGGAATTACAGGCGCACGCCACCACGCCCAGCTAATTTTTGTATTTTTAGTAGAGACAGGGTTTCACCATGTTGGCCAGGCTGGTCTCGAACTACTGACCTCCAGTGATCCACCTGCCTTGGCCTCCCAAAGTGCTAGGATTACAGGCATGAGCCACCACTCCCAGCCGCATGACTGCACTTCTATGCAGTACCTGGAGTAGTCAGATTCACAGAGAAGTAGAGTGGTGGTTGCCATGGCGGGGGAGGGGAAATAGGGAGTTGGTGTTGAATGACTACAGAGTTTCAGCTTGGGAAGGTGAAAACGTTATAGAGATGGATGGTGGTGATGGCTGAGCAACAGTGTGAACGCACTCAATGCCACTGAGTTGTACACTTCAACATGGTTAAGAGGATCAGTTTCACATATGTGTATTTTACCACAATTAAACATTTTTTAATAAATTAATTTTTTTTAAAAAGCCTCCCTTCCAGCTCCAAAGGCTACCTTTGAGACAGCCTCCTGGAAGGGACCCAGCAGGTCCCCCGTAAGACTCTGATTAAAGTTGTAAACTGCCACCTCCATATTTCTATCTATAGTTGAATTTTCTTTACCACTAAAGAAGTACTTTTGTCTCCTTTTCCACATTCAGTGCCCCTGGGTCATCAAAAGTAAGAGCTAAAAGCACTGATTTTTTGACAAGCAAGCCACAGATTCAATATCATGTATGTTCAACACAGCCTTGAAAACCGCAGAATAGATTTCTTTAAATCACTAAAAGGAGCCTAAGACAAGATCAAAGAATGGATCCCAAATTAACTGAAAACCTTCACACACATACCACAGACAGTCACGGCGTGTGTGTGAACACGGGCAGGATCCAGCAAAGCCACTCAAGATTGGCAGAGGGGCTGCTCGGTGCCCCCCACTGCCACGTTTGTTCTATGTGTGGTTGAGCATCCGGAGGGTCCTGAGGCAGTGCCAGCCCACTGAGGTCACAGGTGAAGCCCACAGGTCCTGGGCCCTGCCAAGGGCTACAGGACACTCATCAATCAGCAGGTGAGAGTACATTTACCTGCTTCGTCTCGGGGAGCCTCCTGCCAGCTCCCTTGCAAACTTCATTCACCTCACGCCTCCCTCCTTCCTGCCAAGTTCACCTCTGTTGCAATCCAGGGCAGGCAAATACTCGTCACTCGGACAACCAGGGCCCATCCTTCACCGCGGCTGCCGCTACTAATCAACCATATGGTCTTTTCCAGGGAAGCCCAGACGCACTTCGAAATCCTTCCCAGTCCTACAAACGCTGCCGGAAGCCACAATCAACTGACAAGCACTGGCAGACAAGGTGATGCGTGTGACTCTTCCACAGCATCCTGACAGTGGCCAGCTCGGGGCTCATGAGCCTGAAGGACGCTCTGCCTTCAAGACGTCTGACATGAGACAGTCCCTCAAAGATATGCTAGCCCTGACAGTGAGCAGTTCCTCCTTGATTCTCTTCCTAGATTAATTTTTTGTTTAATTGGTAATTAATGTTCATTCCTTAATACCAAGTCACAATTAAAAATTGCTCAAGTCACAGTCATTTGACAAACGTCATGCCTTGTTTCACATTAGCAACCACTATTACAGGTGATCTCACTAGACCAACTCAAAATACTGGCTATGGCTCGAAGTGACTCTGCTAAGTAAACAGAGGTGGGGCATTGGAATCACTCCACATTTTCCTGCCGACTCCTGAATTCATTAAGCAGAGCTCAGCCCAATGCACTGGTTTTTTATAGTGCCCCACACAGCCCCAGAGGATCTAGGGGACATTGATGGTCCTGGGTGGGGAGTTGCTAAGTGGAGAGGGTTGTAATGCCTGGGCCCCACCTTCATCCAGATCAACTCCATTTTCACATACTGAGCTTCCTCATAAGATTTCATTGGTAGAAAAGGCTCCATCACTAAGAGTAAAAACGTTTCCCAACTGTTGGCTAATGCATTGTGCAGAGAGTGAATGTGCACATAGAAAAAGCTCCAAGAAGGACTTCTGACCACACAGCGGCCCCTCGAGCTGCAGGGGCAGCCAGCATGGACTGGGATGTGCTACAAATAGAAAGTGAGGGCACAGGTGGCTGAGAATAGGCACAGGAGAGAACAGAAAGACAAGCACAGAAAACAGAGAGACCCCGGGAGGCGCCGGGATAACAGAGAGGCAGAACAGCGGCTACAAAGTGGCAGGAAGGGCTGGCAGATCCCTAGGAATAAAGGGAGTAGCAAAGCTCCAAGCAAATGCTCACCAGAGCCCATATGCCCATCATAACCCACACGGCAGCACGGGGGCCAAGGGCCACAAAAGGCAATGCACGCATACACCGGGGTAATACGTAAGCCCCGCACCCGCCAGTAGGACAGCACACCTCTGGTGCAAAGGCCCTGGGTGTTTCTTTGAAAACAATTAGTCACACTGATCTACAACACATTGTTTCTCAATCTTTTTTCTACCTCATGCCTTCTTCTGAAAAAGAAGATTCTGAACAAGCTGCAGGCAGCCCACATGCACACGTGGAGATTTGGGGGCCCTGATCCAGCAGCCCCGGGAGAATCAGAACCTGCAGTCCACATGCACAACTCTCTGATTCAAGATCAATGCTGACAGTGGTCACCCAAGGAGGAGTGGCCCTGAGGGCTGGGGTGGAGCAGAGGGTGGAACACAGCAGCACGCGGTGGGGGCCCAGAAGGGCTGGGCCAAGCAACAGGGCAGTGGGCCCCCACAAGCTGGGGAGAGGAGCACCCCAAAACAATCTTCCCCCAAGAAATGCAAAGCAGGAATCATCATGAGGCCTCAATGTGCTCATGTTACAGAACAAAGCTCTCCTGATGGTGTTGCCTTTGTTACCTTGTCTCCAACTCTGGGGACGCTTAAATGCTGAAGCCAGGCCTGTCATGCAATTCACCCAGCATCAGCAGGGACAATTCAGGAAGAGGTGGCACCAGGAGGAAAACAGCTCTGGAAGGGCAGGTCTCGATAATCAAAACCCACCTTAAAAATGGCATCATGATGAACTGTTCAGACAAGGCAGCTCTGGCTTCAGTGTGTTAATATTAAATATTTTATACACACACACAACACACAACACACACACACACACACACACACACACACACACACACACACATATAAATTTGAGACGGAGTCTCGCTCTGTTGCCCAGGCTGGAGTGCAATGGCGCAATCTCGGCTCACTGCAACCTCCGCCTCCTGGGTTCAAGCAATTCTCCTGCCTCAGCCTCCCAAGTAGCTGGGATTACAGGCTCCCCCCACCACGCCCAGCTAATTTTTGTATGTTTAGTAGAGATGAGGTTTCACCATGTTGGCCAGGCTGGTCTCTAACTCCTGACCTCATGTGATCCATCTGCCTTGGCCTCCCAAAGTGCTGAGATTACAGGTGTGAGCCACTGCACCCGGCCTATAATCAATTATATTATAAGTTATTTTATAAATTAGTGTAATAATACATGTGATATAAATACAAGAATCTCCCTTTTATCCATTTTTTAAAGATTTTAGGTTTAAGCATACAAGTACTTACATTTGACTACTAGAAAGAGAATAAAAAATAGATTGTAACTATCTGCTGAAGGATGACAAAACAGCCACTGGCTGGTCAGTACACTCAGTCACCAGAGAAGTCTTCAAAGTAGTCCCAAGAGGCCAGTTAGGAAGGGGGAAAGGAGGCAGGGTAGGTTCTTGAGGGTGGGGGAAGCAGGGGAGGGGCAGCTCACCAGCACTCACTGTACAGCTGGTTTACCTGTTGGACAGGACGGTGTTTTTCCAGCAATCTCACTTGGGAAAGAAGGAGGAGCAGGTGGCCCAGCTTCACCCTATGACAAGTGTGACTTTCTTGCAGCCACACCATACCCAGGCTGCTCCCACCCCCTCCTTTCCCCTCTCTGGCTACAGCTCTGACTAACCCGGGTAACCTGTCCCTGGGCAGCTGGAATGTGCCCTCTTCTATAGCTGAATGTTGGTGTCTCTTTTCCTGGAAAACCATAACACTTCCAACAAAATAAGGAGGCCACCGAGGGATGGTGGCAGCTGCAGTTCCCCCCATGTAGAGGATTCCCTGCGGCAATCCAGACCCAGCATGCCTGGATCTTCCAATTCTGCAAAAGAATTCAAAGTCCATTCTGTACTGTGAACTCTCCCAAGTTTTAAGTGTTATCAAATAAACATTTTTAAACACCGCATGAGCTAAAGAAAACATACCTGGGAGCGGAAGGCCACCTGTGGTCTTGGTTTTAGGACCTCTGAACAAAAAGATAGACTTCAGTGCTCAGGGTGAACAGAAAAATATGTTTTTGAAAGAAATAATAACTTGTCAGAAAGACGTCTACTCTATGTCACGTCAATACCAGGCACAGCAGCGAGGGACCATTGGACACCGGCTGTCCTCAGTTCAAGAAACCGCCTGAGGCTGCTGGCAAATTGACCTCAGGGCCCCGGCCGCAGCCACGGCCCCATCTCCCGGGCTGAATGCTGCTGCTCTAGCACTCATTCATGACAACGAGGACATCTCAAAGCTAGGAGGCCCCCGGAGGCTCCAGTTCAACAACATACCCAAGGTCACCCCGTGGGCCACGGCAGTCCGGACTCCCACATCAAGCTGGGCCTCCTGGAAGACAGCACTGAACCTAGCCATGGATTCTGCAGACAACCTTCAAACCCCCATCTACAGCCTTCAATAGCAAACCCTGAAGCACAGTGCGTGCTGCCCTACCCTATGACCTAGTTACAGACGGGCTTGCGACGGTTACTAGGAGTGAGAGCAGAGGCCCTCATTGTATAAAGACCAGTGCCCATCCTGCTACCTCACTGAAATGGAGGGAGAAAGCCTAAATCACCAAGTTTAGAGTTGGTGGGCGAGAAGAGAGGCTACCTACGGTTCAGGGAAACCAGCAAAGATAAGCCATCCAGGCTGGGGCGGGGGCCATCCCCACCCTACCCCAAGTCTCAGAAAGGCTGCGCCCGGCGTCAGGGCACCCCTCCTGGGTAGGGGCCCTGAGATGACAGTTCACACAGATCAGCCCTTCAGAAAACACAGTCATGCTTCTCAAACACATTAAAACACAAATGACTACGGTTCAGGTTCATGGTCAAGTCCAGTCCTTCCATCTCTCCCTGACAATCTATATGTCCTGGTCACTGCGTGGGGACTTAGGTACCTCCTTGGCCACACAGTTCAAGGTCATTTCTGTTGTTGTTTTTTTTTCCTTTGGAGACAGGGTCTCACTCCGTCACCCAGGCTGGAGTGCAGTGGTACAATCTTGGCTCATGGCAACCTCCGCCTCCCGGGTTCAAGTGATTCTCGTGCCTCAGCCTCCCAAGTAGCTGGGATTATAGACATGTACCACCACTCCCAGCTAATTTTTGTATCGTTAGAACAGACAGGGTTTCACCATGTTGGCCAGGCTGGTCTCGAACTCCTGACCTCAAGTGATTTACTCGCGCCTCAGCCTCCCGAAGTGCTGGGATTACAGGCGTGAGCCACCGCACCCGGCCAAGGTCATTTCTTCGGGGGATCTTTTGTGTAGATGTCGTATCTTGCTCATTACATATTGATTTTTCCTAGTTTTATTCATAGAAAGAAACCCCATTTTCCCAATGTGGAAGCACCTCCTTATATAAGGCAAATGTATGAACATTTTTATCCTGCAGAAACCTGTGTGCCCTACATTGTATGATCCAGAATAGATTCTGGCCCTCCACCATAAAAAGCACATGTTCACACCAAAGCAAGCAAAGACATGCGGCACTGAGCGAGAGTGTGTGGGAGGGGGTGACAAGAATGGTCTGTGGGACCCCGGACAGCCTTTCTGGGCCCCCGGTCCTCACTGCACAGATGCCAATAATCACTGCTGCTTCCAAGGGGTGAGCTGGAGACAGAACGCTGAGAGAGTACAGGCTCACAGCAGGCTGCATCTGCGCACGCTCTTGGTGTCATCACTACTGCTGGCCTGAGCAGGAAGGCCCACCCTGCCACAGCGGTCCCTGCACAGGGCTGAGTCCTGTGACCACAGCCCCATTAAAAAATGCTCTGTGCTCCATCCGGCTCCCTTAGCAACCTCACAGGGTCCCAACCTCAGAGCAGGATCTGGAAGGACCGTTCACTCACCGCACCTTGGAATGCATTCAACTTGGCGGTGGCCCGAAGCTGACTCCCACCAGGGCAGAGGAAAAAACACAACCCAGTGGGCAAGAGGGGCTGAGGGAGGAGGAGTAGGGGGCGAGGGGGCAGTGCTGGGCAAAAGGAAGGGGACACCAAGGGCAGACACATCCCTGGATGTCCAAATGGAAAGAAATGAGGAGGAGGAGGAAGGGTCCCTTGAAGGGCCGTACCATCCCGCAGAGGGGACATGAGGCTGTCCCAGAGAGGGGTATGGGTCCTGAGAAGCTAGTTAGCACCTCTGATGCCAGCCCTAATGTCCACTCTCCCTGGTCCATGGCACACCCTCTCCAGGCAGGCCTTCCCGAGAGGAGAGACCTCCAGAGAAGCAGGATCTACGGAAGGGCGAGCTGACCCATGGTGACAGGTCTCCTACTTCCCTGCCCAAGTGGTTGGCATCTGTATCTTGTTCATAGTAAGATCTGCTCATGAGACAAGAGCCACTAAGAAATATTCACAGACAAGATGATTGCATTTGGGGAAAATGTGACAGACCTGAAGTGAAAACAAAGGCCAACTTACAAAATGTCAAGAGTCCAACAACCTGAAATGCAAAGCAATAATACACACATATACATTTTAGACAGCAAATTATACTCTTCAAAAGGAAACTTTAGCTCTAAATTTTTATAACTAAAATCTGCAATTCTTTTCTATCCCCCCAAATAACAATGTTTTAACAGGAAACTGGCTATTTACATAACGTGTTCAATAGCGTGGAAAAGCATTTTGTGTATTTTATTATATGTTTATTGTTTCAGAAGCCACCATAAAGTTGACCACCTGCCACTGCCACCCCATAAAAGGGAAAACGTCTATGTGTAGTTCTATTGGACTCACTGGGAAGCCATTAGCTGACCCTTCATTATTTTTAGGCTTCTGAGCTAAAGTGGGAGGAGAAAATGACGTTAGAATGCCCGTTCACCAAACAGCTACTCAGTGGCTGCTGCTGCAGACACCAAGGAGGTCAGCATGGGGCCCACAAAGAGAAAGGACACATCCCTCTTCGTGGTCCAGCCACCAAGGTTTTACCACCACCAGGCAGGGCCAGACCTGGACATGCGTCCCCAATACCCCACCTCTGCCCCTGACCACCCTTGTCCTTCCTGGACACTTCTGGACCTGAGGACAGACATTTCCCTCGACTGCAAAGATGAGGCAGAAATGACACCTGGAAGCAGGGGACGAGTGAGTCTCTCACACTTCCCTAGAGTAGAAGCCACAGAGGTACCAAAGTGAGGGCGGAGAAACACCAAGTGCCAGCAAGGAGCGGCCAAACCTCTCACATGCTGCTGGCGGGAGCAGACAGCGATGCCACCACCCTGGAAAACCGATTGCCAGCCACGACAACAGTTGAACACAGGCACACTCCGTGCCCCAGCAATTCCACTCTCCTAGGCATACACCCATCCAAACAGGCGCGTATGCTCACCAAGGCCACGTACGAGAATGTGTCGGCAGCACTGACTCTAAGACCCGAAACTGGAAACTACCCTAGTGCCATCAACAGCACACTGGTAGGTAAGTGCACTCATACAAGAGAGCACTCTACAGCAATAAACATGAATGAACCACTCAACAATACAGATGGCTCTTCACAAACACACTGTTGAAAGTGTAAGAGATCAGACACTAAATAATACATGTTGTATGAATCCATTTATATAAAGTTCAAAAGCAAGAAAAATTAATACAGGATGCTAAAAATCAGAAGAAAGGTTCACCTTTGGGGGCAGTAAGTAGAAGGGAGCACAAGGGGGACCTTGAGGTGCAACTGATGTTCTGCCTTTGGGTGCCGGCTACACAGAGACATTCAGTTTGTAAAAAACATACTGAGCTATACACTCAACTGTTTGTGCAGTTCTCTGCATGTATGTTAGACTTCAACAAAAAGTGCAAAAAAAAATAAGGGCTGAGGAGAGAAACTGTTGCTAGGAGACAAAGAAATGAAGATTCTGGCTTTGGTTATTAGCCCTTAGAGCTTGGAGAACTGTGGATACACGCTGAAAGCCCATTAAATTTTTCAAGGAATCTTAGGACCAGAGAAACACCAAACCTGGCCATCAGTGGTCTCTGGTACTCTGCTACCAATCTCCAGACCTGTGCCTGCAAGACATGGCTGAGAAAAAGCTGCAGGCCTGGAGAGGGGACCCTGTCCATCTCAGACATGGCCGGGGAAAATGGTCCAGGGAGATCTCTATACAGACCATGCCCACCCCATACACAGGGGAGACTCAAGGCTGTACCCACTTGGGGAGGGGGTGGGTGTACTTCACGTGGGCATGAGCGTTCCCGAGGTGCACGTGGGTAAGAATGGACTGGATGGCCCTCACTGGTCAATCACTGTCCTGCAAATCACGTTCTGCTTCCCTCTGTGAATCACTGTCCAGCAGAAGCACAACACAAGCCTTGGGTGTACTTTACAATTTCCTCATAGCCACATTAAAAAGAATAGAAAGAAATTAAATTTAACTATATATATATATATATATATATATATTTTTTTTTTTTTTTTTTTTTCTGAGACGGAGTCTTGCTCTGTCACCCAGGCTGGAGTGCAGTGGCGTGATCTCAGCTCACTGCAAGCTCCGCCTCCCGGGTTCACGCCATTCTCCTGCCTCAGCCTCCCGAGTAGCTGGGACTACAGGCGCCCGTCACCACGCCCGGCTAATTTTTATTGTATTTTTTAGTAGAAACAGAGTTTCACCATGTTAGCCAGAATGGTCTCGATCTCCTGACCTCGTGATCCGCCTGCCTTGGCCTCCCAAAGTGCTGGGATTATAGGTGTGAGCCACCGCGTCCAGCCTAACAATATATTTTCTTCAACCCAATACATTAAAAATATTATCCTTTCAATGTGTAAACAACATAAAAAATATTCAGATGTTGTACATTCTTTCATGCACCTCAAGTCTTTAAAGTGCGTGTGTGATGTAGTTTGGATATTTGTCCCCGCCCAGATTTCATGTTGAGATATAATCCCTGATGCTGGAGGTGGGGCCTGGTGGGAGGAGTTTGGATCATGGGGGCAGATCCCTCATGGCTTGATGCCGTCTTTGTCATATTGAGTTCTTGCACGATCTGGTCATTTAAAAGTGTATGGGGCAGGTGCAGTGGCTCACACCTGTAATCCCAGCACTTTGGGAGGCCGAGGCAGGAGGATCACTTGAGGTCAGGAGTTCAAGACCAGCCTGGCAAACATGGCAAAACCCTGTCTCTACTAAAAATACAAAAATTAGCTGGGCGTGGTGGTGGGCGCCTATAATCCCAGCTACTCAGGAGGCTGAGGCAGGAGAATCTCTTGAACCGGGGAGGCGGAGGTTGCAGTGAGCTGAGATCTTTTGAGACTCTGTCTCAAAAAAAATTGAAAATAATAATAAAAGTGTGTGGCAGGCCAGGCGTGGTGGCTCACACCTGTAATCCCAGCACTTTGGGAGGCCGAGGCAGGTGGATCACGAGGTCAGGAGATCGAGACCATCCTGGCTAACATGGTGAAACCCCGTCTCTACTAAAAAATACAAAAAAAAAAAAAAAAAATTAGCCGGGCGTGGTGGCGGGCGCCTGTAGTCCCAGCTACTTGGGAGGCTGAGGCAGGAGAATGGCGTGAACCCGGGAGGTGGAGCTTGCAGTGAGCCAAGATCACACCACTGCACTCCAGCCTGGGTGACAGAGCGAGGCTCTGTCTCAAAAAAAAAAAAAAAAAAAAGTGTGTGGCACCTCTCCGACCCCCGCTCCTGCTCTCCCCATGGTATGCGGTTGCTCCTGCTTTGCCTTCCTCTGTGAATAAAACTCCCTGAGGCCTCCCCAGAAGCAGATGCCGCTATGCTTCCTGCACAGCCTGCAGAACCAAGAGTGAATTAAACTTCTTTTCTTATAAATTACCCAGGGTCAGGTATTTCTTTATAGCGACACAAGAAGGGCCTAATACAGTGGGTGTTTTCCACATACAGCAGCACATCGCAATCAGCACCAGCCACACATCAGTGCTCCGGAACCAGCTGGACAGCACAACTATGGGAAGGAGTACCTGCTCCCCACTACTCCACCCCTAAGGGCTACTGTGAATAGCTTTGGCTGCAATTCTCTCTCTCCCTCCCTCTCTTTCTCTCTCCCTCCCTCTCTCTCTGTCTGTCTCACACACACATACACACACACACATACATACACACACACACACACACACACACATGCTGGGACCTAGAATAAGCTGTTCTATCCCTCTAGCCACAGAGGTCAAGTCAATGAGAGATCTGCCAGGAATCTTGCAGAAGAAACAGACACTTTTCCCATTGGGCTGAAGGTGAGAGAAAGGATGTGAGGTCTGGAATTGTAGCAGCTGCTTGAGGCCATGAGGTAGAGGCTGTCTAGGAATGGAGCCACAGAGAGAGGAGAACAGAGCCCAGGAAGAAAGGAAAAGCAATGTGGTTCTGTGGACATGGCTGGAACCTCTGCATCAACAGATATATCCCCTACTCTTGGATTTTTCAGTCTCATGTGCTAAAAAATTTGCTTGTTCACTACGCAAATTTGGGCTGCACTGATGTGATCTGTTATTAAAATAGTCCCAGATAATACACCTCATTATTCTAATTATCTCTGCTTTTTTTCCCTTCTAGCAACTTTAAAGTTTCATATTGTTGTTGAATTCTTCTTACTGATTCAAGTTACTAGTATGCTTTTAATAACATGTCTGAATATATCTAAGCCTCAAAACACTGCATTTCTTTTGAAGCTACAATTTCAGTTTTAAGGGCTCATCCTACGAAAATAACCAGACAAGTGTCCAAAAATGTGTACACAAGACCATTCACTATAGCAAAAAAAAAAAAAAAAAAAAAAAAAAAACCCACAAATGCACACTGAGAAATAAGTGGGTGTCCAGTCCTAAGGAGATAGCTTCCCTCTGGCACAGAGGGCCCCCCAGTGGGCAGCGTTCTTTGTTCCCTGCGTGGACAGCACCCTGGTAGGGCAGGGAGGCCACAGGCTCACTGGAGCACGGTCACAGAAGGACGTGATGCAAAGAAAAAGAGCCGGATGTGGTGGAAGGAAGGGAACATGCAGAGAGTTAGGCAGGGCATGGGGAGGCAGCATGGGGCCCACTCTCCCATGTCCCAGCAGAGAGGAGGAACGTCTAGGAGGGGGAGCGGGGGCAGAGCCTGCCAACCTGGACTGCTGTCAGAGCAAACCTGTGCCAGAGCAAACCTGGTGGACACTGGTTTAGAGGCATTGAACATCCCATTTCCCGGGCAACTCTGACTTTCCGAAGGTGTGAGTGGGACCCAGAAAACCTCACGGCTGCAGTTGGGGGGTGAGAGTCTGGGAGGTAACAGCTGGGCAATGTGGAGGCGAGACAAGGGGACCACCATGGGAAGGAGGTGAGGTGGCCCCCAAGGGCCAGATGGGGGAATGTGTCAAACACTCAGAAATCCTGCAGAGGAACCCAGGGGAACTGAGTCAGCGAGGGAAAGTCCCTAGACCATACCCCAGCATGGGAGAACAGATGACAGCAGTAAGCAGGTGGAGAAGGAGTGCTGCCTTGGGGGTCCATGGCACCAAAGGATGCTGTGCCCAGAGTCTCTGCTCCTCACCCCCAGTGACATCAGACAGCTACACCATCCCTGCTTCCAGATGCCATTCTGAAGACGAGCCTGCAGGGCAGGCAGAGGCTGAGAAATCTGAGAGGCTCAGCACTACCTATACGGGCACTTCTCAATTAGAAGTGTGCATAGGAATCCCATGGGAATGCCGTTAAAATGCAGATCCTGCTACAAAATATCTGGGGGTGGGGCCTGAGACCCTGCATTTCTAACAGACTCCCAGGAGATGCAGAGACTCCTAATGGATGGGCCACACTCAGAGTAGTAAGGCCCTCAGGGACCTCTGTGAATGAAACAGAATTAAAACAACCCTCCCGCTCTCAAGTAGATGTAAGATTCATGCAGAAGACAGACTGATTATACAAAAAAATAGTATTAATAAGGAAGACAGACGTACCCTCCACATCTGAGATTAGTGTGAATACTGTACTCTGCAACTCCACTACACCTACTTATAATCTAATAAAAATTCTGAAGGAAACATTTATAAGGCATAAAGATTAAAAATATTAAATTATATGCTTAACATAGCCTGGCTAAGTGCACTCTGGGGGTTGAAGGCAAGGATAAGGCCATAAGGAAAAGAGCAGTGCCTTGATCTTCCTCTATAAATCAAGTCACTTAGTCCTAGACACCATTTGCCTTGTTAGGACTGCAATGGTTCTCTGACTTCACGAATAAGCGGATCCTGCCTTCTACCCCCACATACTGCCAAACATGACGTTTTTAAGGTTTATTTAATTCATACATGTTATTATTTAGGGCAGATTTTGGTTCACAGCAAAATGGAGCAAAAAAGGGCAGAAAGTTGCCATATACTCCCCCTCTCCCCAGAAGCACAGCTTTCCCCATCAGAGTGGTGTATTTCTTTTTCTTTTCTTTCTTTCTTTTTTTCTGAGATGGAGTTTTGCTCTTGTTGCCCAGGCTGGAGTACAGTGGAACAGTCTCAGCTCACTGCAATCTACACATTCCAGGTTCAAGCAATTCTCCTGCCTCAGCCTCCCAAGTAGCTGGGATTACAGGTGCCTGCAACCACAGGCAGCTAATTTTTTTTTTTTTTTTTGTATTTTTAGTAGAGATGGGATTTCACCATGTTGGCCAGGCTGGTCTCGAACTCCTGACCTCAGGTGATCTGCCTGCTTCAGCCTCCCAAAGTGCTGAGATTACAGGCGTGAGCCACCATACCTGGCCAGTACATTTCTTACAATCAATGAACCTACACACTGACACATCATTATCACCCAAGTCCATGGTATACATTAGGGTTCACTCTTGGTGTTGTACATTCTGTGGGTTTGGACAAATGTATAACAACGTGTATCCACCATTGTAGTATCTTAAGAGACAGTTTCACTGCTCTCTGTGCCCCACCTATTCATCTCTCCCTCCCCCAAACCTCTGGCAACCACTGTTCTTTTTACTGTCTCCACAGTCTTGCTTTATCTGGAATGTCATATCTTGGGAATCACAGCAGTGTGTAGCCTCTTCAGACTGGCTTCTTTCCCTTAGTAATATTAATTTAAAGTTCCAGATCTTTTCATAGCTTGATAGCTCATTTCTTTTTAGTGCTTAGAAGTATTCCACTGTTTGGATATCTCACAGTTTATTTATCAATTTACCTACAGAAGGACATTTCCACTGCTTCCAAGTTTTGGCAATTATGAATAATGATGCTATAAATATCCAAGTGCAGGCTTTTGTAGGGCCATAAGTTTTTAATTCATTTAGGTAAATACCAAGGAGTATGACTGTAGGCTCATAGGGTAAGAGTATGTTTCATTTTGTAAGAAGCTGCTCAACTGCCTTCCAAAGTGGCTGTAGTGTTTAGTGTTCCCACCAACAATGAATGAGACTCCCTGTTGCTCCACCTCCACATCAGCATTTGATGCTATCAGTGTTTTGGCTTTTAGCCATTCTAACAGGTGTGCAGTGGTATCTCACTGTTGTTTTAATTTGCATTTTCCTAATGATATATGATGTTGAACATCTTCATATGCTTATTTGACAACTGTATATCTTCAGTGAGATGTCTGTTCAGGTTGTTTGCCCATTTTTTAATCAGGTTATTTGTTTTCTTATTATCAAGGTTTAAGAGTTATTTGTATATTTTGAATAAAAGTCCTTGATCACATATAACTTCTGCAAATATTTTCTCCTAGGTTTGTCTTTTCATTCTCTTGACACTGTCTTTAGCAAGACAGAAGTTTCTAATTTTAAGGAAGTCCAGCTTACCAATTTTTTCTTTCATGTATTGTCCCTCTGGTGTTGTATCTAAAAAATCCATCACCAAACCTAGGGTCATTAAGATTTCCTTCTGTGTAATTTATGAAGAGCTGTATAATTTTATGTTTTACACTTAGGTCTATGATCTATTTTAAAGTGCATTTTTGGGAAGAGTTTGCGTGTTGGCCTCTAGCTGTTCCAGCCCCATCTGTTGAACACACTATCCTTTTGCCCTTGAATTGTTTTTGTTCCATGTTTCAGATATTAGCTAACTATATTGTGTGGTCTAACTAGTTAGAAATAAATTGTCTATTATTTAATCAAGACTACACTATCCTGATTAAGTAAGTGTTGAAGTCGAGTATTGTTAGTCCTCTAATTTGGTTGATCTCCTTCGCTATTGTGTCAACTATTCTGAATCTTTTGCTTTTCCACATAAATTTCAGAATCAGTTTATTCAAATCCTCAAAATCACTTGCTGAGATTTCTGATTATTACATTTTTTAAATAACTACAAAATGATTGATTTTATTAGTTTGTTGGAAACTGCCTATCTGGCTATAGTCTACGTTTCAGCTGTTATAAAATCTGCAAGTCCTCATACAAAAACTTTCACACTATGATGACACCTCACTGCTGACAGCCTCCTCTGCAGTCCTGGAGCTCCTGCAGGATACACGCTGCATGCACAGGTAGACATGTGCAACCCAGGAGGGCAGCCAGGGTTTTCCCAGGATGTCAAAGCTCAGAAGGAACCAAAAATTTTAAAGATTTTTAAAAATATTTTAATTTTTTACAATATAGGTTGAAAGCAAATAGCTCCTTCAAGAGCTAGAACAACTGAACTTCACATCTAATAACAAGAATGTTCAATTAAAACAGAAAGCTACCCTATGGCCCTTCCATTCATAATGCCCATCCATGAGCCTCAGCATGGACTACAAGTGGATTTAGGGGTCCCTTTCAAGATCTTCAATTGTTCAGAGGGCACTCCACTGCCCTAGCGGAAGGAATAAATCTGTCACACCACCCACAACACAGCTAGTTCTGGAGGGCCAGGACCATGGCCCAGAAGCAGTACTGCATGAAGATTAAACTTCTCTTCCTTTTAAGTGTCAGATCCCAAACTGTCAACAGTGTATACATGCATTGTAACAAACACAAACACTACCAACAGAAAATAATCATTCACATGCCATAGGTACATGCATGTGTACACACACACACGCACAGACTCTCACACACATACTTCATATTTGCTTGTCTTTTACTGAGAAAAAAGGGATTATAATATGCAAAAAACAGATTTTTTAAAGTAATCATGATAACAGAAACACTCAGCTAAGATGCTATTCTATTCATTTATAAACACCTTGCTTCCTAAGGGCCTGCCACACCTTAACCCATAGAACTCACTTGTGGAATAAATTCTTTACTGAATGAAATAAGAACTTAAGTCACAAAGTATCTATTGACTATGATATGGAAAAAAGCCTTTTAAAAGCACGTATTATCATATATAAATACAGAATATGAACTAAGGGCTACAGCAGGAAAACGTTAACTGGTTATGAATTAGAATTTTTATTTGTCTATTGCTTGCAGGGTTTTATTGGGCACCTAGCCTGTTTGAAGCATGAAAGCTTTAACCCCAAGACTCACCCTGCAAGCCAAAAGCATACTTTGTTGGCAACATTAAAGCATTTCTGGCTTCTGGCCTGGGACATCAGCAAAAAGGCAGAGTAGGCAGCTCCAAGGGTCCATCCTCCACAAAACCATTGAAAATTCAAGCAAAAACTGTCAGAATCAACTTTGTCAGAATAATGGAAACAGTAAATGGTTCGCAGCAACCAAGCAAAAATGGAATGGAGAGAAAGGTAAAATAAAAGCAGGAGGAAGGCCCTGTGGTGTTTTCATCTACCCAAATCCACCCTCCTCTCCAGCTCCACAGTGCAGGACCTGGCCCCTGTCTTGAAGACAGCAGCAGCATTCCCAGTGCAGGACCTGGCCCCTGGTTCCCGAGGGTGCAGAGCAGACTTGATTCACAAAGAATTGTGTTTGCTCTAACCTGTCTGGAGGCTGCTGAAGGACTGATTCAAGGGGCTCCTCTCTGTTCTGTGTAACTCAGAATGCACTCAGGGCAGAAAAGTGGCAGGCACTCCTGGAAAACACTAGAAGGCAAATGAGCAACCTGCAGTCCCTGGGACAGAAGATTACCATTGAGGCACACGGTAGAGTGCCAAAACCATGAAAGGAAAGGCTGGGGACAGGGTTTAAGAAATTCAGGCATTCAACACAAGGAACTCAAACATCTCAACAGCAAAGAACAAATAATCCCATTAAAAAGTGGGCAAAGGATCTGAATAGACATTTTTCAAAAGAAGACATACAAATGGCCAGGAGATATATGAAAGAATGCTCGACATCCATCACCAATCATCAGGGAAATGCAAATCAAAACCACAATGATATATACCATCCCAACCCAGTTGCAATGGCTATTATCAAAAAGACAGAACGTAATAAATGCTGGTGAGGATGGAAAGGGAACTCTTATACACTGTTGGTGAGAATGTAAATTAGTATAGCTGCTAAGGAAAATCGTATGGAGATTTCTCAAAAAAGTAAAAACAGAACTACCATATGATCCAGCAATCCCACTGCTGGCTGTTTATCCAAAGGAAAGGAAATCAGTATGTTGAAGAGATATCCATACTCCCATGTTCATTACAGCACTATTCACAATATCTAAGATAGGAAATCAACCTCAGTGTCCATCAATGGATAAAGAAATTGATAAAATGATAAATTGATACATTGTTAAAGAAAATGGGAGACACACACACACACAAACACACAATAGAGTACTATTCACACTTTAAAAAGAAGGAAATCCTGCCTTTTTTAATAACATGGATAAGCCTGAAAGACATCACACCAAGTGAAATAAGCAAGCCAGAGAATGATAAATACCATGCGGTGTACGTATGATATACTATTTGGCCATAAGATAGAATGAAAATGGAATACTATCTGGCCATAAAAAAAGAAAAAAAAGAATGAAATCCTGTCCGGGCACAGTGGCGCACGCCTGTAATCCCAGCACTTTGGGAGGCCGAGGTGGGCAGATCACTTGAGGTCAGGAGTTGAAGACCAGCCTGGCCAACATGGTGAAACCCCATCTCCACTAAAGACATAAAAATTAGCCTGGCGTGGTGGCGTGCGCCTGTAATCCAGCTACTCAGGAGGCAGAGGCAAGAGAATCGCTTGGACCTGGGAGGCAGAGGTTGCAGTGAGCCAAGATTGTACATCTGCGCTCCAGCCTGGGCGGCAGAGCGAGACTCTGCCTCAAAACAAACAAACAAACAAAAAGAATGAAATCCTGTCATTTACGGCAACACAGATCAGCCTGAAGGATATTATGTTAAGCAAAGTAAGTCAGGCACTGGAAGACAAATACCACATGATCTCAACCATATGTGATGGCTGAAAAAAAATGAGCTCATGGATATAGAAAATTAGAATTGTGGGTGCAGAGTCTGGGAAGGGTACCAGTGAGGGGAGGATGATGAGAGGTTGGTTAATGGATACAAAGTTGCAGCTAGATAGGAAGCATGAATTCTGGTGTTCTATAGCACTATAGGGTGAATATGGTTAACTACAATTTATTATATATTCTCAAAAAGCTAGAATAGAGGATTTTCAATGTTCACAACACAAAGAAATGAGGTGATGGATATGCTAATTATCCTGATTCGATCATTACACATTGTATACACATATTGAAATATCACTCTGTATCCCATAAATATGTACAGTTATTATTTGACAACTAAAAATAAAAGGGAAAAAGAAATTCAAGCATTCCAAAGCACCTATGCATATGGGTGGGAATGTAGACAGCCATGTGAATGCCCAGAGCAGAACGCATGCTCAGAAGAAGCCTGAGAAGACCCCAGTCTTTCACCTCTGGATGAGCTCCAGGTTCAGTATAAACAAGAAATGAAGGTCAAGGCATAGCTGTAAAAAGCCAGGCTAAGTGTTAAAGGAGGACTCCACCACAGAGCCACTCCATACAGATAAGCGGTCAGTCTCTTCTCTCTCTGTTTTTCTCTGCCTCTCTCTCCAACCCCCTCGCTCTCTCTATCATGTTTTGGCATCTGGTGCTCAAGGAAATCTCTTTGACAGCACTAGCTGAACAAACAACTAAACAGAGACTTCAGAGACCACACACGGTAAGGAATTACAGATCTTGCAAAACTCTACAGTCTATAGCAAGCAACAACAAACCCTGAGGTGGGGGAAGAATCTGATCTCCAGAGTTACCTCTGTTTAATATGCAAAATGTCCAGGCGTTTGTTCGTTTGTTTTGAGACAGGGTCTCACTCTGTCACCCAGGGTGGAGTGCAGTGGCTCGATCTCAGCTCACTGCAACCTCCACCTCCTGGATTCAACTAATTATCCTGCCTCAGCCTCCAGAGCAGCTGGGATTACAGGCATGCACCACCACACCTGGCTAATTTTTCTATTTTTAGTAGAGACGGGATTTTGCCATGTTGGCCAGGCTGGTCTCAAACTCCTGACCTCAAGTGATCTGCCCACCTTAACCTCCTAAACTGCTACAATTACAAGTGTGAGCCACCATGCCTGGCATGTTCAGTTTTCAACAATAACTTATGAACCATGTAAAGAAACAAGAAAATATGGCTCATTCACATAAGAAATTAACAAACATTGTCCCTGAAGAAACACACACACTGGACTTACTAAAGACTTTAAATCAACTGCCCTAAATATGCTAAATGACTTAAAGGAAAGAAAGGAAAAGGAGCTAAAGGAAATCAGGATAAGAATGTATGAACAAATAAGTGAATTGAAATAAAGATATAGAAATTATAAAAGGGAGTCAAATTCTAAGGTCAAAAAGTACACCAACTGAATTTTTTTAAAAATCACTAGAGCATCTCAGTAACAGACTTGACTAGGCAGAAGAAAGAACCCGCGAACATAAAGACAGGGCAATGAAAATTATCCAGTCTGAGAGGAAGAACAAAAATGATAAAAGATTAACAGGTATGAAATGCCATCAAGCATACCAATACCAAGTACATAACAGGAATCCCAGAAGGAGAGGTGCGAGTGAAAGGAACACAAAGAATATTTGGAGAAATAATTGCCAAAACTTACCATACCTGATAAAAGATACAAATCTACACACACAAGAAGTTCAGTGAGTTTCAAGTGAGATGAATACAAAGAAATCCACACTGAGACACATTATAATCAAACAGTCAAAAAGCCAAGGGCAAAGAGAAAAATCTTGAAATCAGCGAGAGAGGAGCCACTGATTCACATACAAGGGATCCTCAATCAGATTAACAGCTGACTTCTCATCAGAGACCAGGGGACCAGAAGGCAATGAAATGACATTTTAAAGTGATGGGCAGGATGGGGGTGATGCTTCCAACCAAGCATTGTATGATACATCCTACAAAAATACCCTTGAAAAATGAAGGAGAAATTTACACCCACATATTGAATGGCTCCAATTGTATAAAATATCAGAAACAGGTAACAATCCACAGGGACATAATTCAGACTGATGGCTTCCAGGGGCTAGGAGAGGGGAAATAGGGAGAAACAATTTAATGAGTATGGGATTTCCTCTGGAGACAATGAAAATAATTTTGGACTTTTATAGAGGGAGTGGTTACACAACGGTGTGAATGTACTAAACGTCAAAGAATTATTCACACAAAAATTATTACTGTTAAGTTAATTTCACCTCAGTAAAGAAAAATAAAACATGGGAAAAACTGGCTTCTGACAAACTGATCAAAGTTCTGAATCACAGGCAGTAGCAGAAGCAGCATGGATTACCCTGAGATCTCTTCCTTCCTTCCTTACCTGCCTGGCCGAGAGAAATATGGAGCGAGGGTACTGATTTAAGATAATATGCTAACTGGGTGCTTGTAGCAATATCAAAAGGTAATGTAATATAGACTAAACCATATGGAACCATGAACTGCCAAGGACATGAGTTACCTGCCAAAGTAAGACGTTGCCCTTGGGTGCAGACAGAAAACATGGTGGGGTGATCTTTATCAACAGTCAGCAACAGGATAAAATTCCATGTGTAAAGGCCACCTGAACTTTGATTCTGTATGTGCGTATTTTACAAGAATGTAAGAGCAGTCCAAAAACTATTTTAATTGAATTCATTCTATACATAGGTGCATCCCAATGCCAATTACTGGCATCAATTCTAAACCAATAAATAAGAACATATGTATTTTACGCACAAAATGTCATGTCTCTCTGGATATCCCATGCACAACCCCAACAGTACCCGTCCATCAGAGCCTGCAGCTCTATGAAGGAGAACTTAACAGCACTCTAGGTGAACACGCCCCTGCCTGATGCCGTCCACAAAGCTAGGCACATTTGCACGTCTGGGTACCATCGCTCAGCTACACAACCACAGGCCATGACGGCGCAGTTCTTCCAACTAGGCTGTGCTGACACAGGTCTCGAGATGGCTGATGCTTTTGATGCATCCTGAAGTTTTGCTACAAAGATCACCACAAAAATGTTCAAGCATCAAAATGTTTTAATTCTTCTGAAATGAAACTGTCTCTAAATAGCTCAGCAATAAAATTCAATAATTCTATTGGGTTCAAAGCAGTTTAACAATGGAAAATGAATTATATAGTCAAAGGTGGTCCATTCTCGCTCTCCAGTAAACATTTCTGTATGTGCGGAATTGGTGGGTTCTCGGTCTCACTGACTTCAAGAATGAAGCCGTGGACCCCCGGTGAATTTTACACTTCTTAAAGGCCGGTGCATCTGGAGTCGTTAGTTCCTTGTGGTGTTCGGACATGTTGGGAGTTTCTTCCTTCTCTCCCAATGGGTTTATGGTCTCTCTGGCCTCAGAAGCAAAGCTGCAGAACTTCGCTGTGAGTATTACAGCTCTTGAAGGTAATACAGAGCCTAAGAGTGAGCAGTGGCAAGATTTACCGCAAAGAGCGAAAGAACAAAACCTCCACAACATGGAAGAGAACCCAAACAGTTTGCGGCTGCTGGCTCCGGCAGCCTGCTTTTATTCCCTTGTCTGACCCCACCCACATTCTGCTGATTGGCCCATTTTACAGAGAGCTGACTGGTCCATTTTACAGAGAGCTGATTGGTCCGTTTTACAGAGAGCTAATTGGTCTGTTTTGACAGGGTGCTGATTGGTGCGTTTACAATCGCTGACCTAGACACAGAGTGCTGATTGGTGTATTTACAATCCTCTAGCTAGGTGTAAAAGTTCTCCAAGTCCCCACTAGATTAGCTAGACACAGAGCACTGATTGGTGCATTTACAAACCTTGAGCTAGACACAGAGTGCTGACTGGTGCATATACAATCCTCCAGCTAGACATAAAAGTTCTCCAAGTCCCCACCTGACTCAGGAGCCCAGCTGGCTTCCGCTAGTGGATCCCGTGCCAGGGCCGAAGGGGAGCTGCCTGCCAGTCCCACTCCAGGCGCCTGCTCTCCTCAGCCCTTGGGGGTCTATGGGACTGGACGCCTATGGAGCAGGGGGTGATGCCCCTCTGGGAGGCTCAGGCAGGAGGCTCGGGCAGCACGGGAGCCCACTGCAGGGGGCAGCATGGCGGGCTGCAGATCCCCAGCCCTGACCCGTGGGGAGGCGGCTGAGGCCCCGCGAGAATTCGAGTGTGGCACAGGCGGGCCAGCAGTGCTAGGAGACCCAGCGCCCCCTCCACAGCTGGTGGCCCAGGTACTAAGCCCCTCACTGCCCAGGGCCAGTGGCACCAGTTGGCCACTCCGAGTGTGGGGCCGCTGCCTGCACCCACCCAGATCTTGGGCTAGCCCACGAGCCCTGTGCACAGCCCTGGTTCCTGCCCGCACCCCTCCCTCCACACCTCCCCGTAAGCAGAGGGAGCTGGCTCCTGCCTCGGCCAGCCCAGAGTGGGGCTCCTACAGTGCAGCAGGGGGCTGAAGGGCTCCTCAAGCGTGGCCAAAGCAGACATCGAGGCCCAGGAGGTGCAGAGAGTGAGCGAGCGAGCACTGCTAGCACATTGTCACCTCTCATCTAGACTTGTTGAGTGTGAGTACCTGCCCTTTCTGGAACAAACCATCAATTCTTTTGCTCCCTACAATTTTAAGTTCCAATCTGGTGAGCCCTAGGGTCCCTAGGTTTCATATTGTAGAAGGCTTTAAATCTAAAGAGTCCTTGGATAAATGGAAGGGCAAAGTAAATCTCAGGAAGTTTCACACAGTAGCTATCTGACTGCATTCAAGAAAGAAATCTCTGTATTTTCCTTCAACTTCTCTCACACAGCCCAAAGTTGTTGGGAGAAGGTAAAGGAAAAAACATGAAGATTTATTTCATGGAGATAGCCAGCATAGGGGAAATTATTTACCTTTTCGACTTAGAACAACTAGAAAACAAGTTTCCAATCATGGTCATCTCCTGCCTCACAGTAGACATTAAAGTTAAGTTAGAGAATTCACAACCACACCCTTCTGATTGACACTATACATATCAATCTCGTTACTCAACTGAGGGGAAAAAACTATTTCCATCAGCTAGACCTTTTCCTGCACTCCATGAAAAGCTCAAACACTCAGGATGTCAAACTTAACTTTTTTGCAATCACACAGCAAGGCCCAATCTGTCAAAGCCATACGATTCACTGCCTTTATTTCTACTGTTGGTTTGATTTTTTTTTTTTTCTAGCTTGTGGGTTTCAGGGCAGACAAAGGCAGCTAAAAGTCTCAGGGAGAAAAAGAATCTCCAGTAGGCTGTACCATAGACATCCCCATTTATTGCATGTAACTTACTTCACTTCTCAACCCCACAGTTTAATCACCTGTATAAAACTGGCGCAGTAATACTCAGACTGCAAAGTCATTGTAAGAATTAGCAGTAGCATGAGGAAAACATCAGCTCATGTTAGGAATGCACTGATTATTACCTGGCATTATTTAGATTGATTAATAAGTTCATATATGCATAGTGGGAAACACCTTGGTCTAACATTCTTTGGTTCTAATTATGATTACGATATCATGTGATTTCCATGTGTTAGAGAGCAAGTCATAATTATCACCATTGTAAAAGGAGAAGTACATTCTACATCAGATTGACAAATTGTGTTCTATAAAACTCTAAGAAGCCAGGCAGATACCTCAAGAGCCATGAGGACTCAATAGGAAGGTTGCTAAATTCTATGAGCTATCGGTTATGACCTTCAAGTGTTAAACATATTAATATAGAGGTATAACTTTTCCCGATAGGAAATAAAAGGCAATTACTATTTTAACATGCTGCCAAACACACTGCCTATTGTTAAAATAATTGTTAAAATTTTTATTGAGGCTGGGCACGGTGGCTCATGCCTGTAATCCCAGCACTTTGGGAGGCCAAAGCAGGTAGATCACCTGAGGTCAGGAGTTCGAGACCAGCCTGGCCAACATGGTGAAACCCCGTCTCTACTAAAAATACAAAAATTAGCCAGGCGTGGTGGCGGGCACCTGTAATCCCAGCTATTCAGGAGGTTGAGGCAGGAGAATCGCTTGAACCCTGGAAGCGGAGGTTGCAGTGAGCTGAGATCACGCCACTGCACTCCAGCTGGGGCGACAGAGTGAGACTCCGTCTCCAAAAAAAAAAAGTTTTTGTTGAAATAAATTATTTTAAATAACAGTGACTTCAGTTAAAATCCTAATTAGTGAACTTATTAGTAATTCAATAATAGTATTTCCAATGCTTCCCTGACAACCCTTTTTTTTTTTTTTTTTTTTTTTTTTGAGACGGAGTCTCGCTCTGTCGCCCAGGCTGGAGTGCAGTGGCGGGATCTCGGCTCACTGCAAGCTCCGCCTCCCGGGTTCACGCCATTCTCCTGCCTCAGCCTCCCAAGTAGCTGGGACTACAGGCGCCCGCCACTACGCCCGGCTAATTTTTTGTATTTTTAGTAGAGACGGGGTTTCACCGTTTTAGCCGGGATGGTCTCGATCTCCTGACCTCGTGATCCGCCCGCCTCGGCCTCCCAAAGTGCTGGGATTACAGGCGTGAGCCACCGCGCCCGGCCGACAACTCTTTTTACCTCATAAAGAGAAGCTATGTAAATCCTGAGGCAAACAGCACGCTTAATGCTGAGCATTTAAAAGCATTCTCAGGCAGAAGGATCACTTGAGCCCAGTAATTCAAGGCTGCAGTGAGCTATGATAACACCACTGCACTCCAGCCAGTGTGCAGAGTAAGATCCTGTCTCTAAAAATAAATAAATAGTTCAGATAGAAATAAACAGAATATAGATAGATAGACAGATAGAGATAATAAAAGCATTCCTGGCTAGGCATGGTGGCTCAGGCCTGTAATCCCAGCACTTTCGGAGGCTGAGGTGGGCGAATCACCTGAGGTCAGGAGTTCCAAGACCAGCCTGGCCAATATGGTGAAACCTCATCTCTACTAAAAATACAAAAAATTAGCCAGGGTGGTGGCTCACACCCGTAATCCCAGGTACTCGGGAGGCTGAGGCAGGAGAGTTGCTTGAACCCAGGAGGCAGAGGTTGCAGAGAGCCAAGATCACACCACTGTACTCCAGCCTGGCCAATAGAGTGAGACTCCATCTCAAAAAATTTAAAGAAAGCATTCCCAATGAAGACACAGCAAAAATGCTCTCCTTCACTATTACTATTCAATATTTAATGGGAATTCCCAGCCAGCACAATTAAGAAAATAAGTAACAAGGATCGAAAAGAGACAATATTATCATTCTTTACTGACAGAATGATTACATATAAAATTCAAAAACATATACAAAGTATCAGACCTAATACGAGTTTGGAAAGACTATAGGAAAAAAAAAACTTTAAAAACGCTTTCCAATATTTCAATAACAATCAATTAAAAACCATTTTTAGAATTAGCAATAAACTCCACCAGGTACCTAGAAAAAAACTAAGACACAAGAACTTTATACACATAAAATTGTGCCAAAATACGTTAAAATGTATTCAACTCTTCCAGCTTTATTGTGGTATAAGTGACAAATAAAAATTGTATATATTTTAGGTGAACAACATAAGTTGATACACATATTCACTGTAAAATGATTACCACAATCAGGCCAATTAACATATCCATCACCTCACATAGTTACCATTTTTATCCTTGTGGTAAGAATATTTAAAATCTACTCTCTTAGCAAATTTCAAGTATACAAAACATTATTATTTTAGTTATAGCCACATTAGGTCTCCAAAACTAACTCATCGTGTAACTGAAAGTTTGTTCGCTTTGACCAACACCTACCCATTTCCCACAGGCCCAGCCCCTGCAACCATCATTCTCCTCTCTGTTTCTATGAGCCACGTTTTTAGATTCCACATATAAGTGAGACCATGTGGTATTTATCATTCCCTGGCTTGCTTATTTCACTTAGTGTAATGTCCTCCAGGCTTATCCATGTTGTTCAAAAAGGCAGGATTTCCTTTCTTTGAAGGCTGGCTAATACTCCTCTGCCTGTGTGTTTGTGTGCATGTGTGTGTGTGTCTGGATGTGTGTTTGTATGTGTGTCACATTTTATCAGTTTATCCACTGATGGACATTAGGTTGTTCCCATTATCTTGGCTATTGTGACTAATGCTGCAGTGTACATGGGGGTGTAGATTTATCTTTAAAACACTGATTTCAATTACTTTGGATATATACCCAGAAGTAGAATTGTTGGATCATATGGTTGTTCTATAATTTTTTGAGGAACCTCTATACTGTTTACCACAATGGCAGTACCAATTTACATTCCCAGCATCAATATATAAGGGTTCCCTTTTCTCCACAACCTCACCAACTCTTGTTATCTGTTGGTACTTTGAGAATAGCCATTCTAACAGGTGGGAGATCACATCTCATTGTAGTTTTGATTTGTATTTCCCTGATGATTGATGATGTTGAGCACTTTTTCACATACTTGTTGCCATTTGTATGTCTTCTGTGAGTTGCCTTTACATTTCATTGTTTCCTTTGCTCTAAAGAAATATTTTAGTATGGTGTAGTCCAATTATTTGTTTTTACTTTTGTTGCTTCTGTTTTTGGTGTAATATTCAAAACATCACTGCTAAGATCCATCTTATTGAGCTTTCTATGTTTTCTTCTAGGAGTTTTGTGGCTTCAGGCCTTTCCTTTAAATCTTTAAACAATTTTAACTTGATTTTTGTGTACAGTGTCAGATAACTCTCCAATTTTGTTTCCTTTCATATTTTTTCTTTTTTTGCATGAGGATATCCAGTTTTCCTAACACCATTAATTGAAAACAATGATCCTTTTCCCATTGTGTATTCATGGCACCTTTGTCAAAGATTAGTTGACCATATATGCATGGGTTTATTTATGGGCTTTCTATTCTGTTCCATTGGTCTATGTGTCTGTTTTTATGCCAGTAGCATGTTTTTTTGGCTACTATAGCTTTGTAATATAATTTAAAATCAGGAGATGTGATGACTTCAGTTTTGTTCTTCCTGTTAAAAATTGCTTGGGCTATTCGGGGTCTTTTGTGGTTCCCTATGAATTTTAGGATTGTTTTTTCTATTTCTGTGAAAAATGCCAATGAAATTTTGATAGACTGCATTGAATCTGTAGATCACTTTGGGTATTATGAATATTTTTATAATATTGATTATTCTGATCCATGAACATGGGATATCTTCCCATTTGTGTATCATTCCATTTCTTTTATCAATGTTTCATAGTTTTTGGTGTATAGATCTTGCATCTCCTTATTTAAGTTTATTTATGTTATTATTTTTGATGCTATTGTAAATCAGACTGATTTCTTAATTTCTTTTTCTAATACTGTACACTAATGTGTTATTAGTGTACAGAAACACAACTGCTTTTTATATCCTGCAACTTTACTAAATTCATTTATAGTTCTAATTAGTTTTGGGGTGGTGTCTTTAGGAATTTCTATTACAAGATCACATCTCCTGCAATCAGAAACAATTTCCTCCTTCCCAATTTGGATGACTAATAAAATAAATAAATAAAATAAAATAAAATAATAAAATTATTTTTACTGCCTAATTGCTTTGACTAGGATTTCCACTACTACTTTAAATAAAAGTGGTGAGAGTGGGCATCCTTGTCTTCTTCCTGATTTTAGAGAAAAAGCTCTCAACCATTTATGGTTGACTATGATGGTAGCTTGTGAAATATGACCTTTATTGTGTTGAGGCATATTATTTCTATACCTAAATTTGTTTAGAGTTTTTGTCATAAAAGATTGTTGAATTTTGTCAAATGTTGGTTTAAATATTTGAGATAATCATATAATTTTTGTCCTTCATTCTTTCTGTTAATGTGTTGTACCACACTTATTGATTATATTGAACTATCTTTGTATCCCAGGGATAAATCCCACTTATTTGTTTAATATGCTATTGAATTCAGTTTTCTAGTATTGTGCTAAAGATTTCTACACATATATTCATCAGGGATATTGGCTTGTAATTTTCTTTCCTTGTAGAATTTTTGCCTGGCTTTGCTATCAGGGTAATGCTAGCCTCATAAAACAAGTTGGAAGATGTTCCTTCTTGCTATGGTTTGAATATGCCCTCCAAAGTTAATGTGTTAGAAACTTAATCCCCAATGCAACAGTATTAGGAAGTAGGGCCTAATGGGAGGTGCTTAGGTCATGAGGGTTCCATCCTTATCAATGCATTAATGCTGATTATAAAAGGGCTTGAAGCTGTGAGTTCCATCTCTTGCTCTCTCGCACTCTTTTTCTCTTCTGCCTTCTGCTATGCAATGACATAGCAAGAGGATCCTCACCAGATGTGGGCCCTAGATCTTGGACTTCCCCGTCTCCAAAACTGTAAGAAATTAATTTATTTTCTATGTAAGTTACCAAGTCTGTGGTATTTTGTTACAGCAACACAAAATAGACTAAGACATTTTCTCTTCAATTTTTTTTGGAAGCGTTTGAGAAGCACTGGTATTAATTCTTCTTTAAATGCTTGGTAGAATTCATCAGTGAAGCCATCGGATCCTGGACTTTTCTTTGATAGAAAGATTTTTGTTACTGATTCAAACTTCTTACTCATTATTAGCCTGTTAAGACTTCTTTTTCTTCACGATTAAATCCAAGACTTCTTTTTCTTCATGATTAAGTCTTTGTAGGTTGTGTGTTTCTAGGAATTTATCCATTACTTCTGGGCTAATTTATTGGCATATAAGTGTTTGTAGTACTCTCTTAGGATCCTTTGTAATCCTGTGGTATCAATTGTAATGTCTTCCCTTTCATTTCTGATTTTATTTTAGTCTTCTTTTTTCTTAATCTAATTAACAGTATGTCAATTTCATTTATCTTTTCAAAAAACCAACTCTTAGTTTTGCTGATCTTTTCTATTATTTTTCTAAGTTCTATTTCATGTATTTGTTCTCTGATCTTTACTATATCCTTCCTTCTGCTAACTTTAGTTTGTTCTTCTTTTTCTAGTTTCTCAATATGTAATGATAGGTTGTTTATTTGAGATCTTTCATTTTTCTTCATGTAGGCATTTTTCACTATAAACTTTCCTCTTAAAACTACTTTTGCTGCATCACCTATGATAAGATTTGGCTCTGTGTCCCCATGCAAATCTTATCTCAAATTGTAATCCCCATGTGTTGAGGGAGGGAACTGGTGGGAAGTGACTGGATCACAGAGGTGGTTTGCCCCATGCTTTTCTCGTGTTAGTGACTGAGTTCTCATGACAGCTGATGGCTTTTAAGTGTGGCACTTCCTCACTCTCTCCTGCTGCCTTATGAAGATGTGCCTTGTTTCCCCTTCACCTTCTGCTATGATCGTTAAGTTTCTTGAGGCCTCCCCAGCCATGTGGAACTGTGAGTCAATTAAACCTCTTTTCTTTATAAATTATCCAGTCTCAGTATCTTTATAACAGTGTGAGAATGGACTGATATACCCAAAGTTTTGGTACACTGTGTTTTCATTTTCATTTGTCTCAAGATATTTTTTAATTTTCCTACTGATTTCTTCTGCTCCATTGGTTGGGAGTATGTTGTTTGATTTCCACATATTTGTAATTTTCCCAATTCCCTTCCATTAGTTATTTCTAGTTTCATGATACTATGATCAGAAAGAAATATTACATAATTTGATATATAATTAAAATATAATTTCAATCTGCTTAAATACATTAAGACTTGTTTTGTGGCCCAACGTATAACCTATCCTGAAGAATGTTCCATGTATACTTTAGAAGAATCTGTACTCTGCTGCTGTTGAATAGAATGTTCTGTATTTCTGTATATATCTGTTAGGTCTACTTGGTATAAAGTGTAAAATCTAATGTTTCCTTACTGATTTTCTCTCTGGATATCCTGTCTGTAGTTGAAAGTTAGGTAATGAGGTCCCTCATTATTACTGTATTGCTGTCTATTTCTCCTTTCAGATCTATTAATATTTGCTGTATATTATTTACGTGGTCTGATGTTGGGTACATATATGATTATTGTGTCCTCTTAATGAATTGATCCCTTTTTCATTACATAATGACCTTTTTGATCTCTTTTAAAGTTTTGTAGTCAAACTATATTTTGTCTGATATAAATATAGCTACCCCTGCTCTCTTTTGGTTTCCATTTGCAAGAAGTATCTTAATTCCTTCACATTCGGTTTATGTATGTCTTTAAAGTTGAAGTGATTTTCTTACGGCAGCATATAGTTGAGTCTTGTTTTTAAATCTATTCAGCCAATCTGTCTTTTGACTGGATAATTTAATGCATTTACATTCAAGGTAATTATTGATAAGAACTTTCAATTGTCATTTTGTTAATTTGTTTCTGGGTGTTTTGAGGATGCCTTGATCCTTTCTTCCTCTCTTGCTGTCTTCCTTTGTGACTTGACAATTTTCTGTAGCAGTATGCTTTGATTCCTTTCTCTTCATCTTTTCTGTATCTACTATATGTTTTTGCTTTGCCATTACCATGAGGCTTACATAAAGCATATTATAGTTATAACAGTTTAAGCTGATAAAAACTTGTTTGTTTGTTTTGAGACAGAGGCTTGCTCTGTTGCCCAGGCTGGAGTGCAGTGGCGTGATCATAACTCACTGCAGCTTCTAACTCCTTGAGAGATGATCCTCTCACCCAAGCCTCCTGGGTACCTAGGACTACAGGTGCACACACTAGGCTAATTTTTTTTTTTTTTTTAGAAATGAGGTCTCACTATGTTGCCCAGGCTGATGTCAAACACCTAGGCTCAAGCAATCCTCTTGCTTTGTCCTCTCAAAGTGCTGAGATTACAAGTGTGAGCCACCATGCCCAGTCAAAAACTTAACTTTGATAACATACAAAAACTCTACACTACTTTCTGATAGTGAAGTGTAAGTAAATTCTTCCTAATTGGTAATTACATATTGTGTAAATGAACTAAACTCTCTAAGAGAAAGGCAGAGATTGGCAGAATAAATTAGAAACTTGTGGAACTGTATGCTGTCTACAAGAGACTCACTTTAGATTAAAAGACAAAAACAGGTTGAAAGTAAAAGGAAAGAAAAGGATATTTCATGTGAACAGAAACCAAAATAGAGCTGGAGTGTATACACTAATATCAGATGAAATACACTTTAAGATAAAAATTGCTACTAAAAACAAAGCAGCACAATATACACTAATAAAAAGGTCAAGTCATTAAGAAAATACTGCAATTATAAATATACCACACCTACCAACAGAGTCCTAAAAATACCTGAAGCAAAAAATTGACAGAATTGAAATACAAAATAGGGAATTCAACAATAATAGTTGGAGAATTAAATACCTCAATTTCAATAATGAATAGAACAAATAGAATAACAGCAAGGAAACAGAAGACTTGAACAACACTATAAACCAATCAACTTGACATCTATAGAACACTCAACCCAACAGCAGCAGAATACACATTCTTCTCAAGCATACATGGAACATTTTCCTGATGAAACATATATTGGGCCAAAAAACAAGTCTCTGTAAATCTTTAAAGATTCAAATAATGCAAAACATGTTCTCTGATCACAAAAGAATAAATTAAGAAATCAATCACAAAAGGAAAACTGGAAATTCACAAATACATGCAAATTAACAACACATTCCATTGGCCAATGGGTCAAAGAAGAATTTACAAGAGAACTTAGAAAATACTTTGAGATAAAATAAAAATAAAATACAATATACTAAAGCTTAATCTTTCATATCAGAGTTTAATCCATTTGAATAAAAGCAGTGCTCAGAGGGAAATTTATATCTGTAAATGCCTTCACTAATAAAATAAAAAACTCTCAAATCAATAATCTAACCTTCCACCATAAGAAACTTAAAAAAGAGCAAATTAAATCTAAATCAAACACATACAAAAAAGAGATTGGAGCCAAACAGAGAACAGAAAAACAACATAGAAAATCAACAAAACCAAAGTTGGTTCTTTGAAAAGATCAACAATATTGACAAACTTTAGCTAGGCTGAGCAAAGAAAAAATAGAAGACTCCAATTACTAAAATCAGGAATGAAAGAGAGAATATCATAATTCTAAGAAAATTCTATGAAAGCTGGATACCATCAAATTAGATACCCTAGATGAAATGGACAAATTCTTAGAAACACACGATCTACCAAAATTGACTCAAGAAGAAACAGACCTGTAGCTAATAAAGAAATGAGTCAACTTTTCTAAAAAAAAATCTTTCAATGAGGAAAGCCTCGACCAGATGGTTTCATTGGGGTATTCTACAAAATGTTTAAAGAAAAATTAACAACATTATTTCTCAAACTCTTACAAAGAGTAGAAGAGAAGGGAATACTTCGTAATTCATTCTGTGGAAGTGAAACACATCAAAAGTAAAAACTACAGATCAATAACCGTTGTGACTACAGATGCAAACATTCTCAACAAAACATTAGCAAATGGAATCTAACAGCATATGAAAGGGGTTATTCACCATGACCAAGTAGAGTTTATCCCAGAAATGTGAGGTTGGTCCAACATATAAAAATTTATCAACATAATAAAGCATATTAGCATAAACCCACATGATCATCTCAATAGATGCAGAAAAAGTATTTGACAAATTCCAACATCTTTTCATGATAAAAATTCTCAACAAATTAGAAACAGAAAAGAAAATTTCTTAACCTGATAAAGGGCATCCATGAAAAACCAATAGCTAACATCATACTTAACAGGGAAAGACTGAAAGCTTTGCTCCTAAGATCAGGAAGAAGACAAGGATGTCTACCTCTCACCACTTCTATTCAACATTTTACTGGAGGTTATAGCCAGGGCAAAAAAGAATGCTGTAGGCAAGAAGATGAAATAAAATGCATCCATACTGAAAAGGAAGAAGTAAAAGTATCTCTGTTCACAGATGACCTAATTTTATATAGAGAAAACCCTAAATAATAAACACACATACATATTAAAGCTAATAAATTTGGCAAGGTGACACGATATAAGTTCAATGTATAAAAATCAGTTGTATTTGTATACACACAATGAAAAATTTTAAAATGAAATGAAAAAGACAATTCCATCAACAATACCAGTAAAAAGAATAAAATATTCAGAAAAAATCTAACTAAAGAAGTGCAAGACATATACACTGAAAACCATAAAACATTGCTGAAGTAAATTAAAGACTGAAATAAATGAAAATATATCTAATGTTAATGGACAGATCAAAGCAATTCCTATCAAAAATCTCATCGAGAATTTTTTTTTGCAAGGATCAACAAACTAATCCTACAATTCATATGGAAATTCCTGAAACCCAGACAAGTCAAAACAATCTTGAAAAAGAACAAAGTGAGAGGAATCACACTTTCTGATTTCCAAATTTACTACAATGCTACAGTAATCAAGACAGTGTGATACTGGTATAAGACAGTCAAATAGATCAGTGAAACAGATCTATGGCCAAGTAACTTTCAACAAGAGTGCCAAGACCATTCAATAAGGAAAGAATAATTTTCTCAAGAAATGGTTCTAAAACTAGATATCCACATACAAAGGAATGAAGTTGGACCCCACCTTATACCATATACAAAAATTAATGCAAAATGAATCAAAGGCCTAAATGTAAGGGCTATAACTAAAAATCCTAGAAAAAAAAAGCATAGATATAAATCTGTGCAACTTTGAGTTAAGGAAAAGTTTTTTGGAAAGGACACTGAAAGCATGTGTGACCAAAGAAAAAATAGATGAATTGAACCTCATCGATATTTAAAACTTTTATGTTTCAATCAGCCCTATCCACAAAATGAAAAGACAACCCATAGAATGAGGGAAGACATTTACAAATCATATGTCTGATAAAGGTCTAGTAACCAGCATATATAAAGGACTCCTAGCATTCAACGACAAGAAGTCAAATAACTCAACTAGGAAAAGGGCTAAGGATTTGAACAAAAATTTCTCGTAAGAAGATATACAAATGGCCAATAAATGCATGAAAAGATCTTTAGGGAAGTTCAATATCATTGGCCATTAGAAAAATACAGATCAAAACCACAATGACATACCAATTTCATACCCACTAGGATGGCTAGAATAAAGGGGGAAAAAAAAACCAGAAAATAAGTGTTGGCAAGAATATGAAGAAACTGGAACTCATACGTTGCTGATAGGAATGTAAAATGTTGCAGCTGCTTTGGAAAACAGTCTGGTAGTTAAACACTGAATTACCGTGTGACTCTGTAATTCTACCCTTACATATATACCTAACAGTATTGAAAAGATATGTTCACACAAAATCCAGTACACTAAATGTTCACAGCGGCAATCATAATAGTCTAAAAGTGGAAAGAAACCAAATGTTCATCAATTGATAAATGGTTAAACAAAATGTGGTATATACATATGGAATGTCATTTTCCACAAAAAGGAAGTGCTATTGCATGCTATAACATGGATGAACCTTGTAAACATTATGCTAAGTAAAAGAAGCCAAATACAAAAGGCCACATATTGTATGATTCCAGTTATGTGAAATGTCCAGAAGAGGCAAAATCATAGAAACAGATAGTAGATTTGAGGTGCCAAGGGTTAGAGGATTGGGGAATTGGAGGTGACTGCTAACAGTTATGAGATTTCTTTTTGGGGTGATGGAAATGTTCCGGAATTACGTCATGATGATTTAACATAACACTGTGACTATACTAAAAAAACACTAACCTGTACACTTCAAAATGGTGACTTGCATGTTATGTGAATAATACCTCAATAATTAAAAGAAGTAAGGATAATAAAATCATCTTAATCAGCCAGCTATGCTAGAGCAAGTAAAGCTAAATATCTTTTTAGGATCTAGAGAAAATAAAATTATAAAATTATCATACTAATAGACAATTAATGAATATGCAGCAAAAAACTATTACAAAGATGGGTCATGCAATTCTTTAACTTGTAAATGTTATTTTTCTCAACTGTGTGGTATATTTCATGCATTTAAAGCATTTTTAAGTTTATAATTCATTGTGATTTGTTTTTTCATTCCAAATAAATATCCACTGTCATGACTAAATTTGTATTTACAATTTTGTATTCTTTCTGTTAAAAGAACTGAGATGGGCCCTACAAAACTTGAATCCTCCACTGGAGATACCTTTTCACAACCATCACAGTAGCTAAAATTAAAAAGTCTAATAATACTTGGTATTGGAGAGAAAGTAGACGAATGTTAACTCTCCTTGGCCCTACTAGGAGTACAGATTGATTTAAACAATTTGAAGAGCAGTTTGACGATTATAGTGACATTAAGGTGCCCCAGGAATTCTACTTCTAGAGACAGGCTCTACCAACATGTTTCTACCTATGCACCCCTGCAGCATGTTGTAAAGGCAGAACACCAGAAACAGGCTAAACGGTCAGCAACAACACAACACAGAAGATTGGGATATGTTCTCAGAAGGGCACTCTATAGAGGAGTTAAATGACTTTATGCAGATCAACCCACATGGAAGTGGAAAACAATACCAACTGTGAAAAGCAAGTTTCAGAATGACATCACAGTTAAAACCATTTGTGTGATGTTTTGAAACATGCACACAAGTACTACATATTGATTCCAGAAACAAAGAAATGAAGTAAAAGAGAAATTCCTCTTTGTTTACAGAGGAAATAGACAGGTTGGAAAAGGACACGAGAGACTGTAACTTGATCTGTGATATTTTGAGACACCATGAAGAAGAACTGAAGCGTGTGTTTCCAAGTTTAGGCATCCATGAATTCTGCCTCGTGCTTTTATACTTAGGATTCTTAGGCTCACTCTCTGACCTTTTCTATTTGAAGCTGGATTCAGACTATTTACCTGAGTGGAGGAAATACTTGAATCTTAAAGATCAAACTCACCAACAAAGAAGTGGGGAAAGCAGTCATGAGTAATTCATGAAATGCTAAGTAAAATAATAATGCATTCATAACATTTTTCATCTATCAAACTAGAAGCTCTGGTGTCTTCCATGATGATACCCAGGGCTGGCACTGTCATGTTAGGTCATTAGAAAGCCTTGAAAACATATTTATCCCTTTGCAGAAGCAGGTCTGTTCTCATAAGGAGATTCTTCTGAAGTTGTGCAAAGATTTTGATACAAGGATGTACAATGCCAAGTCACCTTGTAGATGACAAGAGAAAAAGGAGAAAAAATGTCCAACAACTGTTTGTTAAATTGGAATATCTTATACAAACCATAAACATAGAGTGGATACTTATAAAGACAATAAAAAAGGCATGGAGAATGTTTAAGTGTTTAGAAAACATGCTCCCCCTGGGCAGAGCCCACCCCAGTGCCACAAAGCCACTGTAGCCAGACTGCCTCTCTAGGTTCCTCGTCTGTGGGCAAGGCATCTCGGAAAGAAAAACAGCAGCACCCGTCAGGGGCTTATGGATAAAACTCCCATCTCCCTTGGACAGAGCACCTGGGGGATGGGACAGCTATGGGCGCAGCTTCAGCAGACTTAAATATTCCTGCCTGCTGGCTCTGAAGACAGCAGTGGATCTCTCAGCACAGTGCTCGAGCTCTGCTAAGGGACAGATTGCCTCCTCTAGTGGGTCCCTGACCCCAGTGCCTCCTGATGGGGAGACACCTCCCAGCAGGGGTTGACAGACACCTCACACAGGAGAGCTCTGGCTGGCATCTGGCAGGTGCCCCTCTGAGATGAAGCTTCCAGAGGAAGGAGCAGGCAGCAATCTTTGCTGTTCAGCAGCCTCCGCTGGTGATACCCAGGCAAACAGGGTCTGGAGTGGACCTCCAGCAAACTCCAGAAGACCTGAAGATGAGGGGCCTGATGACCGTTAGAAGGAAAACTAACAAACAGAAAGCAATAGCATCGACATCAACAAAAAGGATGACCAAGCAAAAACACCATCCGAGGGTCACCAACAGCAAAGACCAAAGGTAGATAAATCCATGAAGATGCAGAAAAACCAGAGAAAAAAGGCTGAAAATTCCAAAAACCAGAATGCCCCTTCTCCTCCAAAGGATCACAACTCCTTGCCAACAAGAAAACAAAACTGGACAGAGAATGAGTTTGATGAACTGACGGAAGTAGGCTTCAGAAAATGGGTAATAACAAACTCCTCCTAGCTAAGGAAGCATGTTCTCATCCAATGCAAGGACGCTAAGAGCCTTGAAAAAGGTTAGAGGAATTGCTAACCAGAATAGCCAGCTTAGAGAAGAACATAAATGACCTGATGGAGCTGAAAAACACAACACGAGAACTTCGTGAAGCATACACAAGTATCAGTAGCCCAATCTATCAAGCAAAAGAAAGGATACCAGAGATTGAAGATTAACTTAATGAAATAAAGTGTGAAGACAAGATTAGAGAAAAAAGAATGAAAAGGAGCAAAGCCTCCAAGAAATATGGGACTATGTGAAAAGACCAAACCTACGATTGATTGGTGTACCTAAAAGTGATGGGGAGAATGGAACCAAGTTGGAAAACACACTTCAGGATATCATCCAGGAGAATTTCACCAACCTAGCAAGACAAGCCAACATTCAAATTCAGGAACTAGAGAGAACATCACAAAGATACTCCTCGAGAAGAGCAACCCCAAGACACATAATCATCAGATTCACCAAGATTGAAATGAAGGAAAAAATGTTAAGGGCAGCCAGAGAGAAAGGTCGAGTTACCCACAAAGGGAAGCCCATCAGACTAACAGCAGATCTCTCTGCAGAAACCCTACAAGCCAGAAGAGAGTAGGGGCCAATATTCAATGTTCTTAAAGAACAGAATTTTCAACCCAGAATTTCATATCCAGCCAAACTAAGCTTCATAAGTGAAGTTCAATAGAATCCTTTACAGACAAGCAAATGCTGAGGGATTTTGTCACCACCAGGCCTGCCTTACAAGACCTCCTGAAGGAAGCACTAAATATGGAAAGGAAAAACCAGTACAGCCACTGCAAAAACAAACCAAAATGTAAAGACTATCAACACTATGAAGAAACTGCATCAACAATGGGCAAAATAACCAGCTAGGATCTTAATGACAGGATCAAATTCCCACATAATAATATTAACCTTAAATGTAAATGGGCTGAATGCCCCCAATTAAAAGGCAAACACTGGCAAACTGGATAAAGAGTCAAGACCCATCCATGTGCTGTATTTAGGAGACCCATCTCACATGCAAAGACACACTAGGCTCAAAATAAAGGGACGGAGGAAGATTTACCAAGCAAATGGAAAGCAAAAAAAAAGCAGGGGTTGCAATCCTAGTCTCTGATAAAACAGACTTTAAACCAACAAAAATCAAAAAAGACAAACAAGAGGATTACATAATGGTAAAAGAATCAATGCAACAAGAAGAGCTAACTATCCTAAATATAGATGCACACAATACAGGAGCACCCAGATTCATAAAGCAAGTTCTTAGAGACCTAGAAAGAGGCTTAGATTCCCATGCAGTAATAGTGGGAGAATTTAACACCCCACTGTTGATATTAGACAGATCAATGAGACAGAAAATTAACAAGGATATTCAGGACTTGAACTCAGCTCTGCACCAAGCAGACCTAATAGACATCTACAGAACTCTCCACCCCAAATCAACAGAGTATACATTCTTCCCAGGACTACATAGCACTTATTCTAAAATTGACCACATAATTGGAAGTAAAACACTCCTCAGCAAATGCCAAAGAACAGAAATCATAACGGTCACTCAGACCACAGTGCAATCCAATTAGAACTTAGGATTAAGAAACTCACTCAAAACTGCACAACTACATGGAAACTGAACAACCTGCTACTGAATGACCACTGGGTAAATAACGAAATTAAGGCAGAAATAAATAAATTATTTGAAACCAATGAGAACAAAGACACAACGTACCAGAATCTCTGGGACAGCTAAAGTAGTGTTTAGAGGGAAATTTATAGCACTAAAATGCCCACAGGAGAAAGTGGGAAAGATCTAAAATCAACACCCTAACATCACAATGAAAAGAACTAGAGAAGCAAGAGCAAATAAATTCAAAAGCTAGCAGAAGACAAGAAATAACTAAGACCAAAGCAGAACTGAAGGAGATAGAGACATGAAAAACCCTTCAAAAAATCAGTGAATCCAGGAGCAGATTTTTTGAAAAGATTAATAAAATAGGCCGCTAGCCAGACTAATAAAGAGGAAAAGAGAGAAAACTCAAATAGACACAATAAAAAATGATAAAGGGGAGATTACCACTGACCCCACAGAAACAAAAACTACAATCACAGAATACTATAAACACCTCTATGCGAATAAGCTAGAAAATCTAGAGGAAATGGATAAATTCCTGGACACATACACCCTCCCAAGACTAAACCAGGAAGAAGTCAAATCCCTGAATAGACCAATAACAAGTTCTGAAATTGAAGCAGTAATTAATAGCCTACCAACCAAAAAAAGCCCAGGACCAGATGGATTTACAGCCGAATTCTACCAGAGGCACAAAGAGGAGCTGGTACTGTTCCTTCTGAAACTATTCCAAACAACAGAAAAAGAGGGACTCCTCCCTAACTCATTTTATGAGGCCAGCATCATCCTGATACCAAAACCTGGCAGAGACACAACAAGAAAAGAAAATTTCAGGCCAACATCCCTGATGAACACCAATGCGAAAATCCTCAGTAAAATACTGGCAAACCAAACCAGCAGCACATTAAAAAGCTTATCCACCACAATCAAGTCGGCTTCATCCCTGGGATGCAAGGCTGGTTCAATATACACAAATCAATAAATGTAATGTATCACAAATAAACAGAAGCAATGACAAAAACGACATGATTATCTCAATAGATGCAGAAAAAGGTCTTCGATAAAATTCAACACCCCTTCATGCTAAAAACTGTCAATAAACTAGGTATTGATGGAACATATCTCAAGATAATAAGAGCTATTTATGACAAACCCACAGCCAATATCATACTGACTGGGCAAAAGCCGGAAGCATTCCCTTTGAAACCAGCACAAGATAAGGATGCCCTCTCTCACCACTCCTATTCAACAGAGTACTGGAAGTCCTGGCCAGGGCAATGAGGCAAGAGAAAGAAATAAAGGGTATTCAAGTAGGAAAAGAGGAAGTCAAATTATCTCTCTTTGCAGGTGACATGATTGTATATTTAGAAAACCTCATCATCTCAGCCCAAAAACTCCTTAAGCTGATAAGTAACTTCAGCAAAGTCTCAGGATACAAAATCAATATGCAAAAATTACATGCATTCCTATACACCAATAATAGACAAACAGAGAGCCAAATCATGAGCAAACTCCCATTCACAATTGCTACAAAGAGAATAAAATACCTAGGAATACAACTTACAAGGGATGTGAAGGACCTCTTCAAGGAGAACTACAAACCACTGCTCAAGGAAATAAGAGAGGACACAAACAAATAGAAAAACATTCCACATTCATGGACAGGGAGAATCAATATCATGAAAATGGCCATTTTGCCCAAAGTAATTTATAGATTCAATGCTATTCCCATCAAGCTACCATTGACTTTCTTCACAAAATTAGAAAAAAATTACTTTAAATTTCATATGGAACCAAAAAAGAGCCTGTATAGCCAAGACTATCCCAGGCAAAAAGAACAAAGCTGGAGGGCATCACGCTACCTGACTTCAAACTATACTACAAGACTACAGTAACCAAAACAGCATGGTACTGGTACCAAAACAGACATACAGGCCAATGGAACAGAACAGAGGCCTCAGAAATGACACCACACAACTACAACCAAATGATCTTTGACAAACCTGACAAAAATAAGCAATGGGGAAAGGATTCCATATTTAGTAAATGGTGTTGGGAAAACTGGCTAGCATATGCAGAAAACTGAAACTGGACCCCTTCCTTACATCTTATACAAAAATCAACTCAAGACGGATTAAAGATTTTAACGTAAGACCTAAAACCATAAAAACCCTAGAATAAAACCTAGGCAATACCATTCAGAACACAGGCATGAGCAAAGACTTCATGACTAAAACACCAAAAGCAATGGCAACAAAAGCCAAAATTGACAAATGGAATCTAATTAAACTAAAGAGCTTCTGCACAGCAAAAGAAACTATGATCAGAGTGAACAGGCAACCTACAAAATGGAGGAAAATTTTTGCAATCTATTCATCTGACAAAGGGGTAATATCCAGAATCTACAAGGAACTTAAATTTACAACAAAAAACAAACAACTCCATCAAAAAGTGGGTGAAGGATATGAACAGATACTTTTCAAAAGAAGACATTTATGTAGCCAGCAAACACATGAAAACAAACTCATTATCACTGGTCATTAGAGAAATGCAAATAAGAACCACGATGAGATGCCATCTCATGCCAGTTAGAATGGCGATCATTAAAAAGTCAGGAAACAAAAGATGCTGGAGAGGATGTGGAGCAACAGGAACGCTTTTACACCATTGGTGGGAGTATAAATTAGTTCCTCCATTGTGGAAGACAGTGTGGCGACTGCTCAAGGATCTAGAACTAGAAATACTATTTGAACTAGCAATCCCATTACTGGGTATATACCCAAAGGATTATAAATCATTCTACTATAAAGACACATGCACATGTATGTTTATTGCAGCACTATTCACAATAGCAAAGACTTGGAACCAACCCAAATGCCCATCAATGTTAGACTGGATAAAAATGTGGCACATATACACCTGTAATCCAGTACTTTGGGAGGCCGAGGCGGGCGGATCACGAGGTCAGGAGATCGAGACCATCCTGGCTAACACGATGAAACCCCATCTCTACTAAAGATACCAAAAAAATTAGCCGGGCATGGTGGCTGGCACCTGTAGTCCCAGCTACTCAGGAGGCTGAGGCAGGAGAATGGCGTGAACCCGGGAAGTGGAGCTTGCAGTGAGCTGAGATCATGCCGCCACTACACTCCAGCCTCGGCGACAGAGTGAGACTCCATCTCAAAAAAAAAAAAAAATGTGGCACATATACACCATGGAATACTATGCAGCCATAAAAAAGAATGAGTTCATGTCCTTTGCAGGGACATGGATGAAGCTGGAAACCATCGTTATCAACAAACTAACATGGGAAGAGAAAACCAAACACCACATATTCTCACTCATAAGTGGGAGGTGAACAATGAGAACATATGGGCACAGGGAGGGGAATATCACACACTGGGGCCTGTCGGTGCGGTGGGGGGCAAGGGGAGGGATAGCATTAGGAGAAACAACTAATGTAGATGACGGGTTGATGGGTGCAGCAAACCACCATGGCACATATATACCTATGTAACAAACCTGCAGGTCTGCACATGTATCCCAGAACTTAGAGTATAATTTTAAAATAAAAGAAAGAAAGAAAAAGAAGACATGCTCCCATGTGTTAAGCGGGTTTCCTGCAGAGGAGGGCTCATTTTTACATAAGATTCCCAAAGCAGCCTCCTTATATCCAGAGTGTCAGAGATTTTACTTTTCTTCTTCTTTTTTCTTTTCTTTTTTTTTTTTTTGAGATAGAGTCTTGCTCTGTTGCCCAGTGGCGTGATCTTAGCTCACTGCAACCTCCACCTCCTGAGTTCAAGTGATTCTTCCTCCTCAGCCTCCCAAGTAACTGGGATTACAGGCGTGTGCCACCATGTCCAGCTGATTTTTTTTTTTATTTTTTGTAGTTTTAGTAGAGTTGGAGAGGCTGGTCTCCCAACTCCTGGCCTCAAGTGATCTGCCTGCCTTGGCCTCCCAAAGTGCTGGGATTACAGGCGTGAGCCACCACACCCGACTGAGAGTGTCAGAGATTTGTCAAAGGGCCTGCAAGTATCCTGGCCTGAAACCTCACAGGCTGCTTCTGAATGATAAAAACTGACCTGTCACTTCTGCACCATTGGTTTCTGGTCTTCCATCACTTCCAGCCTCGAAGGGTGCTCCCACAGCTTAGTACCTGCATAACAAACCCCTTACCCCAGCATATCTAGGATGCCAACAACTGTAAGGCACACCACAAGAGAAAATGTATGCTGCCAATAAATGCTGACGTGTTATCTATTGTAAAGAAGCATGCAGGCCCTGGCAGTGTTGAAATGTGAAAATATGCACATCCAGCAATCAAAACACCTCATGCATACTACAATATTAACAGAGATTGTTTTAGAATTATGAAATCAGGGCCGGTGCTTTGGCTCATCTGTATTTTCTAAACTTTCTATGGTGAACGATATTACTGCCAATATTTGAAAAATGGTAAATAAACATTATTTTAAACAAAAAAAATGAAATGAGCCAACCAGAACTACCATGAACCTAATGAAACTAAAGCTTTGTGGCCTTCCAAAGGCCCCTGGAAGAAGCCCTAGTTTGTTTATATTTGTATTTTTTGTTATTTGTCATAAAACAACCCCTCAAACTACACATGCTTCAGGCCCCATAAAGCTATGAGCTGTCTTGGATTCAACAAATATGGAGTACCTAACAAGTCCACGTGGACTGCTTTAAAAGACAGACAGAAATAGAAACATTTCAGCTTAAGTGAGGATACAAGCAAGCCCAGATAACCACACCAAGGCAACAAGACCAATAATCCCTCTCCCTTTCCTAATTATCACTCCTGCTGCTATGGACTGAACTGCGTCCTCCCAAAATTCGTATGTTGAGGCACTAACCCCAATGGGATGGTATTAGGAGATGGGGAGGTGATCAGGGATAGATGAAACCATGAGTGTGGAGGCCCCATGTTGGGATTAGTGACCTTATAAGAACAGGAAGAAACACCAGAGCTTTCTGTCTCCACCATGCAAGGACACAGCAAGAAGGTGGCCATCTGCAAACCAGGATATGAGCCCTCACCAGGAACTGAATCTGCAAGCACTTTGACCTGGGACTTCTCAGCCTCCAGAACTGTGAGAAATAAATGTCTACTGTTTAAGCCACCCAGTTTATGGTATCCCATTAGAGAGCAGCCCGAGCTGACTAAAACACCTCCATACTCCATCTCTAGTGATTATAACTGGTGATGCACAAATCCACTGGTAAACTGTCAGATATTGAAGCCACCACCACGCTCTATAGTTTGGTTCTGTTGAAGTTTTATAAGTAAATAATGAACTGCCAATGTTGTATAAATGCTATGGGGAATATTCACCCAAGGATTCTTTCTTTTCTCTGAAATCTCTCATATTCTTTAAAAAGTCAGCCTCTTTTCATCTGCAGTGAGATTTTCTCTCTAAATCCTTCTTTAAACACTCTTTTTGTGTGACGTCTTAGCCTTAAGTACTGAGCCTTAAAGAAAAGCTGTTTTCCACTCACTGCCTTGTTTTACATATGCTCTCCCTGAGCTTTCAAAATGGCAAAATAAAGCATCTTAGGGACCACAAGGGCCGCCTGCTTTGAACTACCCAGCAGTAAAGGGGCCAAGTGACAAAGCTAGTCGGTACACCCGGCCCAAAGCACCCTAAAGCCAAACACAACACAACACTTTGTCAAATTAATTATTAGGCTGCATCAAAATATGAAGCCACTAAAAGTGGATGTACTCTATTTGAAAAGGAATTTTAAAACCCTAAGGTTCCACGGAACCTAGTTTGAAAACCATTGGTCAACATTAGCAAGAAGCAAACAAAATGAGGAATTTTTCCCTCTGCAAAACCATGTCCCCTCCACCTTCTCCGTGGAGGGAAGACACAGTGTTGATACACATACCTGCCATGATACAGGGGAGAGTGCATGACACACATTTAAAAAGGCGTGGGGTGAACAGGCAATTCTCATTTTAGCAAGACTGTTAGAACTTCATTCAGCCAATGATGAACATGTGCTCCACTTTGAAAACAAAAGGCAGCCTTGTCTCACCCATGACTCTCTGTCCCTATTCCACAAGGAGCATTCCCACCCAAATGCAAGCTCTCAGCTTCATGGACACGCTAAGGAGGCTCTCACCAGGAGCACCTCCGAGTCCATGTCCACATCTCTGCAGTATGGCCCCAGCCAGATCTGGAGCACATTCTTGTATTCAACACATTTATAAAGTGCCTCATCAATACCTGGCGCTGTTCTTGACCATCCGTGAACAAAAGAAACAACAATCTCACCCTTGCAGTGTCTACATTCTAGAGGGGAGAGACCTCCTAAGTAATTAAATTGGGCACAAAAGAATGATGAGTGCTCCGGGGGAAAAACAGAGCCCAGATAGGGGGAGCAGGGAGTGCTGGGGCAAGTGTTTTGCTTCTGTTTCGGTTTTTATGTGGTAAAAAACATGTAAGATTTACCATCTTAGCCATTTTTAAGTGTACAGTACTATAGTGTTAACTACATGTACCCTGTTTGACAACAGATCTCTAGAACTTCTTCACCTTGCAAAACTGAAACTCTATATCCAATGAACAACTCTCCTTTCCCCCTCCCTCCAGCCCCCGGCAACCACCATTCTGCTTTCTGTCTCTAGGTGCCTCGTATGAGTGGAATCATTCAGCATTTGTCTTTCTGTGGCTGGCTTATTTCACTTAGCATAATGTCCTCAAAGTTCATCCATGTTGTAGCCTGTGTCAGAATTTCCTTCCTTTTGAAGACTGAGCAATCTTCCACTGTGTATACAGACCACATTTTATGTATCCACTCATCTACTGATGGACACTTGGGTAGCTCCCACCTTTTGGCTATTGTAAACAAGGCTTCCATGAACATAGGTGTGCAAACATCTGTTCGATTCCCTGCTTTCAGTGAAGACCTAGTTTTAAACAGAGCTGTCAGTGTGGTTCCATGCCTTTCCTTTCCTCTGCAGCCCTCTGTCCACCTTCTCTGTAGGGGGGAAATTCCCACTTTAGTCTATTTCCTGGCACTATTTCATCAGTAGCTATGCAACCCACACCTGCATTTTCAGAACAACTCCCACAAACTGCAGAGGACTCAATATCACCTATTTTCTAAAGATGGATTTCTTCAAAGCACAGGGCTGTTGGGACCAGAGTGCAATAAAAGAGTGAGGAATGGAGAATGAAAACATGAATCATGAACGTGAGCAGCTGGCTCTGTTTTCAGAGGCACTTGTCAGTTCCCCCAAAAGACAGCCCCTCATCATGTCCTTCAACACGGCAGGATAGACAGGACAATGTCACCCATGCTCCCAAGGGCCCCCCTGTCCTTACTGCCTAGGAAAGAACGGCCCCTTGATGGAATCTCTGTCTGCATGAAAACCTACCACGAACACTTTCTTCAAAGTTCTGGAAAGAAAAGTTTTGACACCTGTTAAAGGAATTTCAAGAATTCAAAATTAAGTGGGGACTTCCCAAAGTCTCAAATAATCATGACACAACCTACTCAACCATGGAACAAATCCTGACTGCGGAGCAGGACCCCCAGCTAGACAGTGCAGAGCAGCCAGAGTGGGTCAGACCTGAGTCCTGACCCGAGGACTGCTTTCTGGAGGTAGATATGAGACCCCAAATATGAACAAGATGCACTAGGGACCCAGGAACCAGGAGTGCTGATATCCAAAGGTCGGGGGGATGATGGATGTCCCAATTCGAGAAGAGAGACAGAACGCACCCTTCCTCTGACTCTCTGTTAAGACTGGCAACAAATCGGATGATGACCACCTGCATTGGTGAGGATGATCTTCTCTACTCCGTCTACTGATTCAAATGCTCATCTCTTCCAGAAACACCAGCTATCTGGGCATCTGTTAGCCCAGTCACATAAAGTTACCATCACAAACCACAAGGAATGAATTCTGCTGGCACCTGAATGAGCAAGGAAATGGATTCTCCCCAAGAGCCTGCAGAAAGGAACAAGACCTTGACTGTAATCCAGCGAGTCCTGTGTTGGAGTTCTAATCTACTGAACTAAAAGAAAATAAATGTGTTTTGCTTTAAGCTGTTAAATGTGTGGTCATTTGTAACAGCAGCAGCAGGAACTAATACAGCCACTTTAATGAGCAGCCCAGGTGGCTAGTACAACTGATGGGGAATGTATCCCCTGGCCATATCCCCAGGTGTGTGCCCGAGAGTATCACTGTCCAACCAAACTCTCTGCAGTGGTAGAAATGTTCTATACCTATGCCGTCAAATATGGTAGCCACTTGTGACCATTAAGCCCTTGAAATATGGCTAGTGCAACTAAGGAAATGAATTTATAATACAGGTCATCTTAATTACCTTAAACTTGAATAGCCATGGGTGATCAGTGGCTCCTACAATGAACAGCAGAGCCTCAAGCAGAGGTTCTTAAATGTTGCTGCATATTAGGATTTCCTGGAGAGATTTTTTTTTAATGCTGATGCCCAAGCTGCCTCCCAGATCAATTAAATCAGATTGCACTTAGGGGATGGGACCCAGGCATTGGTATTTTTAAAAGTCTCCAGGGGTTCTAACATGCAGCCAAGTTTGAGATTCAGTGACCCAGGGAAACGGTCACACAGGGTACACACAGTCAGATACATGGATGGTAACTGAACCCCTGCCTTGGAATGTCAACAAATGGCAAACGCTAAGGTTTCCATTCATGCAATGGAATAGAATGTCCACAGCAATTAAAATAAATGCATGGATCTATACATACCAACAATGGTAAATACAGAAAACACAAAGTTGACTTAAGGAGCAGAAACACTAGTAACAATACAATATCATGTCTATGAACTTTGAAGTGTACACAACAATACTACCTGTTGACTATAAACACATATAGTAAAAAGCATAAAAACTTGGACAAGAAGAACACACACCAACTGCAGGCTGGGGGAAACCTGCTGGGAAATGAGAGCAAAGGAGGGGATGGGGGGGTGCAGGTACAAAGAGCTTCACTTCCATGCAGCAATTTATTTCACTTTAGAAGATGTGAAGCAATTATGGTAAAGTGGTATTATTTGCTGTAGCTCCATGTTATGAACACAAGTGTGTTGTCATATTTTCTCTATTCTTTTCTGGGCGTATAACATTTTTCATAATAACAAAAGAGACCAACATATGGATCTCCAGGCAGGAAGAGTTTATCCCTGGGCGGGCAGCACAGAGGAGGGTGGTTCTCTGGGGTGAGTTAGGCTATGTCATATTGAGGAATTTATTCCTAGTAGGTTTTCCTTCAAATGGAAAGCCAATTGTCTTCCAGAATTTAAGGAAATAAAACAATTATGAGCCAAAAAAAAAAAAAAAAAAACTACTGGACAACAAAATCTGGCCAAAGGTGAGTCAGGCAAAATAAAGAAGTTAGAAATGGCCTTAGTAAAGGCAGCATGGCAGCAGCTCAGGAGGAGGAGAGGCAGGTTGGCAGGGTTCTCTGAGCACTTAAACATAAGACTATGAGGAAATACCACAGGAAGCGGGGGAGCAGCGGAGAGCAAATGCTATCAACCTCATCCCACACATGCAACAATTTGCAACAATCTAGCCACGGGAGGGAAATGATAATATTAGTGTGCCAGACACTGCCCTAAGTGCTTTACATTATAAATTATAATAACTCAACTGTTAGAATAATTCTACAAGATACTGCTATTACTTCTATCTTAGACGTAACAGAGGGAAACTGAGTCACAGCAAGTTTGGTGATTAGCCTGAGGTCAAGTGGCCAAGATGGGATTTGAACCCAGCTGTCTGGGTCCCAAATGTTAACCCCTACATTATACCGTTCTTTGAAATTAGGTATGCCTGCACTAATGTCCTCTGCGCTTCTACACTTGAACTTCCCGTTGTAAAAAAAAGGACTCTAACCACTTAAAAAATTCTATAGCCTTTTCTACTTGACTGTGAAGCATATTCATATTCTTTTTCTTGTTAAAGTAAATTTCAAACTTACCATTTATCCTGAAAGTAAAATGTATAATATATAACTCTTTGGACACACATCCTCCCTTTACATCCATGAACAGCGTGATGTCGAAGTCCCGCTCACCAATGTCTATGAGGGGTTATTTGTGAAAGGTGACATTTTATGTCATTTTTCTTCTTCTGTTTTTCCCTGGCTTTACTGAGGTACACTTGACAAATAAAAATTCCATGTATTTAAGGTCTACAAGGTGATGTTTTTGTATTCACCTTGCAAAATAATTACCATAATCAAGCTAATTAACATGTCCATTACCTCACATAGCTCTGATGTTTTGTACATGGGGCGAGAACCGCACTGCTGGGTGCGGTGGTTCATGTTTGTAATTCTAACATTTTGGGAGGCTGAGGCAGGAGGATGGGTTGAAGCCAGGAGTTTAAGACCAGCCTGGGCAACACAGCAAGACCCTATCTAATTAGGCATAGTGGCACATGCCTGTAGCAGGGAGACAGAGGAAATGGGTAACTTGAGCCCAGGAGTTGGAGGCTACAGCGAGCTATGATTGCTACACTCCAGCCTGGGTGAAAGAGTGAGACCTAGTCTCAAAACAAAACAAAACAAAACAAAACAAAAAAACTACTCTCTTAGCATATTTCAAGTCCACAACACAGCATTCTCAACTATAGTAACCATGCCGTACGTTAGATCTTCAGAACTCATTCCTCCTGCATAACTGATACTTAGTATTTTTATTCTTTCTACTTTTCTGTATTGCTGGAATGTTTTATAGCAGGTATTCATAAATTTTCACAACAAATGTTCAGTTAATGACATTTCTAAAAAAACAAATAAAAAAGAAAATACCAATAAATGCACCTCCTATAGAAACACAAGGAAAAGGAGGCGTGCCATGGACATGAGGAGGGAGAACACACCTCTACATCTGTAGGACCCAGGACAGTCCTTCTGGACCCGCAACCCAGAGGACTGCAGGCAGGCAGCACCTCCCTGAATCCAGGGTAGACAGCCGGGAAGGGCAGGAGGAAGGCCACAGGCATGGAGCCAGATGAGGTCAACAGGAATGCCATGGAGACAACAGCTATAACCACAGGGGGAAACCCACGCTGAAGGAAGTAAAAATCAGAACCTACACCCTGGAAAACCAAACTAGTGACACAGGGGAAAGCTTCAGAAATTCTCCCAGAATGTCAAAATGAAAAAGACCACCACCTGACAAAGCCTCTTATGGCAAGAACAGAGAGGAAGGTCACAGATGACAAGGACAACAGAGATCAAGGGCGTTTCAAGAGGAACTGCTAACTCTTTTCCAAAGAAAGGTGTGCACTACTGCGACACAAAAGCAGACCCTTGCTCTATGGAAGAAAATCCCTCTCCACCAGTGAGTACTTCAGAGACTGCCTGAAATGCTCCCCAAGCTGTTCTCAGTAAAAGCACCAAGTCCTCTTACCAAGTCAGGAAAACAAGCCTGCATATTTATTTGGAGCACTACATTTCTTGGTATTCTAAAATAATATACACCTCTTTCTCTCTCTCTCTCTCTCTCACACACACACACACACATACACACACAGAGTAGATAAAAAGTCCCCTTTAAGCTAAAGTTGGGAGCTCAAGTACAACTTCAGGATTATCAATAAATATACAGCTGACCTTGGAACAGCACAGGTTTGAACTGGGCGAGTCCACTTATATGTGGATTTTTTTCCATCAAAGTTACACTGAGTGTGCCTGCCTCTCCTGCTGCCCCTCCTACTTCCTCTGCCTCTTCCTCCTCTGCCACCCCGAGATAGCAAGACCAAGCCCTCCTCTTCCTTTTCTACTCAGCCCACTCAATATGAAGACTACAACAAAGATGAAGACCTTTATGATGACCCACCTCCACTTATAAATAGTAAATATATTTTCTCTTCCTTATGATTTTCCTATTAACATTTCTTTTCTCTGGCTTACTTTATTGCAAAAATACAGTATATAATGCATGTAACCTACATAATGTGTTAATTGACCGTGTTTATTAGTAAGGCTTCCAGTCAACAGTAGGCTATTAGTAGTTAAGTTTGGGGGAAGTCAAAAGTTATACATGGATTTCTGACTGTGAGGGAGGTTGGGTCCCATCAGGGCTCTGAGCCCAGGCTAAGCCATCATATGCCCTGTGACCTGCAGTATACATCCAGATGGCCTGAAGCAACTGAAGAACCACCAAAGAAGTGAAAATAGGCAGTTCCTGCCTTAATTGATGACATTCCACCATTGTGATTTGTTCCTGCCCCACCCCAACTAATCAATCGACCTAGTGACATTCCTCCCCTGGACAATGAGTCTCAAAATCTACCCACCCTGCACCTTGTGACCCCCGCCCCTGCCTGTAAGAGATAACCACCTTTAACTGTAATTTTCCACTACCTACCCAAATCCTGTAAAACTGCCCCACTCAGCCCACTTGCATTCAAGTAAAATAAACAGCCTTGTTGCTCACACAAAGCCTGTTGGTGGACTCTCTTCACATGGATGCGCATGACGGGTCCCCTAACCCCTGCACTCTTTGAAGGGCCAAATGTGCATTATGTGACATGGATAAAAATTAATGTTTTTCTAAATGGCAAAGTCTACAACCTACAAATTGAAGAATAGTTCTAGCTTCATCTGAAGTGTTATTGAAGAACAAAAATAATATTCTCCATAAATATAGCAGGCAGATATACATTTTTAAAAGTCTCAACTAAAGCTGACCAATGCAAACAATTATTTATTTAGGTGATCAAATAGCAAACTGACTGTCAGAGACCCATTCAACCTGTGATATGTGACCTATGAATTCACTTTCTACCTTCATGCTTCCAAAATTATCTAGATTACTCACTATCAATATTTTTCACCAAGAAACAATGGAATCCTGAGTCTGGTCACCTGACCCTATATTAAATTGTACCCATCAATTCTACAAAACACTGCCCATGTTTCCTATAAAAAAAAAAAATTAGAAGAATAAAAGAGTAATCCACATACAATGTAAAGCTAAAAAACTGCATTGGAATAAAAAACAAAATTGAAGTATTTTATGAAAACCTACAAGAACTAATAAGTGAGTTTAGGTTAGCAGGGCTGCAGAATACAAGAGCAATATACAAGATGCAACTGTATTTCTATACACTAGTAGTAAGTAATCAGAAAGTTAAATTTAAAAACAATACCATTTACAATAGCATCAAAGTCTGTAAAATAAATAGGAAGAAATCTGACAAAAGATAAGTAACTCCTGTACACTGTAAACTACAAACTACTGTAGAGAAAGATTAAAGACCAAATAATTGGGAAGATATAATGTATTCATAGGGCAGAGGACTCAATATTATTATGACATCAACTCTCCCCAAGTTGATCTGTAGAAGTGCTTTTCAACCACGGGTGATTTTGTCACTCCGGGAGATATTTGGTAATGTCTGGAGGCACTGTTGGTTGTCCCTACTTGGTGGCAGAAGGTACTGTTGCCATCTAATGAGTAAAGGATGGGATGCTGCTACCCACCCCACAATGCAGAAGACAGCCCCACAACAAAGAATTATCCAGCCCAAAATGTCAACACTCCCAGTGCCGAGGTGGAAAAATCCTGATGTACAGAGTTAGTGTAATTCCAATCAACATCCCAGCAGGCTTTGTTCTAAAACTGACAAACTAATTCTAAAATTCGCACAGAAATTCAAAGGATATAGCATAGCCGCAACAACTTTGAAGAAGAGGAACAAAGAGAATTAACATAACCTTTCAAGAGGTTTCAAGAATTAAGTCAAAGTATGTTAACAGACAATTCTCCATGAACTTCTGCATATGTGGTTTTTCTAAACAAGCAGCACTGTAAAAATAAGGATAGAGGATTTGAATGCCTTGAAAGCTAGAAGTAGTATAACGCCCAGGAGAGATTTAGAGACATATCTGTCTTGCAACCATTTGCTACCTTTCAGTAAAATAAAACTAGGGAACTTTCCTCCTCTCCCCAGAGAGGATTTGTTTAGATTGCAGAGTAAGAGTCTCTCCCTCTTTGTCTCTGGGGCAGAAAAAGGGCAAAGTTATTAGACACCCTATAGCAATTCAGGGGCCTCTCCTGAACAGCACTGCACGCACAGGGGAGTAAGTGGCACTGACCACACTGTCCCTTGGGGAATTGACACTAGTTGGCACTGTGAATATAAAATATTTCCTCTGATCCAGAGACATTGTTCCTCATCAGAATATATACATACACTTAAACACACACACACACACATTTTTAAAACACATTAATTAAGACAGTGTGGTGTTGGCATCAAGACAGACAAGTAGACCAATACAGTATAATCTCTACTGCAGAAATAGATCCACACATATACAGAAAAAAATCTTTGATAGAGGTGCAAAAGCAATTCTGCGAGGAAAGGATAGTCTTTTCAACAAATGGTGCTGGAAAAACTGGATATCCATCTGGGGAAAAGATGAAATAAACCTCAATCCATATCTCATACCACATAAAGGAGTTAGTTTCAAATGAATCACAGACATAAATGTAAAACATGAAACTATAAAATCTGTAAAGGAAAGAATGGAAACAAATCTTTATAACTCTGGATTAGGCAAAGATTTATTACATATGACAACAAAATTTTAAATGTGGCATCTTCAAAACACACTGTAAAGGGAATGAAAATACAAGACACATTCCAGGAGAAGATATTTACAAAGCATATAGCTGATACAGGTCTTGTACCTAGAACATAAAAAGAATCCTCAAACTTTAATAAAAATGATGTCAACAAAAATGCCAGAGTTGAAGACCAATGAAAATTCTCTCTTCCATAAAATCAATGAGAAAACTGGCAGAAAGTGTCAGAATCAACTTTTTCAGAACCCTAAAAATTAAAAACAGATTGCAGCAATCTGATGAGTGCTTCCTCAAGAAAAATGTCTGAATCTCGGTAAGAACAGGTGAGCTTTGTGGCACATTAGCTTGGTGCTATTCCCTTCCCACCTACCCGTCTCGGCAGGAGCCTTGCAAACCAATAGCCCACAATCACAGTGCATGTGAGAACCCTGGCAAAACATGGCTGGAGCTCCTTCAAATTCTCATTCCCAGAGAACTGACATGAAATGACCTGTCTGATGTTTCTCTAGAAGAAACCACCTAGAAGGCTGTTTTTATTTGACCTGACTCAGACCTTGCTCAGTGTGACATGTCTTTAGCCTCGGGGCATTTGCTGAAAACAGTTGAAGGTGATCATTAACCACAACAGCTGCTAGAGGTGGTGGTTAACAAAAAGGCAAAAAGAGGCTAACCAAAAAGCTTAAAGGAAAAAGCCATGGAATGAAACGTCTGTAGGTCCTTTGAAAAACTCCAATAAAGTGCTGAAAATTAAAAGGCCACATGCACACAGGCTGTGTACATGCCAAGCACTGTGTTCATGCTCAGGAAAGGCCTGGGAAGGCCCTAAGCTCTCATCTCCGACTGACCTTGAGGCTTTGCACAAGCAGGAAGGGAAGACGAAGGTAGGGCTGTCAACTGCCTGCCTGGCTGAGTAGTAAAGTAACATTTGCAGATGACTTCCTTAGAAAATCTTAAGGAATCCACAAAAATACTGTTAGAGGTAATAAATGAGTTCAGCAAGGTTTCAGGGTACAAAAATCAATACACAGAAATCTGAGATTCCTGTACATGTGCAATAAACAATCAAAAACTAAAGTGAAGAAAACAATTCCATTTATAACAGCATAAAAAATACAATACTTAGGAATAAACTTAACAAAAGAGATATAACTTGTACACTAAAAACTAGAAAAGATCATTGAAATGAATTGAAGAAAGCTTAAAGAAAAGACATCCCATGCTTCTGAGCTGGAAGACAATATTGTTTGGATGGCAATATTCTCCAAAATGTTCTACAAATTCAACACAACCCTTATAAAAATCCCAGCTAGATTTTTTTTTTTTTTTTTTTTTTTTTTTTTGCAAAAATGGACAAGTTGATCCTGTAATTCATACGGAAATGCTTGGATCCAGAATAGCCAAAACAATCTTGGGAAATCAAAGTTGGAAGATTCACATTTCCTGATTTCAAAACTTACTACAAAGCTACTGTAATAAGCCCATACATTTATAGTCAATTGATTTTCAACAAGAGTGTCAAGTCAGTATAATGCAAAAGGAACAGTCTTTTCAACAAATGGTGCTGGGACAACTAGATAGCCACATGTGAAAGAATAAAATTGAACCCTTGTCTCATATCATATACAAAATTTAAGTCAAAATTGATCAAAGACCTAAATATAAGAGGTAAAACTATGAAACTCTTAGAAAAAGATATAGATGTAAATTTTCATGATGTTGGATTAGGCAATGTTTTCTTAGCTATGATACCAGAAGAACAAGCAAACAAAAAAATAGATGGGATATCATCAAAATTACAAATTTTGTGCTTCAATGGACACCATCAAGAAAGAAAGACAATCTACAAACTGGAAGAAAAAAATTGTAAATCATATGTCTGTACAGGTCTAGTATCCAAAATACATAAATAACTGTTACAACTCAATAATAAAAAGACAACTCAATTGGAAAATGAGCCAAGGATTTGCATAGACATTTCTCCAAAAAGAGATTTGAAGGACCAATAAGCACATGAAAAGATGCTCAACATCTCTAGTCAGGAGGGAAAAGCACATCAAAACCACAGCAAGAAAGCACATCACAATCACAAGGATGGCTGTAATAAAAAAAACTAGAAAATACATGTGTTGGTGAGGATGTGAAGTAGAACCCCCACACATTGTTGGTAATGTTACGGGCAGGTCTTTGTTCTTAGAGCTCCCAAGATGTGGCAGACCACTCCCAAGATGGCAGCAAGCCTTTTGTTCTCTGACCTGGGGTTCTTGGCCTTATGGATTCCAGAGTTTTATAGCTCTATTAGAAGCCGTAGGTCACGGAAGAGAACCATGGAACCCAGCGACTAGTGTTCAGCTCGATTAGGATGAACCTGGGCACTCAGCCGTGCAGGAACAATGGCGAGCCTTTAGCCCAGTCGGAAGCAGCAATGGGCGCCTCGCTGGATCAGGAGCACAGCAGACACCCTGCCAGATCTAGAGGGGTGTCAGTCAGTGGCAGGTCTGCAATGGCAGCCAACAGCAGTGGTGGACAGCGAGCGAAAGCTCAGCTCAAGCCATAACAAACATGGACCAGAAGAGTGTGCAGTTGCAAGATTTAATAGAGTGAAAATAGAGCTCCCATACAAGGGAGGGGACCCAAAGGGGGTTGCCCACTCCCGGCTCGAATGCCTGGGTTTATATCCCGATCATTGTCCCTCCCCCTGTGCTCTCAGGCGATATATGATTTCACTATTTCTTTACCTCTTGCTTTAGCCTAGTTTGTATTTTAGTGAGCCCTCTTTACTACCTGATTGGTTGGGTGTGAGCTGAGTTACAAGCCCCGTGTTTAAAGGCAGGTGTGATCACCTTTCCCAGCTAGGCTTAGGAATTCTTAGTCGGCCTAGGAAATCCAGCTAGTCCTGTCTTTCAGTAAGAATGTAAAATGAAGACACTTTAGAAAACAATTTGGCAGTTCCTCAAATGGTTAAATCCATAGTTACATATGACCCAGTAATTCTATTCCTAGGTACATACCCAAGAACTGAAAACATGTGTTCACTCCAAAACTTGTACAGGAATGTTCACAGCAGCATCACGCATAACAACCAATGTCCATCATGCGATGCATGGATAAACAATGGAATATACAACTGTTTACTGGAATACTATTCAGCCATAAAATGAAATAAAGTATTATTAGATGCTCACAAAATAGACGAACCTCAAAAACATTTTGCTAAATGTTAAGAAAATAGACCACTACCAAAATTCTTTCAAGAGGTAAATGAGTAACAAACTGTGGTGTAGCCACCCACTGGGATACTACCAGGCAATTAAAGGGGCTAAACTAGGCACATGAAACAACATGGATGAATCTCAAAGGCTTTATGCTGAGTGAAAAAGGCCAGTCTCAAAAGGTTATATGCGGTATAATTCCATTCACATAATATTCCGCAAAAGACAAAACTATAGTATGGAGAACTGGTCAGTAGTTGGTGGCTGGCATGGGTTTGAGAGGGGTATCACAAGATGAAGCCATTTTACAAGGTAATGAAACTGGTCTCTAACCTGATTTTGGTGATGGTAACAGGAATGGATACATGTATTACAATTCTCAGAACTGTATACCCAGAAAACAAAAATAAAAACCTAACCACAAACAGAAAGTAAAAACACAGAAATAAGGCCCTCCTTTCCTGACATGCACATTCTTTAGTAACTACGAAAGTAATTTCTTCAACTTCAAAAAGCACAAGTTTAACTGATTTATTTCAAGAATGAGCTAATCAATTCTGTATTTATTAAATGCAAATGTTTCCAATGGGTAGATTTAATATGCTATGGCAGGAGAAAGGTACATTCTATACCCTGAAGTACAAGAATTGATTGTGCAAGCTTGGATGCAAAAAGTAAAATTAAAATTCCATGTACGTGATATAGTGCTACACCTGGCAAAAAGCTTTTCTGTAGAGTGAACTGAAAGGCACTTGCAAACAACTCAATCATCTGGTTAAAAAAGAAAAGAAAAAATAGGATCACAACTCTCTCTTGTTACAGGGAAAGTGTCCATCTTCCAAAAACCAAGGCTCCCCTCACGCTTCTCAAAGATGGTGTCCCTCTTGGACAGCCTCTGACTCTCCACATCATTCCCTCTTTCCTCCAACCCCCACTGATAAATTCCCACCTTAGAGGCAAGCCACAGCCCACAGACTGCTACTTCTTAATCTCCCCCTGTACAGAGTATTTTCTTTTTTTCAGAGACAGGGTTTCATTCCATCACCCAGGCTAGGGTGCAATAGCGTGATCATAGCTCACTGCAGCCTCAAACTCCTGGGTTCAAGCAATCCTCCCACCTCAGCCTCCTGAGTAACAGACTATAGGCACATGTCACCACACCTGGCTACTATAAAAAAATTTTTTTTTTTTTAAAGATGGTGTCTTAACGATATTGCCCAGGCTGGTCTCAAACTCCTGGGCCATAGCAATCCTCCCGCCTCAGCCTCCCAAAGTGCTGGGATTACAGGTCTGAGCCACTGTGCCCAGCCTGGAAAGGATCATGTTTGCCCCATACCTTCCCATCTTTCCAGTCGTGCCAACCTAACACCCCCAGAGAACCATGTCTGCCTCCACACTCCCACTCTCCCTTCCATCACTCCCATCTGGCCTCCTCACTGATTTTCCACAAAACCTGTCCTCAAATGGTCACTAACGATCTCCATGCTGTGGAATCCGGGGGGCACGTGTTTGTCCATTTGCTCAGCTTCTCAGTTGTCACCAACCCATTTGGCCACACTTTCCTTCTGCTGATATTTTCTGCTTTCAACATCCTTGAAACCACACCCTCCTGCTTTTCCCCCAGATCTGGCCACACTTTCTTGGTTTCCTGTGGCAGCTCAGCCTGCTCTCCTGAGCTTCTAAATACTGAGGAAATTCCTCATGGCCAGGCCATGCCCCCGTTTCTCCACACTCTTCAATTTGTTGCCTGCCTGCATCCAATGCCATCCGTATGCACCTGCTCGCTCTGTTTCATCGGCCCAACCTTTGCTGGGTTTCAGGACATTTTCTAATTAGTCTGTGAGATCTAAGTAGATGTCCCATTAAAAAGGGGGTTCCATGGGAAAATACCTTTGAGAAACACTGCTTCACATGATGCCCCCCAGCCACCCCACGATCAGCTGATGAGTCTTTAGGAAAACAAATCTGTCTAAAACATTCCTAGAAAAATAATCCCAACAATCAATAGTTTGTGTCCCTGTTGTAGGCTCAGGTATTTCACAAAATCCTTCTCATCTTCCCCACTGAAATTTAGTCTCGTGTGAAATGAAACACAGAATTTACTACTTTACTCCTAGGTAATTCCCAAGATCACCTGCCTCACTTCCTCCCCAGGGCACAAAATCAGAGATGTGCCAACAGAAGGCATCCACTGCAGACCCTGTAATCTTGCCACCACCATTCTTCATGAGCCATGGAGAAGCTTATAGAAGCTGGACTCCTCTCCCCAGAAAAATAAACACACACACAACACACAAGGATCTGTATGTAATCTCAAGGTCTCACCCCAGGAAATTCACCCCAGGGTCCATGAATTCAAAGTAAGCCCCCCTCAGTAAGGATGCTTCAGCGGACCCCTCTGATTCACAGGGGTCTCCATTCTCACGGGCTTGCTGGTTTCGCTGCTAAGATTATGACAAACTAGGGCTGATGAGACCTTGCTTCACTCCAGCAACACACCAGTGCACCATAACTGAGGCCTCTCTGCACACATCCGCCCTGCAGACACCGTGCATTCATCCATTTGGCAAACACTCACTGAGCTCCCCTACCTTCCAGGTGCTGTGCTAGGTGAAGGTGACAAACTCCATGATCCTTGCCCTGGGGAGCAGACCTCCTGGTGAACAGACGCAAACAATAAGCACAACAAATGACAGGTTGTGATGGCATTATACCAAAATTCAAGGGGTCATCTGACGGGGTCAGATCCTTGATATTGGGTGGTCCGTAGTATCATGTGACAGCATCTGAGATTGCATTCCATAAAAATCCCATCAAGATTTGTAAAACCTCAAAGTCCTTCAAAATAAGAAGATACAGTCTCAATGTTAAAGGCTGACCAAAAAAAAAAAAAAATAGGATGAGTTGGAAGAGAAGCTGCATGTCCTTCCAAACTAATGAAGTGATGCTCCTCCTCTTGGCTCCCCACTCCCAGTAGAAATCCAGCCGCTAGTACCCAAGTGAGAGTGACACATTCCTGCCTAGCAAGCCTACAGTACAGACCATCTGGTCCACTGGCCTTGTGCCCACTTGAAAGATAACAAGCCAGTTTCCAATGATAAAGGAACCCAAAAATAAAGATGTAAAAACAGAGCCCCTGAAATGAGTCAAATGATACTTCCTCACCAAACACATCTTCTGATAGCAAATCAAGTCCAAAGGTCTCATTACAAAGAACTGTAATTCTAGATAGTAGGATTAGCTCCACCATGAAATCTATATGCCAACGCTCTTTCGTAATTCACTTAAAGGCCCACTCACAGGTAATTCACTTAATTTCAGATCTCTGCACTTGAAAATCACATTTTTTGTGTTTCAAATGGAACTGTCTAAACTCCATCCATCGCAGAACAGTTATATAGATTATGTTCATAAAATTTTGTATATACAACCATTAAAAATAACTGGGTAAAACTATGTTACTCAAGTGATATGTATTGTTTTATCTGCGTAAAACTCTATTCTTCTTGTAAATTCTCCTTTGTCCCATGTGATTGTACTTGAAACTTCCAATTATACTCTTTCTAGCCCCTCCCCAGCCACTGTGGCTAGTCCAGAGATAGGACCATGACATGAAACCAGCCTATTTGAGTCTTCCCTGGGATTCTCCAACCTGCAAAACAAAAGCCTCTTGCATGTCCGGTCAAGGAGCTGTGGGCACATAAGCTCCCAAGAGCTGCAAGTGGCAGAGGGTCCACATAAAGGTGGGGTTGTGAGGGCGTGGAGGGGTGTGTGAGGGTGTGGAGGGGTGGGGGCGTGGAGGGGTGTGGGGGGCGTGGAGGGATGTGGGGGGGCGTGGAGGGGTGTGGGAGGCGTGGAGGGGAGTGGGGGGGAGTGGAGGGGCATGTGGGGGCATGGGGGACGTGGGAGGCATGGAGGGGTGTGGGGGGGCGTGGAGGGGTGTGGGGGCGTGGAGGGGTGTGTGAGGGTGTGGAGGGGTGTGTGAGGGTGTGGAGGGGTGTGTGGTAGCTAATCCAGTAAAGGCACAGGAAGGCTACGCCTCACTCAGTTTCTGAGTATCTTCTCTATGAAGTCAAAAGAAGTTTGAGGATGATTGGTGCCATTGGTGAGGCAGGTTAAGCATGGTTAGGACTGGCTAGTTTGAAGAATCCAGCAGCCTCTGGGCTGGAGGGGCTGTCATGAGTTGTCTGGTACCTGGCTCTGAGGTGTTTAGGGCTGGTGGACCGTGGCCTAGAAGGTGAGAGCCAGAAGAAGTGCTGGGGAACTGGGCTCTAGGCTGGCTGGTTTGCATTCTGAAAGGCTCACTCACAGGTGAGCCATTACCACCTGCAGGAATCAGCTAGCCTGGGAGGGACAGTCCCTCCAGCATCAGCAAGGCCCCAGATGCCAGAGCACCCAAATATACAGAATAAAAGGGCACAATGAACACACACCAAAACCTTGTCTCACAGAGAATGACACCTAGAGTGGCTGATTGACTTGACCAAGCTCAAATGAGCTAATAAAATTTCTACCTTAGGGTTTACACAGCACTTACAAACTACCTCATTTTAGATATAGCAAAAACTCTAAAACATCACAGGTTTATGGCCATTCTGAATCTCAGGAAAACCGAAGGTCAGAGAAGTTAAGCGGTGTTTCTTTAGTCATCTGACTAAAGACAAACAGAGCTAAAATGAAGCTACATCTTCTTGTCTAGCCTTTTGCATGGATTCTTCACCACACGGCCTCTGCAGACCTCAGGCCCCACCTAAAGCTCCATTCTGATGGATGAAGCCCAGGGCCCCTCGTGCTTATAAGTCTTGGTTGGGGTGGTCTTTCCCGCTCACATCTCCCATGCTCGGATGTACGGAAGGCGCCTAGGTGGGGAGGGGACGCTCCAGAAAATGCAAAGCTCTTCCGAACAAGGCTTTAGTATCCACCTGCAGCTGCCTTCTCACCCTAGGGAACTGGACTGAACAACTTAGTGCTCCCTGAGCCTCGCCCAGAGCAATGGTTCTCTGGGAATCTGTGCGGGTGCTGGGTTGTCATAATGGCTGTGTAGTTCCTGACCTATGGGGAAAAGTGGCCAGGGATGGTAGCCATCCATCTATGCAAGGAGTGTTAACCTTTACGTGTTAATGTAGGTGAAACACCAACTTATAATAATCACAACCTAAAACTTGCTTCCACTTTTAACCTCCAGGAGTTTTCTCATTGTTTTTATATACACTAAGGTGCCCGGCACTGCAACTACCAGATCGATCAAGCGAACTCCAACGTGTCTGGAACTCTACCAAGAGCGGTTCACCACTTTGGAAAATCATGTCCCCATTGACAAGGACACTCCAGTGCAACATCCTGTCCTGCTGTGCGGCTGCCGTCATGTCTGTGGTGATGGGTGGAGGTGCAAGCACCCAGTCGTTCCCTGTGTCTCCCAGTGGTCAACATGCCTAAGCACAGAAACATACATTATTTTCAGTGAAAATTACATTTAGGGCTTTGTAATGCTTTTTGGAATCGTAAGTGAGAATACGGTGCACTTTCTATGACTTCCATTTGGGGATATAGCAAAAACATCATGACAAAGGGCTGTGGATCTGACAGAGTTCCAACCACAGGCCCAGAGCAGACTCTGGCCAGACACCTCCTGTAGCCTTTCCTTTGAGCCCTGTCCTTGATCTCGATCCAGTTAGCATTTCAAGGTTCAAATGCAGACCCATCCCAAAACGGTGCCGCACCCAAGTCTGGGACCAATGACGGAGAGAAGAGGGAGGCACCTGCCTGCATTCTTCCCCTCAGTGGCTCTGGCCACACATGGAGTCGTGGGCTCCCCTGTGCACTGTTCTCAGCCTCAGGTAGGCTGTGTTCTACCTTCCCCCCAGTTTTCTTCTTACCTACGAGGGCTCTTGATTTCTCCTGACTTTGCAAATCCTTTATGCGTGACAGTCTCGCCTTGAGAAGACAGGGAGGTAGGGGACGGGAAGCCAGCAATTTTACCCACTACTGATTCATTCAAGAAACACAAATCTGAATGCCTACTATTCATTTTACCAGGGCTCTTTGCAGACACGCCAGACTTTCAAACTAGCCATCATCATTTAACATCTTTCAGGATTTCACATTAGAAGCTTTTGGTAACTGAAAGTGGACTGGTGTGGGGGAGGGCCAGGTCCCACTCTGACAAGGGCCTAGAAGACAGGCCAACTCCTGTCTGAGGTCTGAAACTGGGCAGAACATGAAGGGCAGCCCTGGGGAGGGCCAACCATGGGGACGGAAGGCAAAAGGCTGTGGGAAACCCATTTTTAAATTTTTTAATTCATTTTTAATTGACAAATAAAAATTGTACATATTTATTGTACAATTTGTACAACTGCACGTACTTCAACATGTTGTTTGAAATATGTAAACATTATGGAAAGCAAAATTGTTTCTGAGGCAGGGTCTCACTCTGTCACCTAGACTGCAGCGCAGTGGCGCAATCTCGGCTCACTGCAACCTCTGCCTCCCAGGTTCAAGCGATTCTCCTGCCTCAGCCTGGGGAGAAGCTGGGACTAAAGGCACCCACCACCACGCCTGGCTAATTTTTGTATTTTTAGTAGAGATGGGGTTTCACTATGTTGGCCAGGCTGGTCTCAAACCCCTGACCTCAGGTGATCCACCTGCCCCTACTTCCCAAAGGGCTAGGATTACAGGCGTGAGCCACCGCACCCAGCTTGAAAGGCTAAACTGAGCTAATTAGCATATGCATTACTTTGCATCCTTATTTTTTGTAGTAAGATCACTTAAAATCTACTCAGCAATTTTCAAGAAGACAATGCTATTAACTATAGTCACCATGTTGTACAAGAGATCTCTTTAACTTCCTCCTCCTATCGAACTGAAATTTTGTATACCTCAGATTCTAATTTTTACCCTATATTACACAGAGCAATTTTGAATTTATTTCGCTAAACTGTGACCTAGAGAAAATATTTTATTCAGAAAACATCACTGGTAAACAAACAGCTCAGGAAGTGATCTGTGTTTACTAAAACTTTGAAATATATTTTACACATATTCTGCATTAAAATCTGATTAAAATGTAGTTATACAAAGAGACAGTGTTTTCTGATTTGTAGCATTCATGGCCGAGATACACTATTTAAAAATGCACTTGATTTAGGCATTTATTCAAAATCATAAGCATAAAACATGATCATACCTTCCTACTGGCAGACACAAAACTGGTGCATCCCACACACTTGTTTGAGTAATTACAACACCAGCTGTTCTAGCACCTACCAAGAGAAGCTGCAACTCAGACTGACTCCTGGTCACTGATGTGCCAAACAGCATCATCTTCTAACCAAAAATGAAAATCTCACTTTGATAAATGGGTTGTCCAAGTTAAATTAGCTAAACCAATGCTTAAGTCTAAGTTCCAATTTTTAAAACTTTCTGTATATGCTATACTAGCAAATGTGGATTTATCTGATTTTAACACAAAAAGGAGAGACTGCCAATAGAATTGATTTCTGCTAGATTTTAAAATCTACAAAACCTGAGATCTCCCCAAGAATTAAAGGCAATTCTCAGGTTGAAATATTTATGAAACATACAAATTTCAATGGCATTTCACAGAAAATAAATATAAAGCATTAAATAGCAAGACAAAGATTACAGCCAAGACTCTCAACTATCCAACTGAAACTCACTTCCATATTTACCACCCAAAGACAGCAGACCCTCCATGTGCTGGAGCCTCTACAGGAGGAAGGGGAAATGGCCATGTGCTCAGTGTGTGTTCCAATCCAGGGATTGTACACAGGCTACTTTATTCAATTTTCTCTGACTCTGGATTTCCCACAGGATAGGCTTCGTAGCAGCACTCTACAGTTGGGGAAACTGAGGCCTGGCAACTCCCCTAAAGGCTGCCCAGCCAGGAAGCACCCGCCCAGCAGGTCTGACGAGGCCTCCATTCTCTTGCAGTGCGCTATGTCTATCCACTCCAAAAGCCACAGCACACACAACTTCAACTCTCCAGAAAATGTCCAGTCACCCTGTCTATATTTTTCTTGTTTCATAAAAATTACGCATTTTGGTTGGAGTAGACTTATGACCAGAAAGAGGCTCTCTGCAAAGCAGATGCTGCACTTGCAATGGTGGGATGAAGGGGGATGGAATGCAATAGCTTGAAAAGTGACCGGGACACAGCAGCTGGACTAGACTCGGGGATAAGAAATACCTCTCTATTTTTCCCCAAAGTTAAATATTTCTAAGCTTCCACCTGTTCACCTGGTGAGAAATAGCATTTCTTCATGGAGTACAAGAGTCTTAAGTGGTATATGCAACCCAGAAAATTTGGCAAACGGTCCATGATGATCACCATTGAGCTCCCTGCCCATAAGGTCCATTGTAGAGGCCCTGACCCTGGAAAGTGTTCTGTCTGCAGACATCTGTGGCCATCCTCACCTTGGAATTTCCCCTTCTTAGACGAGCCAGTCTGACATCAGTAAAAAACAGAAGTCAGGCATTTCTCCCCTGTAGAAAGGGAACCTCCCATTCTGGCAGACCAAGATTCAACACTCTCTTGGAAAGGAAGAAGGGAAATACCACTCATGCCTGCAATGAGCCAACAGCAGACCCCAGTAGGCCCAAACAATGAGAAACAGGACAGAGTTTGGGTTTGCTTTACATCTATTCCATTGTGAAATGCCAGGGCCCCAGGACTCCCCACGGCTCAGGAACGTATGGAGACGCATTAGGTGGCAATATGTGCTGCTGCCTATAGAAACGATATGTGACCCACAGAAAGAGTGTCATATGTCCAACCTAACACCACACCAGTGGGTCACATCTGCAAGTGCCCCTTGGCCAAAAAAAAAAAAAAAAAAAAAAAAAAAAAAGAAGGATATGTAGCCTTGCTCTCCTTCCTAATCAGGAGCTCACCGGAACGTGGGAGCCAACCAAACCAAACTGTGGCTCCAGCTTTTACAACCCTAACTACTGGGAATCTATTTTCTCGCTGGAGTGTCTGAGAGGATGGAGAAATACACACTAAAAAGGGTTCCGTGGAGATATTGGATTTAGACTTTATAAATGTGGCTCATGAATTCCAACACCCAAAATGGAAAACTGGGCTTCCAGGATATTATACTGTTTTGTACTTAGCTACTTTATTTATACCCCTCCTGGTTCTGAAGAATATTTAACAGGTTTTATTTCACCATGAAAAAAAGGGTTGCTTTAGCAACAGGGCAAACAAGTATACTTCTTAAATGTCTATAAATGACCCAGATTAGTCTCCAAGTTTGTAAAATACTTAATCTCTTTCAGCAATGAAATGCCAAGATAAGAGTAAATTCCAAAAATTCTTTTGAGGGCATGAGGGCTTACTTATTGTTAAGTAGGAGATGAGCTAAGCCTCTGGTACTCTCGGTCCACAGAGGCACCCTATAAAAACGTGGCAAGCCCAGGGCGAGGCATCATGGAATGGACCCTGAATTCTACCTCAGTGGTGCCAATTCCTGAGACCTTGTTACCACAATGTGGCCAGGCACAAAGTTTTCACTGGCCAAGACAAAAATAAGAATAGTTCCCAGCACAAAAAAAGGCACCAATAAGTATCTGTAGACTGATGGACTGATAAGTGAATGACTGATACTGTATACTTTTCAAAAGTCAAGAGATAATTTATTACATGTGAAGAACAATCCTTAAAAATAAAGCTGGGGCCAGGCATGGTGGCTCACGCCTGTAATCCCAGCATTTTGGGAGGCTGATGCAGGAAGATCACTTGAGATCAGGAGTTTGAGACAGCCTGGGCAACACAGGGAGACCTCGTCTCTATAAAAAAAAGAACTTAAAAACTAGCCGGGCATGGTGGGGCAAGCCTGTAGTCCTAGCTGCTCAGGAGGCTGAGGCAGCACAATCGCTTGAGCCCAGGAGTTCAAGGCTGCAGTGGGCTATGACTGTGCCGTTTGCACTCCAGCCTGGGCAACAGAGCAAGACATCATCTCTAAAAAAATAATAATAAAAATAAAGTAAAAAGCTAAAGTTGAACCTGAGAGTGTCCCTTATAACATTCTCCTAATAAAATCTTTTTCTTTGTATAATAAAATGGTGTGATAAAAGACAATAGTTTCAGTGTGAATAAAAACTAAACAGTAAGGCCAGGCATGGTGGCTCATGCCTGTAATCCCACAACTTTGGGAGGCTAAGGCAGGGGGACTGCTTGAGTCTTGAGCCCAGGAGTTCAAGACTAGCCTGGTGAGACCCTGTCTCTACAAAGAAAAAAAAATTTTTTTAATTAGCCAGGTATGGTGATAAGCACCTATAGTCCCAGCTAGTCGGGAAGCTGAAGCAGGAAGATCACTCGAGCCTGGGAGTGCGGGATGCAATGAGCTGTGATTGTGTCACTGCACTCTAGCCTGGGTGATAAAGCAAGACCCTGTCTCAAAAAACAAACTACCCAAAAAGTTAGCAACTTTATGTCTGAACCCCAAATATTCTTTTTTTTTTTTGAGACAGAGTCTCACTCTATCGGCCAGGCTGGAGTGCAGTGGTGTGATCTCGGCTCACCAGAACCCCAAATATTCTCGAACTTTCATTTTAACTACAAAATCTGACAGTGTGAGAACCACTGCTTGAAGCACTGGCTACAATCCCAGGAAGAAGAGTGGAAATCCAAGACACAGGGGCTAGTCGGAAAACATTCCCCAAAGGCAGGGAGGCAGACCCAGGCGGCAGAGGAGCCTGCCCAACAGCCACGTTCCCTCTTCCCTCGGACAGATCCCCAGCTTTGTTAGAGGATCCTTTTCCCATGTGACTCAAGGTCAAGTGAATCTACCTCCCACTCTAAGAAAAGGTCAGTATTAGCTAATTCCCCTTGCCAGTGATTGGTTCAGGGATGATCACATGACTTAGGTCTGACCACTGAGGGGAAGTCTGGTGGGGGGCTTCTAGGAAAGATTTCCTTGCCACTAAGAAGAGACACAGGGATCAGTAACCCCTCTTCTTTTGTGTACATGTGTCCTCTGATTCTGGTGCCTAAAACTACAGCAGCCTTCTAGCTGGATTCAGGTTAAATTAAGATACTCTTACCAGCAGAGCAGAAAGATGGAAAACACATGGGTACTTGATAATGTCACCGAGGCACTACATTAACCAACTGGAAACCTGTTATGGTTGAATTCTGTCCCCCATAAAAGATACATCAAAGAATTAGCCAGGCATGGTGACATACGCCTGTAATCCCACCTACTCAGGAGGCTGAGGCAGAAGAATCGCTTGAACCCGGGAGGCAGAGGTTGCAGTGAGCTGAGATAGTGCCACTGCACTCCAGCCTGAGCAACAGAGCCTGACTCTGTCTCAAAAAAAAAAAAAAAAAAGTCAAAGTTCTAAACCCTAGTACCTCAAAATCTCAGAATCGGAGTTTATTTGGAAAGAAGGTCTTTGCAGATTTAACCAAATTAAGATGAGGTCATTGGGTGGGCTCTAATCCAAGATGACTGGTGTCCTTATAAAAAGGGGAAATTTGGACACACATACCATAGAAGGATGTGGTGAAGACACACAGGAGAGCCCCAGGTGAAGACGGAGGCAGAGACTGGACTGCTGAGACTGCAAACCAAGGAATGCCCAAGGACTGCTGGCCACCACCAGAAGCCAGGAGAAAGGGGAGGAAGGGATCTATCTACCTGGAGTCTCAGAGGGAGCACAGCTCTGTTGATGCCTTCAGGTTGGACTTCCAGCCTCCAGAACTGTGAGAGAAGAAATTTCTATTGTTTTAAGCCACCTAATCTGGGCAGCTCTAGCAAGCTAATACACCTTCTTTCTTCTGGACCTTTTTATGTATACGTAACATAATATATGTATACTATGTAAATTAATAAATTTTCCTTCTGCTTAAGCCACTTTGAGTGATGATGTCAGTAATTGCGATTGAAGGCAACTCGATCAACTGGTCCCAAGGGAGGGGACTACCAAGCAGAGAAAGGGTCCTAAAGGAGCCAATGCCCACTAGAGTCCACGCACCGCTTTAACCAGCCAGCACCAACATCCTTCCTTCATCCCAAACTCACACCGCCAGACACAAACACAAATTGCTGCTCCACACAGCATGCCGTTATCCTTATATATACAACCAAAAGCACACACCACAAATTCTAGAACAAGTGCAGGACCTCAGGAGAGGTCCACTTCCCCTTTGGTTTCCTCCTGATTCTTCTTTTAGTCTAATGTAGAGATTAAACTGTAAAGCTGAGGACCAGCCACGCACCCTATATACAGTACATGCAAATCCAACTATTTCTCCTCAAACCCTTGGCCTGGCCCAGGGCCCCACCATCTCTCTCTGGATCATTGCATTAGCCTCCTAACTGGAATCTCCACTTTGCGACCCTGGCCCTCCTTCAAAGCACTCTACAGAGCTGCCAGGATGATCCGGTTAGAATAAGTTAGGTCAGGTCACTCCTCTGCTCAAAACCCTCCAGTAGCTCCTGTTTCATTCAGAGAAAAAGCCACCGTCCTCCCAGTGACTCAGGAGGCCCCTACTGATGGGGATCCCTGTCCCATCATTGTTTCCCATTGCTCCCCCTCTTCCTCACTGCACTCCGCTGGCCTCCTTGCTGTCCTGTGAACAACCCAAGGCGGTTCCTGCCTTGGCCTCTGCACTTGCTCTGCCCTTCTCCACACTTCTGCAGGTCGCTACTGAAAAATCACCTCATTAATGAGGGCTTCCCTAGCCATCCTTTCTACAAAGGGGCCTTCCCAACCCCTTTCCACTGACCCTTCACACCCCTTCTCCTGGATTTAACAATACGTTTTATTTATGTGGCATGTTCATTGTCCACTAGAATGCACGCTGTAGGAGGGTGGGGATTTTTGCCAACCTTGCTACATCCCACAGCAGTGTCTGGGATAGGGTCTGCCACATGCTTGAATGAGGGAGAGGGAGGAAAGAAGAGGTGGGTGACTATGCATGTGGTTGGTTAGGTCACTTAGCACGGCCTTGTGTTTTGTCCCAGTCATGTTCAGCTGGGCAGCTACAGGCCTGGAGGAAGCAGAGAGTTCAATTCAGCAGGGCTGGAGTTTTGCCAACAGAGTATAAGGAAGGAGAGAAGAGCCAGAGAGCTGAAGAGGCAAACGATGACTGATCATAATGGCTGAACTCGGAAATTATTATAAGTTAGGTAAAGAAGGAAGTGAGGGCATGAAGAGAGGACAACATGAAAAGATAATCAAAGGTTTATAGATCAGTGTGGGGTTTAAGATCTTTTGGGCCGGGCGCAGTGGCTCACGCTTGTAATCCCAGCACTTTGGGAGGCTGAGGCGGGCAGATCACAAGATCAGGAGATCGAGACCATCCTGGCTAACACGGTGAAACCCCGTCTCTACTAAAAATACAAAAAAAAAAAAAAAAAAAAAAGGTAGGGGCGTGGTGGCGGGCGCCTGTAGTCCCAGCTACTCAGGAGGCTGAGGCAGGAGAATGGTGTGAACCTGGGAGGCAGAACTTGCAGTGAGCCGAGATCATGCCACTGCACTCCAGCCTGGGTGACAAAGCGAGACTCTATCTCAAAAAAAAAAAATCTTTCTGGAGTAGGTGCACCTACATTGATAATTTTTGTGTAATCTAAAATTGTGTTTGTTCCTCCTTGGTCTAACACCCTCAGATTCCACCAGCATATATATTAGCCAAGTTTGCATCCATGTATATTAGCAAAAATTCAGTTCAAGTGGCACGTGGCATGTAAGCTTTCTCCCTGTGGACTTTATAATGGCAGCTGCACCTTCCCTGCTGGGGACTGACTTCAGTCTGGATATGACAAGGGGTGGTGAGGGAGAAACATCGGGAGACTGCCTTCCCAGGTGAGATACTGGGGCCGGGTGGAAACGCTGCACCCGACAGAGGTCCCAGCCTGCCTGGGTTGGCAAGCACAGTTGAGAGGGATCCTGAGTCTTCCCAATCCTCTCCCCACCCCCCACCCCCACCAGCATCCACCAGAGTGTCAGACCTCATGCTTCCTAAATCAACGACAGTGTTCGGGAACCAGGCAAGGCCATGAACACAACTGCTGGTGTGCTCAGCAACCAGAAGGATCACACTCTGAAACCCTCTGCTCCTTTCTTGTTGCCCCCGCCTTTTGTTTCAGTGCAATCACTGCAAGTTCACGACATGCCAGGAGCTGAAAGTTTCAGAATCTGGGCTCTGCATTCTTTTTCTTTAAGCTAATCAGCAGGAGCCCCTGAATATCCAATTCCCCACTGCCTGCCATGGACGGTGAGGAGTCCACCACTCAACCCTGGCTGTACTTTCACTAGCTCTGCCCTTAAACTGGGCAAATTACCAGTCCCACATGCCCTGCCCCTATTTCCTGGAGGGTCTACCACCTGCCTCCACTCCTTATTCCAATCCTGCCTTGTTCTGGGTTTTGACTTCCAAGCAACAGAATCAAGTTGGCAGAGCAAGGTGGAAAATGGCATTTACCTAAACAATGTTGGAGAGGGCCCAGAATCGCTAGGAGGGCAAAAGGAAAGGCTGAAGGCTACAGAGCCAAGAACAGTGCCCCACATCCTGCCCAGAGCAGCCAAAATCCCCTGAGTGACAAATGACAGATGACGGATGACACTCCAAGCCAAGCCCTGGCGAGCCCTCACACCATGCCAGGGCTGCCCAGGACGCCCACCTAGCTGCAAACGTGGCCACCAACAGCTCTCTCACTCTGTTTGCCTCACTGCCTCCCAAGAGACAAAGTCTAGGCAGATGTGGCCCAGGCAGGCCAGTGGCTCCCGTGCACCCAGGATGTATGGGGATCACTCAGTTTGGGTCATATCACAGCCCATTGCCTCCCTGCACCCCATACTCCTGACACCCCAGCCTTTCTGGGACCCTTATCCACAGTCTTCCAGTTTAAATGAAAGAAAGTAGACCTCAAAGACAGGCCAATGTATTGAATGTATAATAATCAAGCCAGGGTATCCATCACCCTAGTGTTTCCCATTTCTATGTGTTAGGTACGTTTCAACTCTCTTCTCGCTATGTTGAAATGTATTATACACACTGTTGTTAACTATAGCCACTCTACTCTGCTATCAAACATTAGAACTTATTTTTTTCTATCCAACTGTATGATTATACCCCATAAATATGTACAAATATAATGTATCAAAAAGAAAGAAAGAAAGAGGCCAGTGGAAGGCATTCAAAAACAACACACAAACCTGACAACTCTGTTTTCGCCCACCAGGGCTCAGTGAAACTCTTCTTAGGCATCACACAAGAGAGAAGGAAAACTGGCAAGTTCACAACATAAACACGCCGAGACAGGTAGACATACCGCTAACTTTATGGTGATCTGGCTATCTGAATAGAAATAGAAAGAGTGCTATACCATGTCAGGAGACGAAAACCTAACACTTTGCCTGCCATCTATAATTGCTTGACAGCATAATTGATCATGTAACTGACAACTGTCCCATCATCCTATTCTCAAGCACTGATAAAGTGATGTAACACTACCAACGGCACATGGGATCTTCCCTAAACAGTGTGATCTGCACCAACCAGGGATCACACAGTTAATACCACTGGAATTTTAAAAAGCTTTCTCTAAACAAAAGCATCAAAAAGCTATCTTAAAATAAATGAAAAGCAGACAAGTTAGTCCTATAGCCTTGAGTATTTATCCTAGATGATGTCCTAGTGGCTAGTGAACTAGAAATAGACTCTATCTGTGGAAATGAGGGAAATATTTTTTAAAATAACAACGCCCATTAGAAGAATCCAGCTGCCTTCTCAAAATGACAGAGCCAGAGCAGTTCTTTGTCATCGCTATGGCTCGGGGCCTGGGGATCACAAACCTCCAGGTATTCACCGGGTCTGCACTGACCAGAAAGCATCACTCCCTCCCTATGTCAGGCATTTGGACATAATGTGGATGGTTAATAAAAGGCACAGCAAGCTGAGAAAGACTCACCAGACCCACCTTGGAGGACCCAACAACTGACCCGGAGCACACTGCGGAAATTTCAACTCATCTCATCTGTTCACTCGCTCCTTCCGTAAATCGGTACTGAGCACCTGCCGTAGGCCAAGCACGGTCCTAGAAACAGGATGGACACAGCTACCAAGGCCTCAGCCTCAGCCTGAGGGAGCCCATGTTCCAGGAGGGAAGACAGATGAGAAACAGAATTTAATTTCAGATAGTGAGGAGCATGTAACAGAAGACAAGAGCAAGCGGGGAGGACACAGGGCAGGAATGCGGGCTGGGAGAGGGGCCAGCCATCCAGAGGAGAGGCGGGGAGAGCCTTCTCTGAAAGGGACTGCTGGGTGAGACGTGAAGCATAAGAAGGCATTACTGGGACCTCGGAGTCAGCTTAAGGGCAGAATCTCACACCCTTGTCTTAGAAAAAAGGAATGAGAAGTTTTCTAGACAGGGAAGAAAAGGCACCCATGCTTAAAATGGGAGGGAACAGGCAGAGTTCAGGTGACTGCAAGAGGCCACTGTGGCTGGGCACAGAGAGCACACAGGAGCTGCACAAGACAGGTCTGCTGGTGGCCACAGAGCCAGGACAGCGAGGTCGTGGGGAAGAAAGGGAAGGGCTTTAAGCTGCTGGGGCTGACACAGTCAGAACTACAACACACACAGAAAAGCGTAACAGGTCTTTCTTCTTCCAAATA